>NC_000016.10:32584180-32899387 GCF_000001405.40 Homo sapiens | reverse complement strand
TCAATACAAACTCTAGTATTTATTTGTCAATATTCCTTTATGATAGAGAACATCCAGGATAATGAAACTGAACACAGCCCATTATTTTCAGGGCTCACTCACAATGGCATCTTCCTAGAGGGTGGTCTCAGAGGGTCCAAGCACATGGGGATTTGGACTTCATCATCAAAACATAATGAGCCCCAGGGCTGAACACACAGAGGGCAGCAGGAGCTGCAGAGCCCACTCTGTGGTACTTAGGGAAATGAGGGGATGGACTGCAGGACCCTGGAAAAGGGTGAGTAGGGCAGAGTCTGCAGGTAGATGAGCATATTCTAAGGAGAGCCATTATCCTCTAAACTTGGTTGGCTTCAGTGATTATGAAGACAAGGGAACTGATTCACCAGACTTGGAGGTCAGAAAGTAAAGTGACTTTCTTTTTCCTTCATGGAGACTGAGGAAGGTAAAATACTTTCAAAGAAAAAGGGAAGATGGAGAAACAGTCTGAAAAACAGGACACCTGAAGCCAACCAAAATGGAGAACAAGAGCATTTAAAGTCGTGTTTAATTTCCAAAAACAGCAGATGAAAGAAAAAGAAACAAAATGCCATGTATACGCTGAGTTAATGTTAAAAAACATGTACAATTGTTTGACTATTACAGCACAAAAATACAAAACTCTAATCATTGAAACAGTTTATATTGAGGATATACATTTTCTTTAAATAGGGTCTCACTCTGTCAACGAGACTGGAGTGCAGTGGCACAATCACAGCTCACTGCATCATTAACCTCCCAGGCTTAAGGGATCCTCCCACCTCAGCCTTTCAAGTAGCTGCTACCACAGGTGGAACCATACCCAGGTATTTATTATTATTATTTTTGTATAGAAAAGACCTCACTGTGCTGCCAGGCTGTTCTAAAAGTCCTGAGCTCAAGTGATCTGCCTGCCTTAGCCTCCCAAAGTTCTGGGATTACAGGTGTGATTTTTATAATTTTACTATTTTAATAATAGTATTATTTTTAATCAAGAGAATATATAAATAACCTATTTTAAAAATTGTCCTGAGAGATCATTGCTAGTATTACTTGGAAAATATGCAGCATTAAAAGTTGAATTAAATTCCTGTTCTAAGTTAATGTTTTGTAGGTAAAAGTAATCATGGATTTACAAGGAAGAAATGGTGAGAGATCCTGGGGAAGACTTTTGCTTGACCAGGTCGGGAATCACCAAGGTTTAAAAGAAAATCACAGCTTCTCAGGCTCCTGATTTGGAGCTGCTTCCTGAGAACCCCCGTGTACTGAGCACCCCCTGGTGGTTCTGAGTGCCCCTGGTGTCATGAGCGCCCCCTCGTGGTACTGAGGGCACTGTGATATCCTGAGCACCCCTGATGCTTCTGAGCGCCCCCTGGTGGTTTGAGCGCCCCCCCCCCGTGTCCTGAGCACCCCCTGGTGGTTCTGAGCGCCCCCTGGTGTCCTGAGCGCCCCCTGGTGGTCCTGAACACCCCCTGGTGACCTGAGTGCCTGCTGGTGGTCCTGGGCAAACCCTCGTGTCCTGAGTGTCCCCTTGTGATTCTGAGTGCCCCCTGGTGTCATGAGCACCCCCTCATGATCCTGAGCACCCCCTAATATCCTGAGCACACCATGGTCCTAAGCACACCCTGGTGGTTCTGAGTGCCCCCAGGTTGTCCTCAAGGTGCCCTGGTGGTTCTGAGGAGCATCTACCATGCAGCTCCCTCCTGTCTTCCTGCAGAGATTTTTCTGTTGGGGCTCACACAGATATTCCCTCTCCTGTGTCTCTCACAGTATTACAAGGCCTTGTCCTTGACTTTCAGTTTGGTCCCTTTAAGGTAGACTGCACATTAAAAGGTGTCGCTTGGGACTGTTAATTTATTTGTACTTATGGAGAGTAACTCTGAGAACTCCCACTTGATCACTCACTGTTTCCACCTACACAAATCCCTGTCGTGAAGCTGGCTGGACCAAGCTCATTGCTGTAGCCAGTAAAGGTGAAATCAGAGGCCTTGCATGAGAGTCTCAGTGAACCACTGGGTGTACAATTTTTCCTCCTCTGACTCCATCAATAAATTTCACACAGGACTTCTGCAAACACTGAGGAAATGGAAGAACAGCTCCATGTGGAGCAGCCGCACCTGGACCTGATTCACAAGGGACACTAATATTGAGGGTGATGAGAGGGGAAGCCCAAATCAGTGCAGATCCCACGGTGTGGACACCGAGGAAGGGAAGAGACATGGGTTGGCTCCTCGCCAGGGCCTGAAGGAACAGGGGATGAGCTGCCTTTCATGAGGAGGGGAGGGGACACATTTCCTTGTCTTTCTTTTAGTGGTCTTGGGTGCACCGCTCGGCATTGCTCATCCGTCCTCTGTGTCTCCATTTCAGGGGGGCAGGGTCAAAGGACTCGTGGGTCTGGATGCACAGGGTTAATCTGCTGATTAGTCTTTTTTATTTTCTAGTGTGGACCCTGTTCAGGTATCTTCACAGTAGCAAACATTATCAAAAAAATACATCCAGTAAGAACTTAAAAATACATTTCCAGAGAAAACGGACACCAATCTCTAATCGGTGCATTTAGAGCTACAAACTACTGTTCTTGACAATAAGGCAAAGTTAAGGTACAATAAAAAAATGCAGATCTACACCTTGTCAGGGAGGGATTTTATAATTATTATCTTGAGATCATTTTCCCATAAAACAGTTCAACATTGGATATATCTGCTTGTGTCAGGAAACAGTCACTGTGGAAATATGTGTACTTATCAGAGTGAAGAGTTCACATGCAGACATGTTTGTTTGTCTGAGACAAGAGTCCACATGAGGAAATGTCATTACCAGAGGAAAGAGTAAATGTAAGGACATACGTGGTGGTCTGAGGAAAGAGTCCATGTGGGGACATATGTGTTTGTCTGAGGGAAGAATCCACGTGAGTAAAGGTGTGTTTGTCTGACGAAAGAGTCCCCATGTTGACAGGTGTGTGTACCCATCTGTGGGTAAATGCCCATTCAGGGACAGTGTGTGCCTGAACTGAGCTGAAGTTTGGGGAAAATCTTTATCAACCAAGGAAAGAAAAGAATTATCTGGGTTATTTGCTTGTCAGGAAGAAAAAACCTGGGTCACAATGAAAATTGATTTTTTTAAATTAAAGGTCTTTAGTGAATGGTAACATCTTATATGCAAATGAGGAAAGTTACTTCATTCTTTTTTGCATGCATCTCATGATATCCCCACCCTCACCAAATAAGTTATTAGATAACTTTATACAGTCTGCATTTAATCCTTGGTTTAATGAACTGCTAAATACTTTTTACAAAAATTGTATATATTTAGGTTTATATTTTCCATCACACAATTATGAGCTTAGACAAATTAACTGCATCGTGTCTCAACCATTTTATAGCACTAAAAATAATTTTATTATTCTTAAACAGTGCCATTTTTACTTATTTAATACTCATTCTCTAAATTCCTTGAATATCCTCTATCTGTTTACTTGACTATAGTTTTGGTTTATACCAAATTTCAAATAAATGATATTATATGGTGTAATTGAAATGACTTCACTGAAGAAAGTAGAAAATGAAGTTGCTAGTCTAATTAACTTTGAAAATGAGGAAATTCTGTATGTTTAAAATGTAAAGAAACTACACATAGCACTCTATTCTAGTAGATAAACATATTTCCAATGAGCTTTACATTTCTGATACCGCTATGCATGTGTCCTAAAATTGTGCAACCAGGTAATAATAAGGCAATTGGTGGGATAGGATTCCTCACTTTAAAGTGGATGGTTATGGACAGTCAAGGAAGGAAGGCTAGAAAGGTCCACGTGGTAGCATAGTTGGGTCAGGAGACCAGTGTGTTCTCATTTTTAATATAATAAAGTTACAGAAGATTAAGTACATAAGTAGTTTTGATGCGTCCATAAACATGGGTTCATATAAACATGCACGTCTGCTAGGCCAGTAGGTTGAGAGGTCCTAGAAGTAATTATACACGGTATCACAATTTTTTTATTTTACTGCTATTCGTTAACGTTAGAAACAAGCAAGCTTTAGAAAAATGGCTAATTCTATGTACAAAAGAGGTAATATAGAAAATGAACTTAGAATTTGTTGTAATACAAGGAAACAGGGAAGTGTTCAAAAACAAAAGGATGAGGTGCACTGTAAGGATACAGGATCCAAACTAAATGAGCTCCCAGGACCTAATAAAGCTGTGGTGATTTGAACGATAAAATGAGTAATATAGCATGGATCTTCTTCAGAGTATGAAATATATATTCATAAACCAATACACATATTAATAGATGATTATGAAAATAAATATTGGGAAGACGAACACATCTCCTTACAGAAGTATTCCAAATATCTGAGGTGAATAGTCCTCCAATCAAGTAGGTGAAGTTTAAACACTCATGAGTTGATTGTGGCCTGAGCTTAGACACATGGAAAAAATAACCACTATTTGGTATTCTATAATGAGACTTCAGATATAATGCCAAAAACATCATCTATGAATGAATACAATTTTACATGTTTTTGAATCTAAATTTGTACAAACACACACATACACACACAGGCACATGCACACACACACGTATGTTTCTGCAATACACACGGATAAGGGAGTAAAGACAGCCACAGACTTGGAAAAAATACTTCCAAGTCACATATTTGTTAAATGAATTCTTTTAATTTGTTAAATGACTTTTATAAACAATATGCAAGTAAACTTACAATGAATCAAAACAAAGCAATGCAGTTAAAATGAACCAAATATCAGGAGAGGCATCTCAACAAAAGTTATTGGAAAATTGTTAAATATGAACTCTTTGAGGGACATGTGCATTTAAATAAAAATTAGATCCCATTACTCACCTACTAGATTGGTTAAAACACACAACTCTCATAAGGATACACATCTCTTGAAACAACTGATTAGCCTTACTAAACCTATTGAACTCTGCAAGGAGACCCAGAGCAAGGATTCAATGACACAGAAGGGAGCCCCTTCTCTGAAGCTCCAGATTCACTTCATTAGTGGAACCAAAATGAAGACAAAAACTTACAGGAGATTTGGGAGTGCCGTGTTTCTTCACTGGGCTCTTGCAGTTGAATGTTGCATCTGAGAATACCAGCAGGTGCAGATACATTCAGATGAAAGCCCACTCCATACCCACTATTCCAATAACACATATTTTCCCTTCTTCCTAATATGTAGCTTTTAGGAAGTGCCTCCTACGCTAACACTAGGCCCAGTTATCTGACTTTCTTCTCCTAGAGATTTAAAGCAAACAGGATACAGGTGGAGACTTGGGAAGTGCATGCAGGTTGTTATTTTCACTTTCTCAGCTGGGAAACCAGCAAAGTCCCCATAATAAAAGAAGCTGAGATCTATGATGGCATTTACAAGATGTTGGTCTTAAAAATCACGATGTCAGAGGCTTCACATTGCTCTACTGCCTTTGTCTCACCCTCTGTCATTGTCTTAGTGTTTCTGTATTCTCCTCAGATAGAGTCTGTGCATTGCCACACTTTCATCTTTAATCCATAGTCATCATCCTAGTTAGAATGGATTGTGCAGTGCAGGTAAGCACTGCCTGTTCTTCCAATGGAAACCTAGAGATTCGATAGGCTTCCTCTTCTGGGCTGTGACCTTGAAAAAGCATCTCCAGGGGAAAAGCTCATTTTTGGCTGTTACTCCCTTTTGTGGTTTTGGCCTCCCTGGACTATTTACATACATCTTACCCCTTTTGGCTAACTTTACTCATTCATATAATAATGGAAGAATGGGAGAGAATCTGGAATGGGAGATTTGTCTTCCTTCACATAGGATAAGGTTCTGGAAAAGTCATTCCCTTTAGAAGCTTTTGAAGTAGGCTCCTGGTATAGTTTTCTGTAATTAATCATCTTCATTTCATCTTCAATTCTGACCCACAGGAAATTTATTTGGATTGTATATTTTAGAATCTGGAGGTTTCTGGAGAGAAAGTCCAGAAACCTTAGAAGTATAAGACCCTCTGGAATGGTCACATTTACCGAGTCCACATTTGTCTTTCAGACGTCTATAGTGGTTACCATGTAAGTGCCCTCAACAGCTTGTGGCTTCTGCAGCTTCTGCAGCTTCTGCATCAGTTAAGCAAGTGCTAACTGCAATTCTGGACATGCCCATCTCTCCAGTTTTTGGAGTGGGTAATATTTCTTGCAATTTCAGTTATTTAGTAGATTCCAAAATGTATTGACATTCAGATTATGCAGATTTATTTTGACATAAAATATGACGGTGATGAAATTTATAATCAATATTTTGGAGCATAAACCAAAAGTACAATCAAAGGTCACCTTTGATGTGTTACTGGAGGCAGAATTCTGACCTTATTACATATAGGTGGCACATCTGACATAAATAAACAGGCAAGAAAACAGAGAAAGGACATGGCACAACACTGTGCCATGGCACAACTCTGGTTGCCCTTAAAACTTTCTCCTTCATTTCAACCTTGGTGAATCTGACAATTATGTGTCTTAGGGTTGCTCTTCTCAGCGAGTATCTTTGTGGTGTTCTCTGTATTTCCAGAATTTGAATGTTTACTTTCCTTGCTAGGTTGCAGAGGTTCTCCTGGATACTATCATGAAGAGTGTTTTCCAACTTGGTTCCATTCTCCCTATCACTTTCAGGTATACCAATCAAACTTAGATTTTTCTTTTCACATAGTCCCATATTCCTTGGAGGCTTTGTTCATTCTTCTTACTCTTTTTTTGTCTAAACTTGTCTTCTATTTTTATTTCATTAATTTGATCTTCAATCACTGATATCCTTTCTTCCACTTGATCAAATCAGCTGTTGAAGCTCATGCATGCATCACAAAATTATTGTGCCATAGTTTTCAGCTCCCTCAGGTCATTTAAAGTCTTCTCTACACTGTTTATTATAGTTAGCCATTCATCTAACCTTTTTTCAAGGTTTTAGCTTGCTCTTGATGGATTAGAACATGCTCCTTTAGCTTGGAGAAATTTGTTATTACTGACCTTCTGAAGCCTACTTCTATCAACTCGTCAAAGTCATTCCCATCCAGCTTTGTTCTGTTGCTGGTGAGGAGCTGTGATCCTTTGGAGGAGAAGAGATGCTCTGTTTTTTAGAATTTTCAGCATTTCTGCTCTGGTTTCTCCCCATCTTTGTGGTTTTATCTAAGCTTTGTCTTTGATGATGGTGACCTACAGGTGGGGTTTTGGTATGGATGTCCTTTTTGTTGATGTTGATGCTATTCCTTTCTTTTTTTTTTTTTTTTTTTTTTTTTTTGAGACAGAGTCTTGCTCTTGCCCAGGCTGGAGTGCAGTGGCGCGATCTCGGCTCACTGCAAGCTCCGCTTCCTGGGTTCATGCCATTCTCCTGCCTCAGCCTCCCGAGTAGCTGGGACTACAGGCACCCACCACCACGCCTGGCTAATTGTTTTTTGTATTTTTAGTAGAGATGGGGTTTCACTGTGTTAGCCAGGATGGTCTCGATCTCCTGACCTTGTGATCCGCCTGCCTCGGCCTCCCAAAGTGCTGGGATTACAGGCATGAGCCACTGTGCCTGGCCATGCTATTCCTTTGTATTTGTTCATTTTCCTTCTAACAGTCAGATCCCTCAGCTGCAGGTCTGTTGGAGTTTGCTGGAGGTCCACTCCAGACCCTGTTTGCCTGGGTATCACCAGCAGAGGCTGCAGAACAGCAAATATTACAGAACAGCAAATATTGTTGCCTGATCCTTCCTCTGGGAGCTTTGTCCCAGAGGGGCACCCGCCTGTATGAGGTGTCTGTTGGCCCCTACTGGGAGGTGTTTCCCAGTTAGGCTACACGGGGGTCAGGGACCCACTTGAGGAGGCAGTCTGTCTATTTTCAGAGCTCAAATGCCATGCTGGCAGAACCACTGCTCTGTTCAGAGTTGTTGGACAGGGATGTTTAAGTCTGCAGAAGTTTCTGCTGCCTTTTGTTCAGCTATGACCTGCCCACAGAGCTGGAGTCTGTAGAGAGAGTAGGCCTTGCTGAGCTGAGGTGGGCTCTGCCCAGTTCGAGCTTCCCAATGCAGTGGCTCATGCCTGTAATCCCAGCAATTTGGGAGGCCAAGGCCCGGGTAACAACAGTGAAACTCTGTCAAAAAAAAAAAAAAAAGCTGAGGGGATTGAGGAGATTTCTATGCAAAGTGTGGATGGTGTGTTTTAATTTCTCCTTGCTTAATATAGTATAATGTAAGAGGAGATTGATAAAGAGGAAACTATTGGAAAATGTGGAATCAGGTATTTTATAAATAAAGAAGGTTCTCCCATCTTCTGGAAACCCCATAATCTTTTTAAAAATGAAGGAATTTTAAGATTTATTTCTACATTCTAGATACATGCCTAATATAAACTTGGATTTAAGTGCAAACAGAGATACATAGAAGATGAAAATTCTGCAACAGATCATTTGCCAAATAGGCCGTTTTATACCAGTTTGTAATTTTACCTAAGATTCAAAAGATAAACAACAGAGAGATCCAAATAATAAATTATAACATTTCAATGCTAGACAACTGGTTGAGAGGCGCTTGAACTGACATTATTCTGATGAATCATACCTCAATAATAAAACTGTATTGAATGGTGTACCTGTTCAAGAGGCTGCTTGAGTAAATAGTTTCTACCTCCCCTACTTAGGAGTCCTGCCACAACCCAACATGCTCTAAAACCTGGGGGCCACTAAGAACAAAGACAGAAGTTTGAATATTATGAAGTTATTATGAAGTTTTTGAGAGATCCACAATCACTGATGGGGTGATTGGTGAGGGTTTTTTCTAAGGGCCTAGGCTTGGAAGAGTATGGCTCTTTGTTATGATGAACAAAGAGCTGTTTTTTTTGATGAGTAGATGGCAGCAAAGACCATCAAGGAAAATGAAGAAATGGGGAAATATGGTCCAAACAGAGGGACAACATAAAGGTCCAGAAACTGGCATCAATGAATATAAAAGCATATGGATTTCTTGGCAGAAAATTTAAATATTACAATCTTGTTTAATAAGCTAGTGGCAGCATGCAAGAACACTGTGAGAATTTTAAGAGATAAAAAAATTTAAAAGAGAACTAAAAAAATTGGTGTTGAAGAATACAATAAGTCAGCCAAAAATTTTTAGACAGCACACTGTAGGAGAGGCTCAGGCTTTCCTTTCCCCTACAGGAGGTAGCCCTGCAATTTCCTTAGACGTGAATCACTGTTTTCTCCCACCCACCTTCTAGATTCTCCTCAGAGATTCTCCCGACTCCAGAGCTCATGTTCTCACATGTTGTGTGACTTTGGGTTAAAACACACCTGAAACATTTAATGGCTATTGTCCTTGATCATTTGATCATCATCTGCATTTTAGTTGATGTGATTTTTTTAAACCTCAGTTTGAAGGAAAGAAAAAAAAAATCTATAGACTCTATCTAGGCCAGAATTACTTCTCTCTCTTTCCCTTGGTAGCTGCGAATGTAGCCCCAAATATGATAGGAATCAATAAACACTGCAGCTGTTACAACACTTTCTTGGTCAGCTGTTCCAACAGTATGAGAACCACGGCAGCACAATTATTTTATGGGACTAATTCTGTTCCTACTGGAGACACATTTATTCTTATGTACCAGGACCTCCAGTCCATCGCAGCCTATGATTATGGAGAAGGAAAGAAACATTCTTCAAATTTTCATCATACATGTGGCAAGAGAAACCGATATTTCTGTCCACTGCTTTCTAGACCCAGGTATTGTAGCTCCTGGCCATGGGACACTGTAGTGCTCTCTGTTTGGGGGCATTTAAGCATCATAGAGAATAGTATTATCCCCAAAATGGCCCTTCTTTATTAAATTTCCTACTATAAAACGGAAGCATAAACTACCTGCTGTTTATCTCACATCAGACTGTGGAGACCTAAGTCAATGTTTCCTTTGTTCTGCTGGGGCCTTGTTTCTGGTCAACTGTGAGAGAGAAAGAACTGCTGGATCACAGACTCTTGTTCCCGTGATCACATCTCCTGTCCCTTAACTATATCTACATCCCCTCGTGTCAGAACACATTGTGCAGTGTCTCATTCTAGGAATAAGATATTCAGTAACTTGGACAGTGACTCTAGTAGCTTCTCTATGATTAAGAAAAATACATGTGAAGATAAGAGTTAATTCTTCTAAGTATAAATGACTACCTATCAGGTTTGGGCTTTGACTAAATTTTTTAAATTGTCTCCTTATGACTGGTGGGTATCCTTACAGGGTGTAATGATTTTGTTAGACAAATGTGATATCTATCACTATCAGCTCAGGCACTCGGTGAGAGGTGCTGGTCAGTCTGGTTGGCGGTATCTGTGCTCAGCCTTTATTGTACGTTAGGGAATGTGCTGATATAAAGAGAGAGGATGCTATCACTTGTGTGGCAATAATGATTAAATTGCAGAAAATCATCGTATTATGAGGTCTCCATACCCTCCTATGCAGCAGAAGAGATTTCCCTTGCTTTCAGCTGCTGGTTTCCTTACATTAAAATTTATTGCATTTCCTTTTACTGCACATTTTTTTTAAATTCTAAGATACTGTCTGCTTATTTAATTAAAGTAAGCACCAATAAATTTTAAAATTATCAATTACCTGTATAAGAAACATAAAATGGGTGTGGTGAAGATGCCGAGTAGAGATACCAGAAAACAAAACTAATAAAGAAACACATTGTGTAAGTTTAGAGTCATCACTGAGCACTGAAACCATGAGGAGCTTGTGTTGACTTTTATATTGTTGAAAGTCTATTATATTTGACATCCAGAAGGCTGATCACACCAGTGAGAAAAATCTGTAGAGTGGTCCACACAGATCAGAAATTAGAAAGTGATAAAGTCACAAACTTGCACAACCTGCAGACATTCAGTGTATTCAGCATTCAGCTCTTCCCATTTCTTCAGTAAAATAGATGGGTTACATCTGCATGGAAAATGGGACAAGTATTTTGTAAGCTGATTCTCCTGGGAAGTTGCTAATGAAATCAGTCAAGTGATGCTCTGACACAGGATTGTGAAGAGGACGTTGACCCATGGTGGTCGCTGTCATCAACACGGGATGCTCAACGCTGGTGGGTGTCTTTGTTACTGTTTTGTTCACAAGAGATTTTAAGCTGTCATGTGCTGCATGCAGGTGAGTTTTTAAGCCTCAGATGAGGAAAATAACATGACCACACAGTAGATGAGAAAATTGAAGACCTCACTTCATCAACCACATTCCACTGATGAGACCTGTTCACACAGAGAGCCAGGAATGAGCTGGGAAGAGGAAGGGGCTGGGGAAGATCATCCATAGATGGACCCATCCAGCCTGCTTGAACTCCCTGTGGAAGGAGGGTGTAAATGTTTGTCCTCAACTGATAGCGAGTATTTCAAGACCTTCACAAGCTTTCAGAAAAACAGTTTTCATGAACAAGTGGCCATACGTTACTCAGAGATGTACTTGTCATCATTTATCCTTCCTCTCTAGGCAGCACCACAGTAGCATGTTCTCAGAATTCTCCCTGATCCTCTGTGAGTTCCTGGTGCAGCTCCTGGAGGAAAAGCCTGCATGAGGGAGGGAGCCCTCCTCAATTGCAGCCCTGAGGCTGTCCCCAAAGTGCCATCAGCTCTCCTACATCCCTCTCGAGCCTCTGCTCTCTCTCCCTTCCACCCCCACCCCTTGGACAAGCAACATCTGAAAGTCTTCCCTGCCCTCGGCTCCCAGAGCTCTCTGGCGGTGGCCTGCACTCTCCCTCAAAGCGGCCCTCCCCCAGGTCACTGTCTTCCCTTCGATGACATCACGCGCCCACCCTGCGCTCCTGCTGGGCTGAGGCCCTCGGAGCCTACTTCACCGGGTCCTCTTCTCTCTTCTCTCAAAGGCCATGGGGTTTGCCTGCGGTCCAGATGGGTTGGCCCTCTTCCCCCTGTCCTGGGTCCTTGAGTGGCCCCGCTTATTTAGGCCATCTATGAGTCACTTCTCTAACGCCCCTGTCTCCAGACCAGCTTCAGTCAAAGGCTGGGCCAGAGAAGACCCTAGTGAGAAACTTCTGATGAGCAGTGTGACCTTGCCACCTCAAGGGTACCCGCCCACCGCCCCTGGTCTAAGCACAGGTGACACCGCCTGTCTCCCCCAACCACACACACCCCTTGAGGCTCCTCCTCCAAGCCTGGGTAGGGACACTGCCCCTCCCTCACCCAGGAAGCTCAGTCTGGCTTGGGCCAGAACTGCTTTTCTTCCTAAAGCTGGAGGGATGGCCGAGGGCTTAGCTTAACGGGATGAGCCATCTGGGGACTGCAGTGTCCACGATCAGATCAGGGAGCTTGAAGTTGAGGGGGGCACACTTTACCTCCCAGGCCAGGAGAATGACCACTTCCTTCCCCACCCCACCCCCAGGCTACTCTTGCCCTAGAAAATTCTAACCAAGCTGCTCAGCTGGTGGCGGAGAGGCAGCCCAACAAGCTGGCTCTTGCTGGGTAGGCCTGGGGGTCCTGGGGAGAGGAACACGGGGTGGGTGGGGGGCGGGCAGCCAGGACCTCAGACCTGAGGCCTTTGGGGAAGGGTCTGTGCACCCGCCAGGCACCAGGGGGCAGCCTTGCCTTATTCCCGCTCCAGTCCCCTCAAGTCCGAAGCCCCTACCCACTCTCATGCCAGGCAGGGGTGGGGGCCACCGGGGTCATTTACCCGGGCCCCTTCTCTGCCTTGGTGACAAAGTGGAGCCTTGCTCATCAGTCAGGCAGGCTCCCCTCTGGCCACTGTGGAGACACAGAGGCCTGTCACCTGAAGAGCTGGTCCCAGCCTCCAGCTTCCAGGGTAGCCGGGAAGCTCTAGCCCCCAGTGGGCAGCGGTGGACAGAGCTCAAGGAAGGAGCGAGCACCGGGAGGAGACGGCTGCAGCCTGCCAGGAGCGGGGAGAAAGGGAGAGAAGGGGAGGCGGAGGGCTGAGGGGGCCCGGGGGACGTCTTCCTAGGGCTGGGAGGGGCAGGCCGGGAAGCCTGGGCCACACTAGGAGCGGGCGACCCTGGGGTGAGGGGCGGCCCGGAGCACTGCGGGAGGAGCTGGCGGCCGCCCCAGGTAGCAACCATCCTGCCTCCCGCTGGAGCGGCGACTCCTCCCCGGGAGGAGGGCAGGGACAAGGTGGGCGGACTGTGACGAGCAGGGCGGGAGGGAGAGGGGGGCCGGCCAGCCGTGGGGGTGGGGCGATAGTGACATCACCCCGGAGTCGGTTTTTAAGCGGCTGCCGGCCGGGAACCGGGAAGAGAGGAACAGTCGGAACGCGGTGGCGAGTCGCTGAGCCCGCCGCGGCCCCGAGAGCGGCTGCAGCCGCCGCCGCCCAGAAGGAGAGGGCGAGGCGCGCCTGAGCCGCCGCCGCCGCCACCGGAGTCTCGGGTGAGCCGGGCAGCCGCCGCGGGCCCCGGTCGGGGCCGGGGGCGCGGGCCACAGGCCCCTGCTCCAGCCGCCGCTTGCAGACTGCGAGCGCCGATATCGCCCGCGCCCCGCTAGGCTGAGCCTCGGGTCGGCCGAGGAGCCGTGGCAGCCGCCACCGCCCGAGCCGCGGGCAAGAGCCTCCGGAACCGCTGCCGCGGACGCCTGGCCGGGCCCCGCCGACGCCCGCGCGCCCCCGGGCCCCTGACACACAGGAGATTCTTCAGGCTCACTTTCAAGTGCTTCGTGGACTGCTTCTGACTGCGCCGCCTGTGACCCGCACCCCGCCGCTCTCCCGCCGCCCCGTCCCCCGGCCCGGCCGCCCCCCGGCCCCCGGCCGGCCCGCGCCCTCGGGGCCCTCCCCGGTGCCGCCGGTGCCCCGCGCCTGACCGCAGCCCCCCGCAGGGTGCCGCGACCCCAGCCCGGCCGTGAGGCCCGCAGGGGCCATGGCGAAGAAGAGCGCCGAGAACGGCATCTGTAGCGTGTCCGGCGACCAGAAGAAGGGCCCCCTCATCGCGCCCGGGCCCGACGGGGCCCGGGCCAAGGGCGACGGCCCCGCGGGCCTGGGGACACCCGGCGGCGGCCTGGCCGTGCCGCCGCGCGCGATAGACCTGGACGCGCCAGATGGACTTCATCATGTCGTGTGTGGGCTTCGCCGTGGGCCTGGGCAACGTGTGGCGCTTCCCCTACCTGTGCTACAAGAATGGCGGAGGTGAGCTCCCCCGCCCCCCGCGGCCCCCTCCCCCAGCAGGCCGCCGGCCCCTGACGCCCGACCCCCAACCCCCGGAGCCGCCGCGGAGGGGTGAAGTCCGGGCAGCGGTTGGCCCCTGGGCACGCGGGGTCGGGGCCGCCCCTGGTCCACCGCTGCTGCTCGGTGGCTGGGCCGTCCGCCTCCACCCCTCTCGCAGTCATGTGCCTGGCAGGGTGAGGGGCGGGGGCCGGCGATGCCCGCGAGGCTGCCCCCCAGACTCCTGGGCTGGAAGGAGCGATTGGCCGCCGAGGTGGGAAAGCAGGCCTGCGCCTTGGGGTCTCCTCGAGGTAAGGAGCCCTGGCTGCCCCTGCGGGTCGGGCACACAAGCGGCACATTGTGTGGGCCCCCCACGTGTGCACACACACGAACACACACACACACAATGGGCCACTCTGTTCCTCTCCCTGCCCTCCCCTCCCCTCGCAGCCCTCCCGCTCCTCCCCTCTGGCCCGGGGCTGGAACACTGGGTACCTGAGCCAGGCTTGGGAAGCCTGTGGCCTGGCCCGCCTGGCGCCGCCACTGGAAACACTGCATGCACGTCCCATGCCCGCCCGCCTGTCTGGGCCCAGCTTAGCAAGAGCGATGGGCACGCGTGTGTCCTGTGACTACAAAACAGCACTGGGGTTTCTGGAAGCCGAAGTGACCCAGTGATGGGTGGGAAACAGAGGTCCAGAGCAAAGGCCTTTGCCCAAAGTTAGGAGAAGGATGCTGGGACCTGGAGTCAGGCAAGTTGCAGCCAAGCTCGGCCTCTGAGTAGTGGAGCGAGCCCAGCCAGGGCAAGGGTAGGAGGCCCAGAGAGGAGAAGGGGGTAGTGGCACCCAGCTCTCCCTGCCCTTTTGCCACCCCCACCCCAGCCTGCTGGCCAGGGCCTGTGCCATGCCCTGCCTATCTCCTGTAGAGCCTGACTCCCTGGGCTTGCTAAGGCCGGCCTGGCCCCTCTTCCCGCACCTGTATCCCTCTGTCCTTGCACGTGGCCATCCCACCAGCAGGGGACTGTGACCCACCCGCCCTCTGCCTTGGACCTCACACTTGCAGGCAAGCGTCCAAGTGCAGGACAGTCGCGCTCCCTGCCTTTGGATGAGCCCCTCAGGCCTGATCACCCAGCCTTGGCGCACATGCACACACGCACATGCCCTCACTGTGCTGCCTGAAACAGGGAATTGCGGCACTAGGGACAGGCTGCGTGTCTGAGCGTGCGTGTCCTCCATGGCCATCACCCCAAGTGACCGTGGGGGTGGAAGCCCTGTGGGCCTAGCGCCTCTCTGCCACCCAGGGAATAGGACTTCAATGGCCCAGGGGCTACTGTAGCACCTCTTCAACACACTGAACCCAGCCCCTCAAGACCCTACGTGGGGCCCGAGTCAGTGGCCACCCCTACACTGACTCACCCAGTGGGAAGTTGTGATGGGGCCTTTGGAGTCTGGGCTGGCCCGCTGGGCCTGGGCAGCCTGGCTGGGGGCCACCCTGAGTCCACCCTGTGCCTCCACCCCCAGGTGTGTTCCTTATTCCCTGCATCCTGATAGCCCTGGTCGGAGGAATCCCCATTTTCTTCTTGGAGATCTCGCTGGGCCAGTTCATGAAGGCCGGCAGCATCAATGTCTGGAACATCTGTCCCTTGTTCAAAGGTGAGCAGCCCTTGGCCAGCCTCAGGGACTGCCCCCTTTTCCCAGCTGGCTCCCACTTGAGAAATCTTTTCCTGTCCTGAGCACCAGGCCTGGGGCCACGTGATGGCATCCCAGTCTCGAGGGGGGAGCCTGGAGGAGATGTTCAGGCCGCACAGTGAATTTGGGGAAGCAGGGACTAGAGGGGGCATAGGCAGCTCCACAAGGCAAGGACAGGCCAGGCATAGCCGGGCTGGGGATGGGACCTGCCCAGCACACTTGGCTCTCTAGGTAGGTCCTACTATTACTGTCCCCAAGGACGCTGGGGCACAGACAGGTGGAGCGACGTACTGAGGTTGCCCACTACGGGGGCAACTGTCTCCAACACTACCTCAGGCTACTAGAAACTCCCCCCCTCCCCACCACCACCACCACCAGCTGCTGAGGACTGGAGCTACTGGGTGGCCAGGTGGAGGCTTGGACCTCCTGGAACCGCCATGGTGGCAGTGGGACCCACAGAAGGGGCCAGGTGTGTAAGGCTGGAGACTCAACAGCACTTGGTCAGATGGGGACAGGAGGAGAGGGGCTCGCTCTGCCTTGGGTCTAGGGGGCGGCTGGAGGAGAGGAGAGAGGCTGGGGAGTCAGCCCAGTGTTGGGGCTCACACAAGGGGGAGTCCAGGGGAGTCAGGAGCACCACAAACAAGGCTCCAGAAGGACAGACGGTGGGAGCACTGCCAGCCTGGGTGGGGAGATAAAGGGGTGGCAGGGGAGGTGGCCAGGAAAGAATCTACATGGCAAGGACTTCCCGGCCCCAGGCCTGGGCTATGCCTCCATGGTGATCGTCTTCTACTGCAACACCTACTACATCATGGTGCTGGCCTGGGGCTTCTATTACCTGGTCAAGTCCTTTAGCACCACGCTGCCCTGGGCCACATGTGGCCACACCTGGAACACTCCCGACTGTGTGGAGATCTTCCGCCATGAAGACTGTGCCAGTGCCAGCCTGGCCAACCTCACTTGTGACCAGCTTGCTGACCGCCAGTCCCCTGTCATCGAGTTCTGGGAGTGAGTCCAGCACCTCTGGGCCAAGCCCATCCCATCCCCCAGGTCTCCCTCATGTTGCCTGGCTCCAGGGGAATGGCCCTGAGAGGGGACCAGGGTGTTTCTTGGCAGTCCCTCCTGGACCCTGCCTGCCCTTGTCTGCCCTCGGAGAGTCCTGGGGCCAGCCCCAGGGGCTGCGCCAGGTCAGCCTTGCTCCTGGGTTCGGCAGCCTATCACTGTCCTGGTCACTCCCGCCTGATGGGGGAGCTGGGGCTGCATGTGGGGTGGGATGGGAGTGGCCTCCCAAAGGCCAGGGGCTCGTGGGCTCCAGGCCCAGCCCAGATGGACAAGAGGGCCCACTGAACCCTGGGCTGTGGGAGAGAAGGGAGCCACGACTCCTGGGGGTGGACCCTGTGGCTCCATCCTCTGCTGGCACAGGCCTCATGGGACCTCCCTCCCTCCCCTAGGAACAAAGTCTTGAGGCTGTCTGGGGGACTGGAGGTGCCAGGGGCCCTCAACTGGGAGGTGACCCTTTGTCTGCTGGCCTGCTGGGTGCTGGTCTACTTCTGTGTCTGAAAGGGGGTCAAATCCATGGGAAAGGTACCACTAGAGGCATGCAGGGGGGAGGGTGGCTCAGCCCTGGGAGCTGGATGTCTGTGCCAGGCACACCCGTAGCAACGGGAGGTGACCAGACAGAGTCTAGCCCTAAGGAAGGGGGAGGTACTGAAAGCCAAGCAACACTCCCCACCCTGCAAATCCAGGGCCCAGCAGCCTTTGCTCCTGTGGGGAGAGGCCCCAGCAGGCACTGTCCCTTCCCTGTGCCCATCACCCCCACCGGTGCCCTCCTGCCAGTCTCTGACTCTTGTGACAGTCTGCTGGACCTGGTCTGGCCATCTGTTACCTGCCTATCTTGCCTTGGGGACACAGAGCAGAGTCTGGCCACATCCCTTGGGGGCTCCTGGTCAGGCTGGGGAGTCACCTGAACAAAGAAGACAATGTCCAGAGCTGTGGGACATGGCCAGCTCCCTGGGGGACAAGGTCCCCAGAGCAGCATGTGGGAAGAGGGGGCAGACAGTGTGGCAGCCGCATCTTGCCTGCCTCTGCCTGGCCCAGTTCCACTCTTCACCTGCTCAGCCCCGACCTCTCTCCAGAAGAGGAGGGGGGCCCGGCCCTGATCCAATATCCCGCTCCCTGCCTGGGCCTCCCATGCGTGCACTGCCCACACACTCACACAGCTCTCACTCCCCACATGCTCCATGCCTCCTGTCCCCACTGAGGAGAGCTCCTAGAGGCTCGCCCGCTCCCCACTGACATGCATCCCTGCAGACAAACGAGGCGCCCAGAGAGCTTCCCCACTGCACTTGCCAGGGCTGCCGGGGCCCAGCCTTGCCCCTAGCTTCCTCTGGCGGGAGCTATGGCTCGGAGGAGAATGGGGACCTCTGAACATACCTGCCCGCAAGGGGGACCGGAGGTGCTCGGAGTGGGCTTGTGAGGGAGGTGGTGCCGCAGTCCCCGCTGAGCAGCCTGGCCCCCCAGATCGTGTACTTCACTGCTACATTCCCCTACGTGGTCCTGGTCGTGCTGCTTGTGCTTGGAGTGCTGCTGCCTGGCGCCCTGGACAGCATCATTTACTATCTCAAGCCTGACTGGTCAAAGCTGGGGTCCCCTCAGGTGAGGTGGAGGTGGGGAGGCTGCAGCAGGGTGTTGTGGGGGAGCCCTGCAGGCCCCTCATGCCTGCACTCTCCAGCCCTCCTCTAGGTATGGATAGATGTGGGGACCCAGATTTTCTTTTCTTATGCCATTGGCCTGGGGGCCCTCACAGCCCTGGGCAGCTACAACCGCTTCAACAACAACTGCTACAAGTAAGCACTGCTGCCCTGCCACCCGTGCCCTGTCCCGCCCTGCCCTGCCCAGCAGCCTAACCCATCCACTCTGGCCCCTCCACCCCTCCAGGACGCCATCATCCTGGCTGTCATCAACAGTGGGACCAGCTTCTTTGCTGGCTTCGTGGTCTTCTCCATCCTGGGCTTCATGGCTGCAGAGCAGGGCATGCACATCTCCAAGGTGGCAGAGTCAGGTAGGGCCCTACCCCCAGCCCCGCCTCCAGAGCAGCAACTGCCACCCAGATGCATGATGTACAAGAACACGCAATAGAAATGCTGAAAAGTGATGAGGATTCAAACAGAACTTCTCAGATTGTGGGCCTGTGGGGGCAGGTCCTGGGATTTTTCAATGTTGACAGAGACAGGACCTCCCAGCCCCTGCTGCATGACCCAGGGTTGACAGCACCTCAGAGGCAGGCGTGGGCATGGGCGTGAGTGTTGCAGGCAGGGCTCAGGGTGCGCGCAGGGCACGACATCGGCTGCAAGGTCTAGAGCCTGCACCTTTCCCACAGGGCCGGGCCTGGCCTTCATCGCCTACCCACAGGCTGTCACACTGATGCCAGTGGCCCCACTCTGGGCTGCCCTGTTCTTCTTCATGCTGTTGCTGCTTGGTCTCGACAACCAGATTTGCATGGGGCTCTGGGACAGGGAGCCAGGAGAGGGGCGGAGTGAGGGCTGCGGGCAAGGAAAGGGGTGGAGGGTGGTGCGGGGCTCGGCCTGAGCTAGCCTGGCCACAGTTTGTAGGTGTGGAGGGCTTCATCACCGGCCTCCTCAACCTCCTCCCAGCCTCCTACTACTTCTGTTTCCAAAGGGAGATCTCTGTGGCCCTCTGTTGTGCCCTCCGCTTTGTCATTGATCTCTCCATGGTGACTGATGTGAGTGGGGTGGGGGGTCTGCCTGTGACCTCTGGTGGCCGTCTGCCATCCTCCCTGACTGGGCTCTGTCCCCCAGGGTGGGATGTATGTCTTCCAGCTGTTTGACTACTACTCAGCCAGTGGCACCACCCTGCTCTGGCAGGCCTTTTGGGAGTGCGTGGTGGTGGTCTGGGTGTATGGTAGGTCATGGCTGAGGGCTGGGCTGGGGCATGGTGGCGGGGAAGGCAGGTCTCCAGCTTGGCCCTCCCGCCTCGCCTTGCCACAGGAGCTGACCGCTTCACGGACGACATTGCCTGTATGATCGGGTACCGACCTTGCCCCTGGATGAAATGGTGCTGGTCCTTCTTCACCCCGCTGGTTTGCATGGTAAGGGCTGGGGGAGGTGGGGCGGGGTGGGGGGGGCGGGGCGGGGTGGGGGCCCCATTAACCACGGCATTCTGGTCTGTAGGGCATCTTCATCTTCAACGTTGTGTACTACAAGCCGCTGGTCTACAAAAACACCAACGTGTACCCGTGGTGGGGTGAGGCCATGGGCTGGGCCTTCGTGCTGTCCTCCATGCTGTGCATGCCACTGCACCTCCTGGGCTGCCTCCTCAGGGCCAAGGGCACCATGGCTGAGGTAAGGCTCCCTCCCGGCCTGCCCTCCCCTCCCCTGCTATGAACATTCAACCCAGCCTGCTTCCTAGCCAAGGAGTGGCCCTGACTAGGGTGGCAGGCAGCAGGAGCTGGAGAGAGGCAGAGGAAGTCACCGTGGGGATGAGCAGGTGACTCTGGGGGCTTCAACATGTCCTCTCCTGCAGTGCTGGAAGCACCTGACCCAGCCCATCTGGGGCCTCCACCACTTGGAGTACCGAGCTCAGGATGCAGATGTCAGGGGCCTGACCACCCTGACCCCAGTGTCCGAGAGCAGCAAGGTCGTCGTGGTGGAGAGTGTCATGGGACAGCTCAGCTCACATCACCAGCTCACCTCTGGTAGCCATAGCAGCCCCTGCTTCATCCCCACCCCACCCCTCCAGGGGGCCTGCCTTTCCCTGACGCTTTTGGGGTCTGCCTGGGAGAGGAGGGGAGAAAGCACCATGAGTGCTCACTAAAACAACTTTTTCCATTTTTAATAAAACGCCAAAAATATCACAACCCACCAAAAATAGATGCCTCTCCCCCTCCAGTCCTAGCCCAGCTGGTCCTAGGCCCCGCCTAGTGCCCCACCCCCACCCACAGTGCTGCACTCCTCCTGCCCCTGCCACGCCCACCCCCTGCCCACCTCTCCAGGTTCTGCTCTGTAGCACACCCTTGGGTGACCCCTCACCCCAGAAGCAGCAGTGGCAGCTTGGGAAATGTGAGGAAGGGAAGGAGGGAGAGACGGGAGGGAGGAGAGAGAGGAGAAGGGAGGCAAGGGAGGGGCAGCAGAACCAAGACAAATATTTCAGCTGGGCTATACCCCTCTCCCCATCCCTGTTATAGAAGCTTAGAGAGCCAGCCAGCAGTGGAACCTTCTGGTTCCTGCGCCAATCACCACCAATATCAATTGTGTGAGCTTGGGTGCGAGTGCACGCGTGCGTGAGCACGTAGAGTATATATAGATCTCTATCTCTTAGCAAAGGTGAATACCAGATGTAAATGGTGCCTCTGGGCAAAGGAGGCTTGTATTTTGCACATTTTATAACAACTTGAGAGAATGAGATTTCTGCTTGTATATTTCTAAAAAGAGGAAGGAGCCCAAACCATCCTCTCCTTACCACTCCCATTCCTGTGAGCCCTACCTTACCCCTCTGCCCCTAGCCTAGGAGTGTGAATTTATAGATCTAACTTTCAGAGGCAAAACAAAAGCTTCGAGCTGTTGCATGTGCGAGTCTGTTGTGTGGATGTGTGTGTGTGGTCCCCAGACCCAGAATGGATTGGAAAAGTGCATGGTGGGGGCCTCGGGGCTGTCCCCACGCTGTCCCTTTGCCCACAGGTCTGTGGGGCAAGAGGCTGCAATATTCCATCCTGGGTGTCTGGGCTGCTAACCTGGCCTGCTCAGGCTTCCCACCCTGTGCCCTGGGCTGGGCACACCCCCGGGAAGGGACCCCGGACACGGCTCCCACATCCAGGCTCAAGGCGGATGCACTTCCTGCACCTCCAGTCTTCTGTGTAGCGGCTTTAACCCACGTATGTCTGTCACGTCCAGTCCCGAGACGGCTGAGTGACCCCAAGAAAGGCTTCCCTGACACCCGGACAGAGGCTGGAGGGCTGGGGCTGGGTGAGGGTGGTGGGCCTGCGGGGACATTCTTACTGTGCTAAAAAGCCACTGCAAACATAGCAATAAAAACCTGTCATTTTCCAAAGCAGGCCTCTGCTTCTGCCTCTGCTGCTCTAAGGGGTCGAGGTGCAGGAAGTAGGGGGAACCTCCTCCAGCTGGAGCTGCTGTGGTGGGCAAGGCTCTACTCTGGAGGCCTCTGAGGCCGGCACCCTTCTGGGGACTGGGAAGGGAGCAGGGAAGGCAGCAGCCCAGGGAAAACCTTGTCCCCCTGGAGCCGAGGCACCTGGGAAGAGCAGGATGAGAGAGCTGGAGAGCAGCCACACCCACGGGGAAGGATGGGTGTAAAGCCATGGGTGCTGAAATTTTCAAAATGTTACCCCAAGAATTTGTCACTGAACAGGTGCCTTGTGTCACTTGGGCCAGGCTGATAGCAGCAGAGGGGATAACTCTTTGCATCAGGGATCAATTTTGAAGGTGGAGCCAGTAGGGGTTGTGCATGACCAGGATGCAGGGCTCAAAGAGGAGTTAAGGACAACAGATTTGGCCTGAGCAAGAGGAAAGATGGAGCTGCCAGGTCCTGCAATGGGGAGGCAAGGAGAGAATGGTCCGGAGTCAGCCTTGGGTGTGTCATGCAGGAAGTGTCATCCAAGTGGAGATGTCTAGTTGGCAGGTGGACACAGGAGTTCCAGAAAGTACTGGAGATGGAACTTTGCAAGTTCTTACCACATAGAGATGACACTGAAAGCCCTGAACCTGGGTGAGCTCACAGGGACGCCGCAAGTCCCGGGACACAATGAGAGGGGCAGAGGGAAGATGCGGCAGCAATGGGGGAGGATGCCTGAGAGCTCCTGGTGGGGTCCTGCAACCTGAGCCAGTGAGGACCCCTCACAGGTCAGGGAGGAGCAGTGGCTGGCTCCATCTGTCCAGTGCTGCTGCTGCTGCTGCTGCTGGTGAAGGACAGTGACCTGCAAATGCTCACTGAGTCTGGCAAGGGTCACAGGGGCCTGGTGAGGGTGGCTTGCATGAGGGGTTGCGTGTGAAAGGCTGGTTGGTGTGCGATTGAGAAAAGGAGTGGCGGCAGCCCATTGTCATCTGCAGACGAAGGGAGAGACAACAACATAGTTTACCCAGACAAGGAAATATGAGCCGGCCTGGAAAGGGAAGGCACTCCAACACACGACACAACATGGCTGACCCCTGGAGGGCATTTCTGTGAAATGATCCATCATAAAGAGACACTTGCTATAGGGTTCTGCTCCTGAGAGAGAGACAGGGCCTTACATGAGAGGAGGGAGATCCACAGAGACAGAGGGCAAGGGTGGGTGCCAGGGGCTGGGGACAGGGTGGGGAGTGTTGAGTGGGGACAGAGTGTCAGTTTGAGAAGATAAATTCTAGAGGTGGACGGAAGTGGTGGCTGCGCAACACTGTGACTGCACTTAATGCCACTGAATTGCACACTTAACGATGGTGAAAATGGCTCATTACATATACATTGATGACACTATATATATGTGTGATATACATGCGTTTTACCATGAGAAGAGGCGGAGAGGAATTGAAGACAGTGAGTACAGACAGGTCCTTCAAGGGGCGGGACCCATGCACAAGATGAGCATGTGGCACCCCACCCTGAAAGGGCTGGGCACCATGGCAGGGCACAGCAGGCAATGCAGTGGGTGGCTCAGGCAAGCACAGAGAGCATCAGGGATTGGAGCCTGTGAAGGGGGAGCAGGTGACCCCTCAGAGCAAAATGACAGCTTGGGCTGCTCCCTTTGCGTCCTGCCCAGGACTGCTATCATGCTATGGGAGAACCCCCAGAGGCCCTGCTCCTCAGCAGGCAGCACCCCCTATGGAGGGGCTTTACCCCTAAACTTCTGGAGCCAGGAGAGGGACCTGGCTTAGAATACGGCCAACCAAGAGCCTGGGTGAGAAATACATGGACCAGACAGGGAGCAGAGAAAGGAGTGGCAGCGCAGTCCCACCCTAGCTCAGCTGGGGGCTCTGGAGCCTGCTCTGGCCCCCATCTCTTCGGCAACCACTGTTTCTAGTTTTCTTTTTCTCCCCGAGAAGCCTGTCCTCTCACCATGCCTGCGCCTTCAAGAACCCCACCTGGCTGGCAGCTCCCAGATCTCCAGCCTGGCCCTCCTTAGCTGCAAAGGTGCTTCCCAACGTCGGCAAGACCTCTCCCTAGGGTGCCCCAGGCCTTCACACAGCCCCTGTCCCCAACCGACTCCAACTGTCCTGCAGCCCACGGTCACCCTCAGGACCCCTGAGCTCAGGCCAACTGCTTTATACACTGTCAGCCAGGTCTCTGCCTGGATGACAATCACCCTCTGCTAATTGTTCTCCACACCTCCAGGCCAAATGCCCTCCAAGCCACCTCATGCACCACAATGACACCAAACACACAGAAAAAAGACATTGAAAAAAGGAAACTTCACAGAAGCATGTCATTTAAAGTGGGTTCTGAAATGGAGACACCATTACCTCAGGACTTAGCTCCCGCATGAGGGGTTAGGACACAGAGATCAACAAGCAGCAGGCTTTGCCCTCAAGCAGCTCACAGTCTAGTGGAAGATGGGTGAGAAAACAGATCAGGATGCCCACGGGTGCAGATGCCCTGGAACAGAAGCTGATCCAGGAAAGCGCAAGCCTGCAGGCCGCCCTCCAGTCTAGGCTGGGCAAGCGCCTCAATTTTCATCTCTAAGAGCCTGTGCCCACACCCCCTGCCCCAATGTTGTTCCATCACTCCACTAGAAAGGGCGCTCCAGAAGCTGGCCTCGTGCAGCTTTCTGTCTGCTGCTAGCCTAGGCAGAACAGTGGAAGAAGCCATCAGGGCTGGTGAGGGAAGCACCCATTTGGACTTTAGCCTTTCAAAGCTCAGAGAAGGGTGAGCTCAGGGAGGCCCAAGGTAGCCGAGAACACTTCCTGGAGAAGTGGTATCAGCCTTCGGCCTTGGCACAGCAACCAGAGGGTATTGCCCACGTGTCCCCTACTCCCTCAGACACCACCTCTCAGACCGCCTGGAAAGGGACAGAACTTGTCACGAGGCAGCTGTGCTCTGAGCACAAGGGAAGGGCGACAGGATGCTAGAGAAGGGAACCACTGGCCTGGGCCTGGGCAGGGCAGGCAGAAGCAAGCATGCACAGCAGGCCATCAGCTACCCTGCCAGCATCAACATCCTTCAGGGGTCCCCCCAGTTCCAGGAGACACACCTCTAACCTGCTCCCCTGACCCTTCCGCCCAGTCCTCATGCAGACACCAGGCATGGCAGAGGCCCTGCAGGGTGGGAGCACTGTGCTGCGGGCGGGGACTGCCTTCCTCATGTGCTACTGGAGAGCAGCACAGTGCAGGGGCCTGGGCACTGGCGCCAGGCAGGAAGCCTCGGTTCTGGCCTGGCTTGCTGTGGGCCTGGAAGACACAGCTTTGAGGGAGCCACGGGAGGGACGCCCTGGAGCCAGCACCAGCACAGCGCTCTGGTGGCAGGCACACACCCAGCACGTTCTCAGGGCCAAGGGCCCCAGCCCCTTTCTGCCTAGCTCTGCCCTGGGCCAGCTCCAGGTCACTGCCAAGGACAAGTCTCCTCTCCCAGCTGGCATTAGTCAGAGGTCATCCTGCAAACCTTCAGGAGGGGGTGGGGCAGGGAGTGACTAGTGGCATTCTGCCACGTTCTGTCTGTCCCAAATGTGACGAACGGGAACCCAGAGAAGGCAAGCGAGTCCTCTACCCAGAAGCCCTGCCGGTTTACTGAGCCTCCCAAGCTGCCCACACCCAGGGAGGCAGACAGGACACACACTCAGTGGGTGGCCCTGAAGCGAGGCCTGGCCCAGCCCGGGGAGCAAGAGGACAGAGAGGGCAGGGCCTTTGAGAACAGGTGTGAGCCTGGCCTTCAGTGGTGGAAACAGGTTGAAGGCCTGTGGCCCCTTGGGGGCTCCAGGCAGGAAAGAAAGCAGAGCCCTCTCCATGGCCACAGTCACACACCGCACCACATACACACCATGACAACTTTTATTGCCCTCAAGAGAAACTCCAGTCCACCTGCTCCACCCACCCTCCTGCGGGACCAAAGAAAACACCCAGAGGGCAAAACAAAAAAGGGCTCAAACCAACAGGAAGTCAGCCCCACCGCAAGCCAAACTACAACTAACTCGTGTCCTCCACGCTCAGGCGTGGAAGCCAGGGCTGTGCCAGGCCTGGCCAGGCCAAGCAGGATAACAGCAAATGCATTCTGAACGTGTAGCAATCAGGTACCCTGTAATGTGCTTGGAGAGTGTGGACAAGGGCCAAGATGACGAGCTATGAGCTGTGGAAGGGAATGGGGGAAGTGAAGGGCACAAACAGAAGTACTGGAGGGAGAGGCTGGGCTCTCAGGAAGCAGCAGGCACGTGCCAGGTGGAAGCCAGCTGCAGGCCAGGGAGGAAGGAGGCCCTTACTCTTTCTTCTTGTCCATGGGACCAACTACTGTAGCCTGGAAAGGGACAGAAATCCCACAGCAGTAGGTTGGCCAGGTCCACTCCTCCCCTGCCATCTCCAGCCCCCTGCCCCAGAGGTCCAGCTCGGTTCCCCTCTCTCCTAATGAGAGCTATTCAAGTGAGCAAGGGGCCCCCTCCCCGGCTACACCCAAAGGCCTGCCAGGGTAGGAGCATCAGCCCTGGCCCACGCTCTAAGGAAAGCCCTGGACCTAACGCCAGCCAGGGAGGACTGCCAGGACCTCACTGGGGGCTGAGTCCTGGCTGCAGGGAACAGCAAGGTATCCAGTACCCTTCAAGACCTGATCAGGCCCTTCCCAACTCTGCACACCTTTGACAGGTGCCCTCGAAGCCCAAGTCCCGTCTGCCAAGCCTGCCCTATACAGAGGGCATGGGTGCCCTCTTTGAGGCTGGACCCTTCCTCCCCACCTGCTGTGGTGCCCAAACTTGGGCCACCAAGCACTGAGGCCAGCTGTCCAAAGTTAGGAGTATTTATGTGGCCCTCACTCCCAACGTCAAGACCGCCTGGCTTCCAAATGTGGCCTGGTGCACCCAAGCTAGTCTGAGGACTTGGATCAGGCCTAGGGCAGCAGGTGATGGCCACAACTAGTGCCTGCTAGGGGAGGTGCCTTTTTGACACCTTGTGCCCTTACTTGCCCAGGGATCTTTGCCCTATGTCACCCCCCAGCACTCTAGGAAAGAAGGCCAGCAGTGGGTCCCAGAGTTTCACCTGCTTCTTTGTTCTTGACTGGGCCCCAAACCATGGAATGAGCCTGAGCACGAAGATAGGAAGGCTTAGAGCCTAGTGAGCCAGTGCCACTCCTGAGGGCTGCCTCGGCAAGTGTCTACATCTGCTGCCAGGCCACCCCTCTCCTGCCCGGTGAATGGTCCCACTCGGTAGGGCAGAGGTGGCCAGGGGGAGTGGGGGAGAGGGCAGCCGGCCCCTGGGCCCCTGGAAGGTTCCCTCCGCACCCGCAGGGGCTGCCTCATCCTGCTCTGCTTTCCTGCCCTGGGCGCAGCGATACGTGAGGGCTGACCTGCAGCTTTGCGTGCTCCTACTGCAAGCGGTCGTACTCCTTGGTGAGGCCCTCAGACTGCTTCTGCATGGCCAGAACCTGGTTTTCAGCTTTCTCTAGTTCTTGAAATGATGTAAATGACCAAGAAAACAGAAATGAAAAGACAGGAATCGGGGGTAAAAACCCAGCTTCTACAGACACCAGAAACTGGCCCAAATCTATCTCAAACGAGGTTATACAGGAGCCTACTTCTCAAAATAAAACCGCTCTGCTTTTGCAGGCCCCCAAAGTAGAGGGAAAGGCTGACAAAAAAGCTCAAGATAAAGCAAAAGAAATACAGAGGACATCCCCCAGTCCCTTTAATGGAGGGGAACTCTAGTGGCTCTCGGCAAGGGTAACCTCCAGGGAGGCTGAGAGTGGGAGACAGGGAACAAGATCCCAGCCTGAAAGCGAGACCCAATGACAACCATGCCTTGCAGACAGCAGCAGCAGGCGAGGCCTGTGGTATTGTGGGAAAACGCCCCAGACTTAAGTCTATGCATGGGAGACCAAAGACAGGCAGGCCGCCTGGGAGCTGCCCACTCCGCTCCTGAACACCACTCCCACACTCCCCTCATTCTAAGCCCCCAGGCAGGCTGGGGCTACCGTGCCACACTCTGGATGGGAAAGCCCCAGCGTGCACTGCTCTAGCGCAGGGCAATCGAGTCCCACCAACTGCAGCCTGGTTCCTCCTGAGCCCCATTCAAACCACTTAGTCTCACTGGCCTGCCGGCTAAGCATGGCTGCATTGGGGTTGGAGGCATAGGGTGCTATTTGTTTGTTTTCACACAGCCCTCGAGCATGCGTGCAAGGCTTGTTACTAGTACTTTGGCACAAAATGGGCAGCAGCGGGCAGAGGACGCTCCTCTGGACTTCCCTGCGGGGAAGGACATGAGGTCAAGCCTCACTTTGCTTAGTGCTGGCCAGCTCATCCTTTAGCTTCTGCAGCTCAGCCTTCAGGCTCCTGTTCTCTTCCTCCAACTTCACCTCAGCATTCCCGACATCCAACTTGCCTCCGTCAACAGCAGCTCACTGGGAAAAGTGCCAAAGGTCAGGGTTACTCAGGAGGGAGGGAGGGAGAGGTTCCAGCCCCATCCTCCCCACCAAGCTGCGGTTCCTCAAGCTGCCCTGGCCACTCGCCCCTTCGGAAATGTCAACGCGGAACAGAGCCACCACTTGCTCCCAGCTCTTAGGCAAAGGCCAGGGCGTGGCTGCCCGCCAAGGGGAAGAGAAGCGCCAGTGGGGCCACCTGCTGCAGCTCGCCGGGCACGCCTTGCCTGCCCTGGCCCCTGGCCCTGCCTCCTTCCCGAGCAGCAGGGCTCAGCAGCTCCATGGTGCTCACCAACCCCTCCGCGGATGGCGGTGCCTTGTGCTCTCTACACGGTGCCACTCACTGCAGTCAGGGGCCCCCAGTCGGCCTGGCCAGCTCTATCCCACCTCTGCATCCACATCCCTCCGAGCTTGCCTTGCAGCTCACCTCCTGACAGGACTTCTAAGACTGGCCAACTACCCTGGCCCCACCTCCTCTCCAGCACTGAGGGATGCCACAGACCCCGAGTTCCAGAGGGGGTGCGGCAATCTTGCAGGGAACAATGGCCTAGCTGAGGGCTTTCGGTTCACAGCAGAGGGCCTGGCTCACTGAGGGGCCATTTTTCTCAGGGAAGGGTCTGACTGGAAGCAATGGATGGAAACGTGAGCAGCAACACCCTCCTCCTCACCAGGACCCCCACACACAGACGTCTCCAGCAGGCATACTCTCCCCACTGAGGACTTCCCCTCTGTGCCTCCACCCAACTCTGGCTTTTCAGGCACATTTCCCAGGGTGATAGGCTAGCAGTGGCCACTGAGGCCCTAAAGAATATGGCTCCTGCAGTATAACACCAGGACGCCCCATGGTGGGTCGAGAAACTGGACTCACCTTCTTGAGCTGGTCATTCTCCGTGTACTTCTTGGCCGCCTCACTAGCACTCTCCATCTGCTTTTTAAAGGCTTCATTGGAGGCCAACAGTGTGGCCTGCTGCAAGATGAGAGTCACCAGGCATCTAAGCAGGCGTGATTATTTACAAAAAGAAGGGAGAAGTGAGAAAAAGTGCATGAAGGGCTGGCAGGAGCACCTCCTGGTTGCTGCCACTCAACACCTGGCTCCAGCCTGGACCTGCCCTCTTGCCAAGGCAGCTGAGCGAGAAGCCGCCAACCTGGTGCTGGCAGCGTGAGGGAAAAGGTGGAGCCCAGGAGCTGTCCTCTGCCGCTGTGCCCAACGGCCACCCTCAGCTCTGGGAGGGGCTGGAAGCAGGAGCCTGGGGGCTGGGAAGAGCCTCGATACAGCATGAGGTCCCGGAACGTGGCACTTTCCGGGTCGGGGCCTAGACGTGCCAGACAAGCCACAGCACCACCTTCCTCCCCTCAAGGCTGGGCTTGCCTTGGTAAGGTAACGAGAGAAGCTAATTAATCTGAGCACTTCCAACATGCCAGGCCGCATCCTCACATCTACCTGATGAGGAAGTTACTATCACTGCCCCAGCTTATAGAGAAGGAAACTGAAGTTCAGCAGCGTAAATCAATGTACCCAAGGCCAAAAACCAGAAACGGACATGGCTGGAATTCCAAATTATGTCTGCCTGACTCCAGAACCTGAGCTTGGAACCACTCTACTCTCTAAACTAACAGGGAACGGCTCCCAGGTCCCAACATAAGATAGAACTCTCTTCTCTGGCCAGCCTCCTTCCCAACCTGTCATTCAGGCTGCACTGGAACACATCCGTTATGTAACAGCACCCCAAACGAGGTCTTCTTGGGCTGGAGGGTGTACAGGAATCAGGACACAGGCACACGCTGCCTATCTGAAGAAGCCAGGAGAGACAGGCAAACACGTGGCAGCTGGAGGCAGATGCTAGTCCCCAAACAGAGATTGGAATGGCCACTTCATTTCCCTTGGTTCACCCTTGCCCCGAGATGTTAGCTGGCAGGAAGAGAGGAGGGAAGGACTTGTTCAAACAGTCAAAACAAGGTAGGGGTTCCTTTCTCACACACCTCAGAAGGCAAGGGTCACACAGGGCCTGGGGGAAGGAAGAGACAAATCTGCTTAGTCCAGGGTGCTTCAACAACAGCTTACTCAGAAGAGTCGAAGTGGCCTCCTGCCCCAGCCAGGCCTTCACACTTCGCAGCCTCTGCTCATGGCCAGGGGCAGCCCGGAAGGGCTGGAGAAAGTAGAGAGCAGACAAGGTGAGCTACCTCCCTGGCCCAAGCCATGGCTGTCCAGGGCCTCGGAAGAGCCCCTTTCGAGATGTACTCAGGACAGAAAGTACCCACCCAGGCCAGGAGACACCCCTGAGGTTCCCGGTTTGGGGAGAGGCTCCCAGGGGCCCCTGGCATCACCAGAAGAGCCAGGCCATTGATTCCTGGCAGAGAAGGAGAGTTTCCAGTGACATGTGCTTTCTAAAATTAGTGGCCCAGGACCTCGTGGCCTAGGGCTCAAGTTTCCCTGCCTCAACCCCCAGCTGCCGACCGGCCTGCCCCTGACTGGGCTACAGCCTGAAGGTGGAGGAAGCTACTGAGCGCCCTAGGAGCCAGAGAGAAAGAACGCATCTGACTCACATCGGCATGGCCAGAAGTCACTGGAGAGGCCTAGAAAGAAAGGCAAGTCTGACTAAGACCCAACCCCCGGCAAGGAGCTGCCCAGCCCCAGAGCAGATCCCAGTGATGTAGAGAGGAAGAGGACCGCTACTCCTAACTGGAATTGAGGGGTGGGGGTCATGCCACCTGGTGGTAGAGAGAGGACCAAGCAAGACTGAAGGCTATAATCCCCGCCACCAGGCCAGGCAAGCGGCTGCTGGTGAGTGCCCATGGCTGTCACCCCAGTACCCAGGGAAATAGCTAACACAAATGCTTCCATGGCAGTGCAGCAGAGGCCCAGCTCTTTTCGGACCGTTCCAGGCCTTTCCCGGCTATTGAGAACCAGGGCTTCCAAGATACGCCAGGGCATACACAAAGTCCAGCACAAGATCCACGCCGTGTCTGTCCGAAAGCCTGACCCTGCTCAGCCCCAGCCCAGGCCTTTAGTTCCCAGCCTTCAGACAGTCTGGGGCTCCCCTCTGCCAGGCCCTGGTTCCCCTTCCTCTTGCCAACCCTCAGAGGTGCTCCCCACCCCCACAGCACCCTAGGCATACTCCTCCCACTGCACCCCCAGCCTGATAGTTCTTTTTCACACCTTCTAGGTCCTCTCTCTTCCTGCTGGATGACCCGGGATCATTCTCCCCCCAGGAACCTCACCTTCAACTGCTTCCTTCCTGGAGTCACCCTGCCCAAGCCCCTGGTCTTTTCCCTCACATGTATTCCTCAATCTAGGCTGGCCAAAGCCTGCCCTTCCAAGCCAGTAGCAGGGCCACCAGTGGCCTCCTAACCACCCAGGCAGGCGGTTACCCTGAGCTCCTTGCTCTGCTGCTAAGTTACCCTCCTGAGGTCCCCTCACAACACCCTCCTCCCACTGTTATTCTGCTCCCTCTGGGATCTGCACTCTTCAGCTGACACCCTATACCTTCTTCCCAGCCACTCTTATCCCTGAAAGGGTTTTCTCTGCGGCCCAGACTCACACCTAACCTCCTGCTAAACATTGGCTCCTGGATGTCCCCAGAGACATTCTAGACTCAGCTTGTCCAAAATGGGCCTTCCCTTGTCCTGCCTGACCTGACCACCTCGTGTAGCCCCTGCTGTAGTCGTGGGCAGGCAAACCACCTTAGACTCGGCCCTCTTGGCCCCCTAGCCCAGGCCGCAACCCAGCGCTTTCCATGTCAACTGCAAACATACCCGCCATCATCCCCACTGCTGGCGCCTCCTCCCTATCTGCCACCATACGGCTTTCCCATCCACCTCCCAGAGCAAGGCAAATCCGACCACGTCAGCCCTCTGCTTAAGCCACCTGCTGCCAGCACGCATGCCCTCAGTGAGCTCTCCTCCCTCACTAACCACGTGGCCCCCTTCTCTAGTAACACCTAACCCCTCACCATTCCTGGAACACACCTGGTTCTGTGTGGCAGTCCTCCAGGCCGGAATGTCCTCTCGACCCAGCTCAATCCTCACCTCCCCCCCAGAAACCCTTTCAGATCTCCCACCCCATCAGAGGGACGCCTTCTGGGGGCTCCTGCAGCAGCCCCCTAGGCACCTGCATGTAACTACCTCATTCTCGGTTCTCTGCGTGGCTGCCATCCATTTATATGGCTCCCCTACCAGGCTATGAAGGTCTTTAGTCTGGGCACTGTGCCTTCATCTCTGCACTCCCATACCTGGCACACTGAAAAGGGGTCTTGCGCCCACTCCAGCAAGTATAGCTAAAAAAAGGGGGGCGGGGGGCGGGACTGGGCTTCCAGATGACCAGATCCCACTCCCAGGAGAGGAAGTGCTCCCTGATAGGTGAGGGGACAGATTTGAGGCTGCATGTAAGGCTGGACAGAATCTCCCTGGGCCTAGATTGCACCTGTGTTCACCTGGGAGCCTGGCACCAAGAGTGGCAGAGACAGACACAGAGCTGCTCAGTCTAGCAACAGAGGAGACAGAAGACAGGGGTGGGAAGGCGCCATCTCAGACCCGTGCTGATGGGCAAGCCAGGCTCATGGCTGCAGGGAGAAAAAACATTCAATGCCACGACCTGAAGGCACAACCCAGAGCTCCAGCCTCTGCATCCTCACACCCTCAGCCCCCACCCAGGGCCCAAGCAATGCAGACCAGGTCCCCTCTGATCACTGGCATTTTTCAGCCTGGGAGCCAGCCTTCTAGAACATTTTCCTGCTCCCTCACATTGGGTCACTCAGGCACATTAACTTGCGCTTCTGTCTGTTCCCTTGTAGCTTCCCAGGCCCCCAGGACAGGGCACAGAACATGGTCTTTAGCTTCTGCCTCTGCTGGATCTCCCAAGTAATCTTACCCGAATCACTGTTCTTAGCTATTCATTTCCAGAAAACAGGAAAGAACCTACGAGGCAAAGGCATCTCCTACAGATACAGGGTGGTCACCAATAGAATGGCCTGGGGTCCAAAAAAAGGCCAGTGAATGAAACTTAACAGAATCCAGATGTGGCCTTGGCAGACACACGGCAGCCCCAAATGCCTCAGTCTGACTGGGCTTCCTTGATAGAATGTTGTTGGACACTGAGCGGGGCTGTCGTGCTTTTATAAAGGGTTGAGTAAACCAGAGAAGACAGGAGAAACAGATCCTCTCCACAGACTCTAGAGAAACAGGGCCAACCATATCAAGTGGGGAGAGCCACGGCTCATAAGCACTTTTCGGCAGCCCTGTCTTCCCCCATGAGCAAGGGGAAGAGGACATGGGCTTAATAGGAAATGGGGAAGAAGCAAGTCCCGACCAAAAGATTCCATGCTGTGGCCACCCTCGGCCCGCCCTGCTGACCTGACAGGTTTCAGGTGAGTCAAGTCATTCAACCCCCAGCCCCTGTATATACATGGCGTTCACACAAGCTCACTCCTCTGCCCCCAGCCAGCAGAAAGCTGGTGTCCCAGCGCCACCTGCTGACTTTCCAGGCCTACCGCAGGGTGGCCAGTGGACTCTGCGTGAACATGCCCCAACTGTGGAAGAAAAAAATGAGGCAGCGCCCAGGCAAGGAAGCAAGTCAGGTGATGCCTCAGGAAGGCTTCAGTGAAGAATGACTAACACCAGGGCTTCTACTGCCCTGAGCGACTCTTACCCACAAGTCTGGAATCAGGAAAACAGGTTACAACTGGGAGAGTCACCTAGAGCAGACCCGAGAAGGCTGCCCCAAAGGGCTGCCCCAAGTCCATTTTGGTACAGCTGCGTTGCCTTCCTTGTAGCCTCCCAGCACACAGACACTGGAGAAGATGGGAAGAGGAGGGCTAGAGCTGGGGGAAATGGAGGCCGTTTCAAATGAGAACATGCCTTGTGGCAGCTCCAGCCCACGACCCAGATGGAGCTCGCCCATCCTGAGGACAGTGCAGTAAGCACAGGGCAAAGGGGCAGGTGTAGGTCTCGCCTGTCCTCCCTTCTTCTTGAGAACAAGTGACAGACCAGCTGGGTTTCTGGGGTTTTGCTGTGTATCTTTTTTAAAACCAGCTATCTGAGCGGTTTGGGGTAAGCTGGAGGGTAGAGAGCAACCGAGTGAGGTAAGACAACTTAGGCAAAGGTAGTCTGTGATTAGATGACTCAACCTAAAAAAGAAGAAAAAGCAGCTCAGCAGAGAAGCACGGGCAGCTCCATCTGGGCTAATGACAGCGATGGGATTCTACCCTGGAGGGGTAAGGAGGAAACAAAAGATGCCTGTGGATCAAGTTCAGATCAGCAAAAATTCAGGGGGCTTCCACACAAACAGGGGCCCTCCTGTGACTGGCTGCTAACCAGCACTTTGGGCCTAACCTTGACCACCATTTAAACTGAATAAGGCAGAGAAGGCAGTGCAGGTCCTCTGAACACACAAACCCCAGCCCAGAGGGAGCTGCTGTCCCCAACACACTCCAAGACTCAAGAGGGCCTCTCGCTAGCTGTCCCCCTGAAGTGCAAGGTTGGCAGGAAGGGAACAGGAGCGACTGCCGGAGTTTTCCACAAGCGGAAACCAGTGGCTCATCCAGTGTGGTCCCCTGGAGGTGGCCCCGATGCATCCATCTTCACAAACTCTCATAGCTCCTAAGACCTGAAAAGCTGGGCTGCTTGTCTAAAAAGCCCGACAAGTTCAACCCAGACATGCACCTAAAGCTGTCGCCGTCAGCCCGGGACAGCCCATTCAGTCACCAAAGGTTTCAGTGGCCCTTCATATGTGCCAGGCCCTTGGCACTGAGCTTAACAGTCTAAAGGGGAAGAGCCCAGGTTTTCCATGATGGGCAACCCTGTCAAGTGCCACGCCTCAGAGCTGCATATGCAGGCTGCCCTGGGACCTGAGGACAGCACTATGGGTCAGCCAGGGACATGGTGTGGGCCCCTCGGAACAGGCTCCACAGGGAAGCCTCAGAGATTCATGAAGAGGAGGTTCTGGCTGGGCCGGCAGCTGGAGGGGGTGTTCCGCACAGAGACCCCCAAAATGCTCAGAGAATTGAGTTGGGGGAGAGCATGTATTACGTGAGGCTCTCCCATGAGACCCACATGGCTGCTTCGTGACAGGGGGAGGCCGAAGCAGAGACTGTGGGGGAGCCGCGTCCTGGAGGATCCATGTGATAGCAAGCCACTGGAAGTGGGGTGCACAAGCCAAAGGGGGGAAGGCAGGTGGCAGGGAGCCCACTTGGTCTATATGGGATGGTGGTGGCCCCAAGGGTTGTGAGAGAGAGGCTTAGGAGGCGACATCTACAGGCTCTTTCATGGGTGGAGTCCAGCTCTGCAGGCTGAAGACTTCTTGAGGTTGGCTACCTGAAAACGTGAAAGTGCCTCACCCTGCTGGGCCACACACTGAGAAATGGCCATGATGGTTGGGCAGTCACATGGGACAAGAAGAAAGGGCAGATCAGCCCCAGGCTTCTGGGTCAAGTGATAGGACTGAGACAGTAGTGGCAGAGGCAGGACAAAAGCTCAGAAGGCTTTGGCTGGGAAGCTGGGACTCTCCCACTGCTATCCAGGCAGCAGCAGAAGACTATGGGGGCCAAGGGTACTGGCTTGCTTCTAGGTGTGATGTTTCCTTTCAGGCCAGGCCCCCTTTCCCAATTACAAGGGCTACTCAGGGGTTCTCAGGCTAACCTCCTATGTGTCCTAAGCCCAGTCCCACTGAAAACTTGTGCTAAGCACCAGGCTTTCTCCGGAACATGCTCCCCTCCTTGGCCACTAACCTGCTCACATCCTCCTTCTTGATCTTGCCTCCCTCTTCCTTCTGCTCCCCGATCTTCTATTGCTCTGCTGGAGGCTGGAATCCATCCTGTCATCACATTCCCTCTGTCCCAGCCTCAATACCTCTGTGAAGCCAGCAACCCAAGCTCAACTGCCCGGAAGCACCCTATCCTGATCATCTGCTAGGCCTCCCCTGCTCAACCCTGCTCTCCCTGTCCCCTCCTTTCCTTGCTGTCCCCAGGCCTGGCCAGAAGTCCCACTCTGCAACCAGCCCTCACACCTAGCATGATAGTGTTACTCCATGGGCAGCCAGAGCTCCCTTTCCAGCAGGGGGCTGCGTCCTGGCATTCCGAAAGCCCAGAGCAGAACCAAGATCATCTCAGACTCCCAGAGACTGGAAAAGCCTGCTGATTCAACTCCACGTGGGCCTCTCAGCTCTGTCCCCTCAACCCCACTTCTGCTACCACTGCCCCAGTTCAGGTTCCCAGCAAGTCTCACTGACAACCTCCAACTTGGTCTCCCCACTTCAGGCTCTCCTGCTCCACTCCATCCCATACACCCTTGCAAAATATTAATCCACACAGGTGACTGCATCCCAGCAGTACTGGAATACCCACTAGGCAGGCTCTCTACCACTCAGAAAAGTTGCATACGAAGTCTGGAGCCCTTAACTCCTAACCATCTAACCTGCTCAGGCCATGAGTACCTGCTCACGCCATGAGTACCTGCTCGCGTTCAAGAACTGAGCCTCTCCGTGGGACATAAAGAATGTGGAAAGAAAGGGGGTGGGTGTGGTGGCTCATGCCTGTACTCTCAGCACTTTGGGAGGCCGAGGTGGGCGGATCACACGAGGACAGGAGTAGGAGATGACCAGCCTGGCCAACATGGCGAAACCCTCTCTCTACTAAAAATACAAAAATTAGCCAGGCGTGGTGGCATGTGACTGTAGTCCCAGCTACTTGGGAGGCTGAGACATGAGAACTGCTTGAACCCAGGAAGCGGAGGCTGCAGTAAGCCGAGATTGTGCCACTGCCCTCCGGCCTCGGCGACACAGAGAGACTGTGTCTCAAAAAAAAAAAAAAAAAAAAAAGAAAAAGAAAAAAGAAAAAAAATCAACAACAACGACAAAGAAACAGACAGATAATAGGAGTGGCACGGGTGCTCCAAGAGGATCAGGAGGCCCAAAGAAAACGGACTAGCTGAGGCCACTGTTTATGACGTCAGAAACAGAGCTGCAGTCTCGACATCCGCCATTGAGGAATTGGGTAGACACTCAGGAACACTCAAGAACACTGGAGAGGCCAGGCACAGTGGCTGATGCCTGTAATCCTAGCACTTTGGGAGGATGAGGTGGGAGGATTTCTTGAGCCCAGCAGTTTGAGATCAGCTTGGGCAACAGAGCAAGACTCTGTCTCTACAAAATATTTAAAAATTAGGACGTGGTGGCACGTGCCTATAGTCCCAGCTACTCGGGAGGCTGAGGCAAAAGGGCAGGGCTGCAGTGAGCCATGATCACACCAATGCACTCCAGCCTGGGTGATGGAGTGAGAACTTGTCTCAAAAATAAGTAAATAAATAAATAAATAAATAAATAAATAAATAAATAAATATGTTGGAAACAGGTCAGTTGTCCCAGAAAAACATTCATGATAAACTGAGTAGAACATTCAAGTCACCAAGGGGCATTTAAAGCATGTGGTGCTTTAAAGCCCCATGGTTAACTTTTTTTAAACATGGGAATGTTTTTGAAAAGCATGTGGAGGCTGGGCGTGGTGGCTCAGGTGCCACACCCTCCCATGTTCCCATCCAGTAGCCTGATCCAAAAAAGCCATGAGGTTGGTCTTGCGTGACTTCTTAGAAAAGGAAATGGTGATCCCAGGGATCAGTGTGGATTCACCAGTTGCCCATAAGCGATCTAGTTAATCATTTCTGGAATTTTGCCAGAAATATATACTCCTTGCTAGTCTAAGAGTTAAGGCTAGAACCAAGACAGGGGCAAAGGCCGGGGCAGATCTAGGGCACAAGCAGGGCAGGCTAGGGCAGGGCAATGGCAAGACCAGGCCATGGCAGGGCCAGCCCAGGATAGAACAGGGCACAGGCAGGGCAGGGCCAGGGCCATGGCTGGGGCAGGACAAGGACCAGGACCGGGGTCCAGGCCAGGGCAAGGGTATGGCCAGGGTAGAGGTAGGGCCAGAGCCAGGGTCTGGGCAGGACCAAGGCAGGTCCATTGCAGGGCCAGGGTTCAGACCAGGGCCAGAGCAGGGCTGGGACAAGGCCAGTGCCAGGACCAGGAAAGGGCAATGTCAGGACAAGGGCAATGGCAGGACCAGCAATGGGGCTAGGGCCAGGACAGGGACAGGGACAGGGTCAGGGCTAGGGCCAGAATAGCATGCCGGGGTAGAGCCAGGCCAAAGTAGGGCCAGGACAGGGTCAGGACCAGGGCTGGGCCAGGGTATGGCCTTAAGTAGCAAAGGGCCAGGGCAAGGGTCCATGCCAGTGCCAGCGCCAGTCCAGGGCAGAGGCAGGGCCATGGCCAGGTCTAGGACAAGGCTAGGGAAGGGCCAAGGTCTGGGTCAGGGTCAGCACAAGACCAGGACAGAGCCAAGGGAGGGACAGGGCCATGGTAGGACCAGGTTAAATCAAGGACAACACACCTGCAAATCCACTTCAGGGCCAGGGTCAGGGCAGGGCCAGTTCAGGGCCAGGGCCAAGACAGGGCGAGGGCCAGGGCTGTCAGGGTCATTGGCAGGGCCAGGGCCATGGCAGGACCAGGGTCAGGAGCAGGGGTCAATGCCAGGCCAAGGCCACAGATAGGACCAGGTCTGTGCTAGGGCCAGTGTGAGGGCCAAGGCGGGGTCAGGGCAGGGCCAAAGGGAGGGCAGGGCCAGGGCAGGGTGGAGCAGGCCCAGGGTAGCACAGGGTTAAGGTAGGGCACGACCAACCAGGGCAGGTCTATGGATGGGGCCGGGGCAGGGCCAGGGCCGGGGCAGGGCCAGAGCCAGGGCAGGGCCAAGACAGTGGCAGCTCCAGGGCAGGGCCAGGGTTAGGACCATGGACATGTCCAAGGCCAGTGCCAGGGCAAGGGCAAGGGCAGAGGCAGGGCCACGGTCATCTAAGAACCAGGGACAAAGCCAGGCCCAGAGCAGGGCCAGGACAGGTACCTGGCAGGGCTAGGGTCTGGGACAGGGTCATGGCAGGGCCAGGGCCACAACCAGGTCTGTGTTATGGCCAGGTCCAACACAGTGCCCAGGTAAGGCTAGGGTGAAGGCCAAGGTAGGGCCAGGGCAGGGCCAAAGCCAGCCTAGGGCCAAGGCAGGGCCAGGGCCGGCAAGGCAGGGCCAGGAAAGAATAGGGCCAAGGCAGGGCAGGGCCAGGCCAGTGCCAGGACCTGGGCAGGGCCAGGGAACAGCCAGAGCAGGGCCAGGGCCAGGGCCATGGCCATGGCCTGGGCAGGACCAGGTTCAGGGCAGGAGCAAAACAAGGGCAAGGACAGTGCAGGTTCTTGGCACAGCCAGGGTCCAGGACAGTGTCAGGGCATGGCCAAGGCAGGGTCTGGGCCATGGTAAGACCAGCAACAGGGCTGGGGCTAGGCCAGTGACAGTGACAGGACCAGAGTCAGGGCAAGCGCCAGAGCAGTGCAAGGCCAGGGTAGGGCCAGGCATTTCAGGGTCAGGGCCAGAGGAGAACCAGGGCAAGGTCTCAAGCGGGGAAGGGCCAGGGCCAGGACAGGTCCAGGGCAGGGCCATGACAGGGCCAGGGGCTGCGTTAGGGCAAGGGCAGGGCCAGAGCAAGGTAAGGGTCAGGGCCAAGGCCAGGGTAGGGACAGGGCAAGAAATATGGCAGGACTAGGGGCAATGCCAAGGCCAAGGCTGGGCCAGGGCTGAGTCAGGGCTGAGTCAGGGCAGCGCAGGAGAGGGCATGGTATGGCCAGTGCAGGACAGGACAAGAGCCGGTCCACAGAGAGAGCAGGGCTGATGCCAAGAAAGAGCCAGGCTAGTGCCAAGGCTGAGGCAGTGTCAGAGCATGTCCAGGGCAGGGCTGGGGCCAGGGCCAGAACGGAGCCAGGGCACAGCCAAGGCAGGGTAGGGCAGGGAAATAGTATGGCCGGGTCAGTACTGGGACAGGGCAGAGCAGGGCAAGGTGATGGTAGGGGCAGGGCAGGGACAGACCAATGCAGAGCCATGTTACGCCGGGGCCAGGACACCTCCAAGTCCACTTCAGGGCCAGGGCTATGGCAGGACAAAGACCAGGGCCAGGGTCAGGGCCAGGTCTGTGCTAGGGCCAGCTCCAGAGCAGGGCCTAGCGAAGACTAAGGTGAGGGTCAAGGTAAGGCCAGGGCAGGGTCAAAGGCAGAGTAGGGCCAGGGCAGGGTGAGGACACATCCAGAGCACAGCAGGGCAGGGTGATGGCAAGACCAGGGGCAGACCACTGCCAGCTCAGGGCCAGGGAAAGGCCAGTGCTGAGCCAGGAAAGGGTCTGGGTCTGGGTCAGGGCCAGGACAAAGGCAGAGGAGGGCCAGGGCCATGGCAGAGTCAGGGCAGGTCCTTGACAGGACCAGGTTCCAGGCCAGAGCCAGGGCAGCAGCAGGGGCAGGGCCTGGATAAGGGCAGGGCCAGGGATATGGCAGGACCAGGGCTAGGGCCAGGGCCAGGCCATAGTGAGGGCAGGGCAAAAGCCAAGGCAGGGTCAGGTCAGGTCCAGGGAGCGGCCAGCACCAAGCGGGGCCAAGGCACAACCAGCGCAGGGTAAGGCAGGGCAATGGCACCACTGGGCCATGACAGGGCAAGGTCAGTGTCAGGAGAGGGCAGAACAGGAAGGCCCATGGTGGGGCCAGGGCAGGGACGGGCCAAAGCAAGGCCAGGACATGTCCAAGGCCCGGTCAGGGCCAGAACAGGAGCAGGACCGTGACCATTGGCAGGGCCAGCGCCATGACAGGACCAGGGTCAGGACAAGAGGCAGGGCCAGAGCCAGGGCCAGAGCCAAGGTCAGGCCAGTGCAGGTTCAGGGCAGGGCCAGTGCCAGGGCAAGACCAGGGCAGGGACAGGGTAGCACAGGGCCAAGACAGTGTCAGGATGGGACCAGAGCAGGACAGGGCCTAGAGTCCAGGTAACAGTAGGGCAGGTACAGGGCAAGGCAGGGCAGTAAAGGGCCAGATCCACGGCAGGGGCAGGGCAAAGACAGGCCCATTGCCAATGCACCAGCCCTCCCTACAAAGCTCCTACGGCCTGGCCACTGCTGCAGCCCATCCATCGCTGTAAGCCTGACCCCCAACCCTGGCTGCAGCCGCCTGCCCTCCTAGCACAGCCGCTCTCCTACCGCTCTGGCGCACTGCAGTCTCCGTCGCTGCCACCCACTCGCAGCGAGGCGAGCTGTGGTGTCGCAGGCTCTGGGTGTCTCCTCCTCCTCCTGGCATGGAGCAGCTGGGCGGGCAAAGCCAGAAAAGCCTAGAGGAAGATGTGAGGGGTGGAAGGGTTAGAGCCTCAACTTGTCATGCTGGCCACTGGGTGGCAGGGGCCAGTTTCAGCAAAGGCACTCACATCCACCCTCCAAAGTCCAGCCTCTCCTTTTGGCCCAAGCTGGCCGGGAACTGGGGTCTGGGGTGGGTGCTGGAGACACCACAGCACCCAGCTCCCCACTCCACAGAAACCACTGGGCCCACCGGGTCTGCACTCCTCGGGGAGCAGGAGAAGCAGAAAAATTCAGACCCAGCCAGCCCTCCACACGCAGGTGCCAATTCCTGTTCCGAACGCCTCCACACACAGTGCCCTGTCTCCCGTGGTGTCCCCAGGGGTGCCTGGCAGCCTCTGAGGCACAGACCCAGAGTGCACAGGCCCAGGAACCACGGTGGGTGTGGGGGCTCTGCTGTGCTCAGGATTCCCATGCAAACGCTGTGCGCCTGCCGCACTCCAGTATGACCAAGTGTGGGTCGCCCTCTGGAGTGTGGAGTCAGGGAGAGGAGAACCACTCCTTCCTTGGATGCCAACTCTGCTGACCGCTGCCAGCAGTACAGCCCCTGATAGCACCAAGCTCACCCCCCCACAGCTAGTCCTGCCCTCAATAGCACCCCCCACCTCCATCCCCCAATGCCGCCAGTAGCGTATACCAAATAGTGCCCTAACCTGTCCTCCTCCACGGGCATTGCAGCCCCAGAAAACACCCATAACCCACCCTCTCTGCCGTGGGCAGTGCAGCCCTGTACAGTGCTACCAACCAGTACCCCTAATGCAGGCAATGACACCCTGGATAGCGTCCCCAACCTACCCTACACTGTGACCTAAGGTGCAGCCCTGGATAGCCCCTGTCCTGCCACTCTGGTGGTGCTGCACATCAGCCATCCAAGAGTGAGATGCTAATGCTCCAAGTCCTAATCTCATTTGAGGAAATGCATGCCCTGCTCCACTTCCAAACACTTTGTAGACAGAGGTCCTTTCACTGAAGAACAAGCACCCACAGGACATGCTCCTCACAGTGAACCCACATTTGATTAGCATGGAGACAATTGGGATCATTTCTGGGACCATTACTGTCTATGACACTGAGCAGATGCCTTTGCCTCATCCTGGTTTCATCAGGCACTAGCACAGCCCACTGGGGGCTCTGATGAAGTGACCGCTGGATGTCCCATGTGAGTATCCAGCAGGCCCCATGGACAAGCTCTGAGATCTTCTGGGTGCTACTGAGACAGTGTCTTCAGCATCTGCCTGAGATCCTAAGATCTTCAATAGAAGACTCTTGGTTTACTGATTTGGCTTGTGATGTGTGATTGGTGCTGATTTTCTCATAGACTGACAATGGCAATGAGGTGTTGGAATAATAATTTGGAGTTCTTCATGAACTCCCAGCTCTCAAAATAATTTCCAAGGAATTGGTGTTTTGAGTAAGTTTGGGTTTTATTTCTCATTCTATTTAAAATAATTTTGTGACATATTTATATCAGGAAACACAAGACACTCCAATGAGAAAGCTGTTTTTATGTGAGGTACAAAGCACTGGAGAGATGGAGATGTCCTTGAATTCTCAGAATTGCTAGAACTTGAATACCAAGGTCACCTCTGAATGGCAGTAGTCTGTCTGTGAGGACATCAATCAGCTCTGCCTTTAGGAATTTTTGAATGTGTGGACAAGATCAAGAGTGTGATTTATTTTTATCCATCCTGGTTAGAGGGAAACTTCCAGTCCCAGGAAGTGGGTGATTTTAACTGAAACACCTGAGAGCTGCCATTCTGAGCAGTTTTGAACCCTGAGATCTATTGAAGATCTTTGGAGAAAGCAGTGGGGCCTATCTGCATTCTCCTCAACGTGTGATCCTGAGGATGTGGCCTAATTTCTGTACACTTTCATGTTAAAAGATGTAGATGGCAGACTGAAGTGACAATTTCATATGCAAACTCTATAATAGGTCATAACTGGAGAATAGTCTCATCACCAAGATTACTTCACTTACTTTCCTGGGAACCAGGGAGAACCTCCGTGAGCCCTCCCATCTGAGCACACAAAGAACTCTGCTCCTGCCCTGACAGATCACACCTGTGACACGGGTACTTGAGGACAACAAGAATCAAGTCTATTGTCCTCATTCATATATTGACCAATCTAGCTTGATCCTTCTGTCTCTGAAAGGCCTCTCCTCCACTGAATTGCATGAACATACCTTCTGGTGAGGGGCATTGCAACTTTGGTATTTGATATTAGTTTAGTGAATTACATAATAAATATGCATCCATGGATTTTGGTAACAGGAGAGTCATCAGAAGCTGGGTGAGTCATATAATCAGGACAAACCTGGGCTCTCTTCTTAGTACCTGGAAAAAGTGGGCTGACCTTCTGTGGGGCAACAGAGGGGAAGAGACAGACCAAACTTCCAGAACCAGGTGAGCTCCTCACTTTCCAGGTGGTCTCTGAGCCTTTTGTTTGAACCCATGCAGAAGGACCTGTCCTCGCCTTCAGTGAAATGGCAAAGTTGCAGAAAAGATCACAGTGACCAATAATTTTTACTTACAGAGATAAAAGTGTCATAGACCTGTAAACATCAATGTGGGTGTGTATACGGTTTGCTAGGGTGTTCTCATACACCCACAAAAAATGAAATTATATTTTCTGGAAAGAAAACCAAAGGGCTTCTGAATTTGTAGGTTTTGTTATTCTCATATATGCCAGCTCCCATTTTAGGATGCTGCTCCCTAGGAACCAGGACATCGGCCCTCTGACCCTGATGACAGAACGAGCTGCTGAGGCTCAGTTCTGGACAAGAGCTACTGATAAGAGACTCACTTCCTCCACACAGCCCCACTCATGGCTGGAGGCTCTTCCCTGGGTGCAGCACCACAGAGGACATTGGGTCCCTGGTTCACAGCCCTGCTCCTGTGGCAGAGAGTCCACCCCAGCAAGAACTGCTTGCTGATAAAGTGGGAAACTTCTCCCCAACCCTCCGCTGAGCAGTCAGAGCCTATGCTGAGGGAGGAAAAAGCTCATCTGTCTCCATCTGCAGAAACTTACTTAGGAGCTCTGTCCCAGGAAAGAGGGGCTGCTGTAATTTAGCCATAATATAGAATCTTGAATCTGGTCTTAAACTACCTACATTCGTTTACAATAGAATGTGGAAAAGTTCAAAGCTTGAGTGTGCTCTCCAAAATATTGGAGGCTGTGGTGAAAGGAAGGCCCTTGGAAAGAAACAGGTGGATGCATGGGAGACAATGGCTAAACTGCAGGCCTGCTGGCTGGCTGGCTGGAGAAAACCAAGGAGGGAGAGACCTGGAGTTCTTCTGGGGTCAGAACAAATATCAGACACTCTTCAAACAAGCCCAGTTTTGTCTGTATTAGTCTGTGATGCAATTCAAACCTTAGTGCTTTGTTAAAAAGAACAGAATTTTCAATCTGCAAGTGGTGGAATTCAACATCTGGGCCTGGTCAGGAAAGAGACAGAGAAAGCTCAGCCCATACAACTGATATCTGAGAATGGCAGTGTTTCTTACAACTATGTCCCTTTGGTCGTTGAGACTGGCTTCTCTCAATTAGTGTAATGTCTGGAGTTCACTTGTAATAGTTTGTGTATCAGTCATTTGTTAGTTTTTATGCTGATGGTATTCAATGTATAGATGGTGCCTACCTTCTTTGCCCATTCGAATTTTCATACATTCATGTTATTTTTAGTTTCTAACACATGCACACACACACACACACACACACACACACTATGTTGAATATTTGCATAGAGGTTTTGTTTGAATATAAAATTATATTTCTCTGAAGCAAATATTCAGGAGGGGGATTTTTAGGTAATGTGTTAAGGGCATATATAATTTTACAAGAAACTAAGAATTATTTTCCTGTGTAGCTGTTTCTATTTCCATTCCCATTAGCAATGTTTTAGACTCTGGAAACCTGGTATGCTCACCAGCATTGGTGTGATCCATCTTTCTTCTTAATTTCAGCCATTCTAAAAAGGGTGTTTGGGTATCTTATAGTGGTCTTGATTTGAATTTCTCTGATGAAAAATCCTGTTGAGATCCTGTTTATATGCCTATGTGTAATCTGTACATCTTCTTTAATGAAATGCCTGCACAAAACTTTGCCTATTTTATCCACGGGTTGCCTCTTCTTTTATTCACTGTTGAGTTTTGAAGTTTCTTACTATAATTACACAGGTGGTGATATGATTTGCAAATCTTCTCATCTAAAACTTGACATTCATTCTCTTAAAATCACTTGAGTACAAAAGGATTTTAAGTTAAATGAAGTTCAACTGATATTAATTTCATTTATTGATCATGATTTAAACTTTAATTTTCAAGATCTTTGGTCAACTATTTTTTATTTATTTATTTATTTATTTTTATTATTATACTTTAAGTTTTAGGGTACATGTGCGCATTGTGCAGGTTAGTTACATATGTATATATGTGCCATGCTGGTGCGCTGCACCATCTTGTCATCTAGCATTAGGTATATCTCCCAATGCTTAATAATTTTATATTTTCAATTGTAATTGCTTTTATCTTTATTTGTATAAATTTAAGGGCTATGGGTGCACCTTTGTTACACAGAAATATTACAGTGGTATTGGCTTTAGTGTACCCAACACCCAAGTAACGTACATTGTACCCATTAGGTGATTTTTCATCATGCTCCCAACTCCTACCCTCCCATTCTGCTAAGTCTCCAATGTCCATAATCCCTCTCTCCATATCCTTGTGTACACACTGTTTTCCTCCCACTTATAAGTAATAATGTGTGATATGTGGCTTTCTGTTTGTGAGTTAGCTCACTAATTATAATGTCCCCCAGTTCTAGGCATCTTGCTGCAAAAGACACAGTTTCATTCCTTATTGTGGCTGACTAGTATTAAATTGTGCATATATGCTATATTCTTTTATAAAATCATCTGTCGGTGGACACTCAGGTTGTCATATATGCTATTGAGAATAGATTTGTGGTAAACATAGAAGTGTGGGTATCTTTTTGAAATCGTGATTTCTTTGTCTTTGGGTAGTTACCCAGTAGTGGGATTGGTAGAATAAAGGCCAGTACTGTTTCTCATTTTTTGGAAAGTCTCCATACTGTTTCCCCCCTCTCTCTCTCTTTTTTCCTTTTTTAACTATACTTTAAGTTCTGGGATACATGTGCAGAATGTGCAAGTTTGTCACATAGGTATACATAGGCCATAGTGGTTTTCTGCACCCACCAACTCATCATCTACAATAGGTATTTCTCCTAATGCTAACCCCTCCAGCCCCCCACTCCCCAACAGTCTCCGGTGTGTGATGTTTGTTCCCCTCCCTGTGTCCTTGTGTTCTCATTGTTCAACTCCCACTTGTGAGTGAGAACATGTGGTGTTTGGTTTTATGTTCTTGTGATAGTTTGCTGAGAATGATGGTTTCCAGCTTCATCCATGTCCATGCAAAGCACATGAACTCATCCTTTTTATGGCTGCATAGTATTCCATGGTGTATATGTGCCACATTTTCTTTATCCAGCCTATCATTGATGGGCATTTGGGTTGGTTCCAAGTCTTTGCTATTGTCAACAGTGCTGCAATAAAAATATGTGTGCATGTGTCTTTATAGCAGAATGATTTATAATCCTTTGGGTATATACCAAACAATGAGATTGCTGGGACAAATGGTATTTCTAGTTCTATCTAGATCCTTGAATAATCACCACACTGTCTCCCACAATGGTTGAAGTAATTTACACTACCAACCACAGTGTAAAAACGTTCCTATTTCTCCACATCCTCTCCAGCAGCTTTTGTTTCCTGACTTTTTAGTCATCACTATTCTAACTGGCATGGGATGGCATCTCTTTGTGGTTTTGATTTGCATTTCTCAAATGACCAATGATGATGAACTTTATTTTATATGTTTGTTGGCTGAATAAACATCTTCTTTTGAGATGTGTCTGTTCATAACCTTCCCTCAATTTTTGATGGGGTTGTTTTTTTATTGTAAGTTTGTTTAAGTTCCTTGTAGATTCTAGATATTGGCCTATTGTCAGATGGATAGATTGCAAACAATTGCTCCCATTCTGTAGGCTGCCCATTCACTCTGAAGATAGTTTCTTTTGCTGTGCAGAAGCTCTTTAGTTTACTTAGATCTCATTTGTCAATTTTGACTTTTGTTGCAATTGCTTTTGGTGTTTTAGTCATGAAGTCCTTGCACATGCCTATGTAATGAATCGTATTGCCTAGGTTTTCTTCTAGGACTTTTATGGTTTTAGGTCTCACATTTAAGTCTTTAACCCACCATGAGTTAATTTTTGTATAAGGTGTAAGGAAGGGATCTAGTTTCAGTTTTCTGAATATGGTTAGCTAGTTTTCCCAACACCATTTATTAAATAGGGGATCATTTTCCCCATTGCTTCTGTCAGGTTTTTCAAAGATCAGGTGGGTGTAGATGTGTGGCATTATTTCTGAGACCTCTATTCTGTTCCATTGGTCTATATATCTGTTTTGGTACCAGTACCATGCTGTTTTGGTTACTGTAGCCTTGTAGTATAGTTTGAAGTCAGGTAGCATGATGCCTCCAGCTTTGTTCTTTTTCCTTAGGATTGTCTAGGCTATATGGGCTCTTTTTTGGTTCCATATGAAATTTAAGGTAGTTTTTTTCTAATTCTGTGAAGGAAGTCAATGGTAGCTTGATGGGGATAGCATTGAATCTATAAATTACTTCGGGCAATATGGCCATTTTCATGATATTAATTCTTCCTATCTATGAACATGGAATGTTTTTCCATTTGTTTCTGCCCTCTCTTATTTCCTTGGGCAGTGGTTTGTAGTTCTCTTGAAGAGGTCCTTCACATCCTTTGTAAGTTGTATTCCTAGGTATTTTATTTTCTTTGTAGCAATTGTAAATGAGAGTTCACTCATGATTTGGCTCTCTGTCTTTCTATTATTGGTGTATAGGAATGTTTGTGATTTTTCCACATTGATTTTGTATCCTTAGACTTTGCTGAAGTTGCTTATCAGCTTAAGGAGATTTGGGGCTGAGATGATGGGGTTTTCTAAATATATAATCATGTCATCTACAAACAGAGACAGTTTGACTTCCTCTTTTCCTATTTGAATACCCTTTATTTATTTCTCTTGCCTGATTTCCCTGGCCAGAACTTCCAATACTATGTTGAATGGGAGTGGTGAGACAGGGCATCCTTGTCTTGTGCCGGTTTCCAAATCCACCATGATCAAGTTGGCTTCATACCTGGGATGCAAGGCTGGTTCAACATATGCAAATCAATAAACATAATCCATCACATAAACAGAACCAATGGAAAAAAAAACATTATTATCTCAATAGATGCAGAAAAGGCCTTCAATAAAATTCAACACCGATTCATACTAAAACCGCTCATTAACTAGGTATTGATGGAATGTATCTCAAAATAATAAGAGCTGTTTATGAGAAATGCATAGTCAATATCATACTCAATCCATACTGTTTTCTATAGAGGTCGTACTCGTCCACATTCTCATCAACAGTGTCTAAGAGTTCACTTTACATTTCATCCTCTCCAACATCTGTTATTTTTGACTTTTTAATAATAGCCATTGTGAACGGTATGATATCTCACTACAGTTTTAATTTGCATTTCCCTGATGATTAGTGATGCTGAGCATTTTTTATGTATCTATTGTCCATTTTTATGTGTTATTTACAAAAATGTCTACTCAAGTTGTTTGCTCATTTTAATGGGGTTATTTGGTTCTTGTTTTCTTTCGTAGTTGTTTGAGTTTCTTGTTAATTCTGCATATTAGTACTCCGTCAGAGGCACAGTGTGCAAATATTTTCTATCATTCTGCACTTTGTCTGTTCACTCTGTTGCTGTGAAGAAACTTGTTAGATTCATTAAGTCCCATTTGTCTATTATTTGCTTTTTGTCTTTTGGTTTTTGGCTTGTGCTTTTGAGTTCTTAGTCGTAAATTATTTACCTAGGCCAGTGTCCAGAAGAGTTGTCCTGGTGTTTTATTTGAATACGTTTACAGTTTGAGGTCTTACATTTAAACCTTTAATCTATTTTCTGTTAATTATTTACATGTTGAGGGTGGGTGTCCAGTTTAATTCATGTGCATATAGCTATCCAATTTCCCCAGCGCCCTTTATTGAATGAGGTGACCTTTCCCTGGTGTATACGTTGGTTAATTTTTGTTAACTTTGTCAAAGATCACTTGGCCATAGATTATGTGGCTCAATTCTGGGTTCTGCAAAATGTACCCAAGAGCCTTGATTTTCCTGGGGCCTCAATACTGATCTGCTCACTGCTTGAACTCCATTGACTCAGTGATGCTCCTATCATTGTCGTGGTTTGTTGTCATGCGATGGCTTTCCTAAAATTGTGGACAATTCTGTTTTCTTTTTTTTTTTTTAATTATTATACTTTAAGTTTTAGGGTACATGTGTACAATGTGCAGGTTAGTTACATATGTATCCATGAGCCATGTTGGTGTGCTGCACCCATTAACTCATCATTTAGCATTAGGTATATCTCCTAATGCTGTCCCTCCCCCCTCCCCCCACCCCACAACAGTCCCCAGAGTGTGATCCCCTTCCTGTGTCCATGTGTTCTCATTGTTCAATTCCCACCTATGAGTGAGAACATGTGGTGTTCGGTTTTTTGTCCTTGTGATAGTTTACTGAGAATGATGGTTTCCAGTTTCATCCATGTCTCTACAAAGGACATGAATTCATCATTTTTTATGGCTGCATAGTATTCCATGGTGTATATGTGCCACATTTTCTTAATCCAGTCTATCATTGTTGGACATTTGGGTTGGTTCCAAGTCTTTGGTATTGTGAATAGTGCCGCAATAAACATACGTGTGCATGTGTCTTTATAGCAGCATGATTTATAGTCCTGTTCAAACTTGAGCTAGGAATTTCATAAGAAAAGTGTTGTCGAATTTTTCATTTCTTTTCCACATTGATCCTCAGACTTACTGAGATGGGTTTCTGATGTCAAGCTGAGGCATTTTACTTTCCAAGTGTTGGATTTTATACTTACCTGGGTATTTAATCACCCCCTGTGTGGAAATCAGCCTCATCTATCACACCTTCCCTATAAAATTTCTAGAAATTTATTTGTACACTGCAAGTGAGACACTCCATGATGAGGACACATTCTGTCTTTCTTGTTGTTTCATAAAATTACTTTATTAGTGTAAATTTGTCTCTGCAAGAAAAGATGGTATCTGGATTTTAATTAATCATCCTGCTCTTTTATCTCCACATTCTTCTCCAACACTATTTCCTGCAGTTTAAGAATGTCATATGTTATAGATATTTGTATTCAGACCCTTGGAAGGATATGAGCTCAAGAAATAAGTGGCCACATATCAGTGATGCATGTGGCCGAGGTAATGGGACTCTTAGATGCTCAATCTTTGTCAAACAGGATACAGCCTCTGCTTACATGGATCACTAACAGGGAGCATGACATTTAATAATACAGAATAGGAAAACAGACAGGGCTCTGAGTCTGGTTGGTATAGGAAACACAAGCCCTGGCAGGAAATGGCATCTCAGTCACACTTTCCTGTTCTGCAGAGGTAGGGAGGGAGCACCACTGAGACGCAGCCTGGGTTCTTGTACAGGAGGCATCCTGGGCTGTGTCTCTGTGCTCTCCATGCACAGTAATACGTGGCTGTGTCCACAGGGTCCATGTTGGTCATGGTAAGGACCACCTGGCTTTTGGAGGTGTCCTTGGAGATGATGAGCCTGTTCTTCAGAGACGTGCTGTAGGATTTTTTGTCATTCAAAAAAATGTGAGCAAGCCACTCCAGGGCCTTCCCTGGGGGCTGACGGATCCAGCTCATACCCATTCCAGAAGTGCTGAGTGAGAACCCAGAGAGAGTGCAGGTCAGCGTGAGGGTCTCTGTGGGTTTCACCAGCGCAGGACCAGACTCCTTCAAGGTGACCTGGGACAAGACCCCTGTGGAGAAGACATAAGAAGATGAAGCCCACAAAGGAGAGAACTGATGTTTCACTTCTGAGGAAGTCCCTGACCACAACACTCACAGGAAGGGGTGGTCAGCAGCAGGAGTGTGGAGCAAAACGTGTCCATAGTGGGGCACAGGAGTCACTGAGCGAGGCCCCATTCTCGGCTTTTGAACCCAGAGGAGGGTGGAGCTGGTGGAGATTTGCATCCCCTCATCTGAGTCCTACTCTATGGGGTGCACTCAGGTCTCAGGACTCAGTAGGGGAGTGCATCTGTGGTGAAGAGCAGTGAGCCCTCAGGTGTGGACTTCCACGTGTGCTCTCCATGGGGGACTCCATCTCATTTCAGGACCATGCCTTTCAGCCAAGGCTCTGAGATTCCTGCTCCTACAGACAGGGTCTTCTCTAAGTCTCACCCAGGCAGCATGCAGCTTTCTGGTTTTAGTCCTAGAGGATGAGAGGAGAAATCAATAGAGATGGTTTTCTTTCTTCCTTCAGGAGAAATGAGGGTGGGAATCTGGTAGAGCAAGGGGCTTCCCATAAGTTTCTGATAAAAATCCTCTTTGTTTAGGGGGAAAGTGATGATTTTTTTAAATGATAGAGAATACATCAACAAAACATTTAAAAATGTATTGTGTAAAGAAGTGTAAATAGCATTTCAGCCATTTACACACTGCAAGACACACTGCTTATTAGTGTGTCTGCACATAGGTGCATTCCTGTAGGAATGTTCCATGGATAATCAATCTTGTCTTTATGCCCTGTCAGCCCTTTAGGAAGAGTAGACTGCATCTCTGACATCCCTCTTCCAGCGCATGAGTGAGCAGAGGCTTTAAACAGGGTAATTGGAGGAATCCCAGGGGAGCAGCTGGCTTTTTGATCCCGCCGCCGCGGCTTTTTGCGGCTTTTGGCCGCCGCCGCAGGTTTTTGCCGCCGCCGCAGGTTTCTCCCGCCCCGGCTTTATGCCCCCCGCCGACGCAGCTTTTTGCCGCTGCGGCTTTTTGTCCCCGCCGCCGCGGCTTTTTGTCCCCGCCGCCGCGGCTTTTTGCGGCTTTCTACCTCCGCCGCCGCGGCTTTTTGCCCCCGCCGCCGCGGCTTTCTCTGCCGCGGCTTTTTGACCCCGTCGCCGCGGCTCTTTGCCCCCGCCGCCGCGGCTTTCGGCCTCGTCGCGGCGGCTTTCTGCCCCCGCCCCCGTTGCTTTTTGCTCCCGCCGGCACGGCTTTTTGCCTCCGCCGCCGCGGCTTTTTGCCCCCGAAGCCACGGCTTTTTGCGGCTTTTTGCCCCCGCCGCCACGACTTTTTGCCCTGCCACAGCGGCTTTTTGTGGCTTTTGGCCCCCGCCGCCCCGGCTTTTTGCCCCCGCCGCCACAGGTTGTTCCCACCGCGGCTTTTTGCCTCCGCCGCCTCGGCTTTCTACACCCGCCGCCGCAGCTTTCTGCCTTTGCGGCTTTTTGCACCCGCCCCCCCATGCCACTTTTTGCCCCCGCCGCCGCGGCTCTGACTGCAGGATCCGCCAACTAGGCTGCCAGCTCTACCGGCGTCCTGGCTCGGGCAGCGCCAAGGGGCGCTCCTCGTCCAGCTCTCCCGGCTCAGGGGTTCCTTGCCTAGACGCCCGCACCCCTAGCTCCCCGCCTTGACCGCTGCAGCCTGCATAGAGTGGCGCTGCGCCCGGCTGCGATGGGAGAGAAGAAGGAGGGCGGTGGCGGGGGTGATGCGGTGGCGCAGAGGGAGGCGCAGGGGCCGCCGCTAGCCGGGTGCTGCAGCAGTGCGGGCAGCTCCAGAAGTTCATAGGCATCTCCATCGGCAGCCTGCTCGGGCTGCGCACCCAGTGCTCTGTGTCCAACGACCTCACCCAGCAGGAAATACGGACGATGGAGGTAAGGGGGTCCGGGACCCCGGCTGGGCTCGAGGAGCGGCCCGGACACCTCCCTTGGGGCCCCAGTTCACTCCTGGCCGAGTTGCATCCTTGAGCCCGCATGGCCCCCTTGGAGGCTTCTCCTCCCTCCTGCACTAGCTGATGCAGCAGCCAGAGGACCCCGGACTAGCCCTCACCTTGGGCAGGATTTGTGGGGCGGGTGCGTGATGGGAACTTGGATGGAGGCTCGAGGGGCCCGTGGGCAGGGTGGGCTGCGCACAGACATCCCCTTACAACCCGAATTTCCATCTGGTCCAGCCCTCTCGTCTTGTAGGTGAGGAAACCGAAGGCCTGAGGGAGAACTGACTTGCCAGGAACCTCTCTTAAAGAGAATTAACAAAGTGTGGTTATTAAAGGAGAAATGAGTTGGGAGTCAGACCTGGAAGCCCACACCCTTGGTTAAGACATTATACCACCTTGAGTCTGGCCTGTTGACTGAGGGTGAGCCACTCCATCCTCGTCTGATTGTGGGGTCTTGACCTCAAGGGGTTTCCTGCAGGAAGAAGCAAATGGGTTTGCTTTCCTAGCTCTGTCCACTACCTTAGGGACCCTGAGGACTGGAGAGATTCTTGGAGAGCTATCTAGTGTATGTCATGGGTGGGCCTTTTTTGAAGGTCAGTCTGCCCAGTGGGCTGGCTCAGCCCGAATGAACTCTCTTGAATCTTTGGAGTTGTCTGTGTACTTTTAAGGGCTTCTCATCCTTGCACCAAAAGATCCCCTGGAAATTAGGTGGGAAAACCTTAACTTTCATGGGACCTTTTTCATGCACATGGCCAGGTGTGGTGGCTCACACCTGTTATCCTTTCCTGGATCCCTTGAGTCAAGGAGTTTGAGACCAACCTGGACAATATAGTGAGACCATGTCTCTACAAAAAATAAAATGTTAGCCAGGAGTGGTTGTGCGCATCTATAGTCCCAGCTACTACTGTGGCTGAGGCAGGCGGAGCACTTGAGCCTGCACTGAGCTGTGATCTCACCAGTGTGCTCCAGCCTGGGCCACTGAGCAAGACCTTGACTCAAAAAAAAAAAAAATTTCTTGAAGATTTTGCATTCTGTCCCACTATCCATTGGTTTTCATGTCAAGATAATGTCAGAAATTCTTTACAATTGCTTCCAGAAGGAGTAGCCTTTTGATCTAGTGCACAGGTGTCCAGTCTTTTGGCTTCTCAGGGCCACATTGGAAGAAGAATTCTCCTGGGCCACACATAAAATACACTATTGCTAACGACAGCTGATGAGCTTATAAAAAAAAAAAGGTTTGTGCATAATTTTCATGATACCCACCACCACAGATAGGCGGAAAAGTCCTTTTAGTCAAAGGGTTGGACACGGCTGATCTAGTGTCTTGTCATCAGTTTTGGCTTTCTCCCTGATTCCAGAATGCAGGTAGAGATGTAGATACGTGCTCTCAGGACAGCTGTTGAGATAAAAAAATTCATTGTCATTTATTCCCAAGCACAGCTGTTTCTCATTTGCATTAAAAAAGTCTCCAAACCGCTGTCACATATAAAACCTGTTTATATAAGTCTGTATTTTTCTGTTGTCATGACATTTGTGGGCAGTAGTGTGTTTTAACCGAGCAAACTGTCCTTCAAATAATGAAGCCGAAGTCAGCCTACCTGCTTGCCATGTTTCTTCCCCTTCCATTTTTCTAACCTCAGGATAATTGTAAGAATGAATTAAGATTTGTGTTTAAGGCCAGGCACAGTGTCTCAGGCCTGTAGTCTTAGCACTTTGGGAGGGGGAGACGGATGTATCGCTTGAGCTCAGGAGTTGAAGACCAGCCTGGGCAACATACTAAGACTCCGTTTTGTACAATTAAATTAAAATTTAAAAAAAGAAGAGGAAAAGACTTGTGTTTCAAATTTTAAAAAAGCGGGGGGAAAGGTAATGCAAAATGTGGACTATGCCAGCTATGATTAAGAAAAATAATTTTTCCTACAGCATTATCTGTAGACTTGTATTAGCAGCATACTGGTCATAAGCGTTTTGCTTTCCTCAAATATGATGAGGTAAGCTACTTTAAAGTGTGGTGGGGCTTTCTTCTGCGTGGCTCCTGGAGGTGTTCAGTCCCAATTTAGCCAATTAATTTGGGTTTGGTTTTGATATGGATAAGGGAGACGAGCTTCATTCATGGTACACACACAGTTTTGCCAATAAGGAAAAAATAAAGCAACCTGAATGTTCCTACTCATTAGATGCTATCTGGAGAGCTCCTACCCCACCCTCGCCAAGGCCCGGGCCCTTAAAAAGACTCAATGCAGCCTTTCTGTATCTCATACTGTATTCTGCAAGATGCTCCTGTGAAAGAAAGTTGTGCTGCATCAGCCATCTCCCTCCTGAAGATCCCTGTGGATGAGGATTTGCGTTTAAAAGGTTCTGAGAACTCCTGCAACAACAGTTCTCAAACTTATTTGTCCAGGGGATCTTTTCTTCCACTGAACATAGTTGGGGAGACACGGCCTTAAGCCTTGAGCAGAGAAAGAGACAAGAAACAGTTGGCTCACTTACAACCAAGTGTTGTGTTTATGTTTTAGGTTTTTATGAAACTGAGGTGCTGTTTGAAGTTCTAAATGAAATTGGGTGGTTGAAGAGAGGCTGGTATCCCTGTAGACTTAGCCAGCCATGTGAGGTTGCCTTTTGTTGAAGGAGGTGTTTTACAAAGGGAAATAGGGTGTCTCCTGGGCATCACATTAGCACTTAAATGCATGTATCACTGAAATGAAATGAAATGATGAAATGATGAAATGAAATGAAATGATTAAATGAAATGATGAAACAAAATGATGAAATGAAGAAATGAAACGATGAAATGATGAAATGAAATGATGAGATGAAATGAAATGGTGAAATGTTGAAATGAAATGATGACATGAAATTAAATGATGAAATGATGCAATGAAATAATGCAATGATGAAATGGAATGATGAAATGAAATGATGAAATGATGAAATGAAATGAAATGAAATGATGAAATGATGAAATGAAAAGATGAAATGATGAAATGAAGAAATGGGATGAAATGATGAAATGAAATGAAATGATGAAATGAAGTGAAATGATGAAATGATGAAATGATGAAATAATGAAATGAGGGGTGGAGCCAAGATGGCCGAACAGGAACAGCTCTGGTCTACAGCTCCCAGCATGAGCAACTCAGAAGACAGGCGATTTCTGCATTTCCATCTGAGGTACCGCGTTCATCTCACTAGGGAGTGCCCAACAGTGGGTGCAGGACAGTGGGTGCAGCGCACCATGTGCAAGCTGAAGCACAGCGAGGCATTGCCTCACTCGGGAAGTGCAAAGGGTCAGGGAGTTCTCTTTCCTAGTCAAAGAAAGGGGTGACAGACGGCACCTGGAAAATCAGGTCACTCTCACCCTAATACTGTGCTTTTCCAATGGGCTTGGAAAAGAGCACACCAGGAGATTGTGTCCTGCACCTGGCTTGGAGGGTCCTACGCCCACAGAGTCTCACAGATTGCTAGCACAGCAGTCTGAGATCAAACTGCAAGGCGGCAGTGAGGCTGGGGGAGGGGTACGCACCATTGCCCAGGCTTGCTTAGGTAAACAAAGCAGCCAGGCAGCTGGAACTGGGTGGAGCCCACCACAGCTCCAGGAGGCCTGCCTGCCTCTGTAGGCTCCACCTCTGGGGGCAGGGCACAGACAAACAAAAAGTCAGCAGAAACCTCTGCAGACTTAAATGTCCCTGTCTGACAGCTTTGAAGAGAGTAGTGGTTCTCCCAGCACGCAGCTGGAGATCTGAGAACGGGCAGACTGCCTCCTAAAGTGGGTCACTGACCCCCGAGCAGCCTAACTGGGAGGCACCCCTCAGTAGGGACAGACTGACACCTCACTCGGCCGGGTAGTCCTCTGAGACCAAATTTCCAGAGGAACGATCAGACAGCTGAATTTGTGGTTCATGAAAATCTGCTGTTCTGCAGCCACCGCTACTGATACCCAGGCAAACAGGGTCTGGAGTGGACCTCTAGGAAACTCCCACAGATCTGCAGCTGAGGGTCCTGTCTTTTAGAAGGAAAACTAACAAACAGAAGGACACCCACACCAAAAGCCCATCTGTACATCACCATCATCAAAGACCAAAAGTTGATAAAACCACAAAGATAGGGAGATAACAGAGCAGAAAAACTGGAAACTCTAAAAAGCAGCGCGCCCCTCCTTCTCCTAAGGAACGCAGTTCCTCACCAGCAATGGAACAAAGCTGGACGGAGAATGACTTTGACGAGTTGAGAGAAGAAGGCTTCAGACGATCAAACTACTCCGAGCTACAGGAGGAAATTCAAACCAATAGCAAAGAAGTTATAAACTTTGAAAAACGATTAGATGAATGTATAACTGGAATAATCAATGCAGAGAAGTGCTTAAAGGAGCTGATGGAGCTGAAAGCCAAGGCTCAAGAACTACATGAAGAATGCAGAAGCCTCAGGAGCGGATGCAATCAACTGGAAGAAAGAGTACCAGGGATGGAAGATGAAATGAATGAAATGAAGCAAGAAGGGAAGTTTAGAGAAAAAAGAATAAAAAGAAATGAACAAAGCCTCCAAGAAATATGGGACTATGTGAAAAGACCAAATCTACGTCTGATTAGTGTACCTGAAAGTGACGGGGAGAATGGAACCAAGTTGGAAAACACTCTGCAAGATATTATCCAGGAGAACTTCCCCAATCTAGCAAGGCAGGCCAACATTCAGATTCAGGAAATACAGAGAACGCCACAAAGATACTCCTCAAGAAGAGCAACTCCAAGACGCATAATTGTCAGATTCACCAAAGTTGAAATGAAGGAAAAAATGTTAAGGGCAGCCAGAGAGAAAGGTCGGGTTACCCACAAAGGGAAGCCCATCAGACTAACAGCTGATCTCTCAGCAGAAACTCTACAAGCCAGAAGAGAGTGGGGGTCAATATTCAACATTCTTAAAGAAAATAATTTTCAACCCAGAATTTCATATCCAGCCAAACTAAGCTTCATAAGTGAAGGAGAAATAAAATACTTTACAGACAAACAAAGGCTGAGAGATTTTGTCACCACCAGGCCTGCCCTAAAAGAGCTCCTGAAGGAAGCAGTAAACATGGAAAGGAACAACCGGTACCAGCCACTGCAAAAACATGCCAAATTGTAAAGACCATTGAGACTAGGAAGAAACTGCATCAACTAACGAGCAAAATAACCAGCTAACATCATAATGACAAGATCAAATTCACACATAACAATATTAACTTTAAATGTAAATGGGCTAAATGCTCCAATTAAAAGACACAGACTGGCAAATTGGAGAAGGAGACAAGACCCATCAGTGTGCTGTATTCAGGAAACCCATCTCACGTGTAGAGACACACATAGACTCAAAATAAAGGGATGGAGGAAGGTCTACCAAGCAAATGGAAAACAAAAAAAGGCAGGGGTTGCAATCCTAGTCTGTGATAAAATAGACTTTAAACCAACAAAGATCAAAAGAGACAAAGAAGGCCTTTACATAATGGTAAAGGGATCAATTCAACAAGAAGAGCTAACTATCCTAAATATATATGCACCCAATACAGGAGCACCCAGATTCATAAAGCAAGTCCTTAGTGACCTACAAAGAGACTTAGACTCCCCCACAATCATAATGGGAGATTTTAGCATGCCACTGTCAACATTAGACAGATCAATGAGACAGAAAGTTAGCAAGGACACCCAGGAATTGAACTCAGCTCTGCACCAAGCACACCTAATAGACATCTACGGAACTCTCCACCCCAAATCAACAGAATATACATTTTTTTCAGCACCACACCACACCCATTCCAAACTTGATCACATAGTTGGAAGTAAAGCTCTCCTCAGCAAATGTAAAAGAACAGAAATTATAACAAACTGTCTCTGAGACCACAGTGCAATCAAACTAGAACTCAGGATTAAGAAACTCACTGAAAACCGCTCAACTACATGGAAAATGAACAACCTGCTCCGGAATGACCACTGGGTACATAACAAAATAAAGGCAGAAATAAAGATGTTCTTTGAAACCAACGAGAACAAAGACAAAACATACCAGAATCTCTGGGACACAGTCAAAGCAGTGTGTAGAGGGAAATTTATAGCACTAAATGCCCACAAGAGAAAGCAGGAAAGATCCAAAATTGACACCCTAACATCACAATTAAAAGAACTTGAAAAGCAAGAGCAAACACATTCAAAAGCTAGCAGAAAGCAAGAAATAACTAAAATCAGAGGAGAACTGAAGGAAATAGAGACACAAAAAACCTTTCAAAAAATTAATGAATCCAGCAGCTGGTTTTTTGAACAGATCAACAAAATTGATAGACCACTAGCAAGACTAATAAAGAAGAAAAGAGAGAAGAATCAAATAGATGCAACAAAAAATGATAAAGGGGTAATCACCACCGATCCCACAGAAATACAATCTACCATCACAGAAAACTACAAACACCTCTATGCAAATAAACTAGAAAATCTAGAAGAAATGGATAAATTCCTCGACACATACACTCTCCCAAGACTAAACCAGGAAGAAGTTGAATCTCTGAATAGACCAATAACAGGCTCCGAAATTATGGCAATAATCAATAGCTTACCAACCAAAAAGAGTCCAGGACCAGATGGATTCACAGCAGAATTCTACCAGAGGTACAAGGAGGAACTGGTACCATTCCTTCTGAAACTATTCCAATCAATAGAAAAAGAGGGATTCCTCTCTAACTAATTTTATGAGGCCAGCATCATCCTGATACCAAAGCCGGGCAGAGACACAACAAAAAGAATTTTAGACCAATATCCTTGATGAACATTGATGCAAAAATCCTCAATAAAATACTGGCAAACCGAATCCAGCAGCACATCAAAAAGCTTATCCACCATGATCAAGTGGGCTTCATCCCTGGGATGCAAGGCTGGTTCAACATATGCAAATCAATAAACATAATCCAGCATATAAACCTAACCAAGGACAAAAACCACATGATTATCTCAATAGATGAAGAAAAGGCCTTTGACAAAATTCAACAGCCCTTCATGCTAAAAATTCTCAATAAATTAGGTATTGATGGGACGTATCTCAAAATAATAAGAGCTATCTATGACAAACCCACAGCCAATATCATACTGAATGGGCAAAAACTGGAGGCATTCCTTTTGAAAACTGGCACACGACAGGGATGTCCTGTCTCACCACTCCTATTCAACATAGTGTTGGGAGTTCTGGCCAGGGCAATCAGGCAGGAGAAGGAAACAAACGGTATTCAATTAGGAAAAGAGGAAGTCAAATTGTCCCCGTTTGCAGATGACATGGTTGTATATCTAGAAAACCCCATTGTCTCAGCCCAAAATCTCCTTAAGCTGATAAGCAACTTAAGCAAAGTCTCAGGATACAAAATCAATGTACAAAATTCACAAGCATTCTTGTACACCAATAACAGACAAACAGAGTGCCCAATCATGAGGGAACTCCCATTCACAATTGCTTCAAAGAGAATAAAATACCTAGGAACCCAACTTACAAGGGACATGAAGGAGATCTTCAAGGAGAACTGCAAACCACTGCTCAATGAAATAAAAGAGGATACAAACAAATGGAAGAACATTCCACGCTCTTGGATTGGAAGTATCAATATCGTGAAAATGGCCATACTGCCCAAGGTAATTTATAGATTCAATGCCATCCCCATCAAGCTACCAATGACTTTCTTCACAGAATTGGAAAAAACGACTTTAAAGTACATATGGAACCAAAAAAGAGCCCGCATCGCCAAGTCAATCCTAAGCCAAAAGAACAAAGCTGGAGGCATCACGCTACCTGACTTCAAACTATACTACAAGGCTACAGTAACCAAAACAGCATGGTACTGTTACCAAAACACAGACATAGATCAATGGAACAGGACAGAGCCCTCAGAAATAATGCCGCATAGCTACAACTGTCTGATCTTTGACAAACCTGACAAAAACAAGCAATGGGGAAAGGATTCCCTATTTAATAAATGGTGCTGGGAAAACTGGCTATCCATATGTAGAAAGCTGAAACTGGATCCCTTCCTTACACCTTATACAAAAATTAATTCAAGTTGGATCAAAGACTTACATGTTAGACCTAAAATCATAAAAACCCTAGAAGAAAACCTAGGCAATACCATTCAGGACATAGGCCTGGGCAAGGACTTCATGTCTAAAACACCAAAAGAAATGGGAACAAAAGCCAAAATTGACAAAGGGGATCTAATTAAACTAAAGAGCTTCTGCACAGCAAAAGAAACTACCATCAGAGTGAACAGGCAACCTACAAAATGGGAGAAAATTTTTGCAACCTACTCATCTGACCAGTAAGCTCTCACAAGGACAAAAAACCAAACACCACATGTTATCATTCATATGTGGGTATTGAACAATGAGAACACATGGACACAGGAAGGGGAACATCACACTTCGGGGACTGTTGTGGGGTGGGGTGAGTGGGGAGGGATAGCATTAGGAGATATACCTAATGCTAAATGACGAGTTAATGGGTGCAGCACACCAACATGGCACATGAACACTTATGTTACAAACCTGCACATGGTGCACATGTATCCTAAAACTTAAGGTATAATAATAAAATAAAATAGAATAAAATAACAAAATATACACTAATACAGATTAACCAACTAAAAAAAATTGTAGAGAAAGGTCATTTAAAAAATATGAAGGATAGAGTAATAATCTAACACGTTGAAATCTAAGAAGGAGAAAACAGCTTGTCTGAACAGCATTTTAAGTGGCAATGTTTGAGGTTTTATCAAAATTGGCCAATAATATTAAACGACAGGTTCAGGAGGCTTTTCAAAGCAAAGGAAAACACACACAGAGGACACATCTAGAAACATAATGGGACAATTTCTGAAAAGTAAAAGAAAAATGTAAAGAGCACTTGATAAAAAAATTGGGCTAACTACAAAGAGAAAGAGTTGACTGATAACAACTTTCTCAAATGAAACAACGAAAGCCAACAAGTGAGGTATTGATATCTTTCAAGTCCTGAAATAAAATAAGTGCTGACCTAGAACTGTCTACTTGGTGGACATATCCATCAAATACAAAGATACAATAAAGAATTTCTCCCAAGCAGACCCACAGGAAAAGAAATACTAAAGATTATTCTTCAGGTAGAAGAGCCATGATCCCTGATGAAAGTTTGCAGTTAGAAGAACAATTTTTTAATGAAAGAAATAAACATTGAGAGAAATTTAATTGGATATTGACTGTATAACAGAATGCTATCTCATAAAGTTTAACATGTATCTTCCATACAACGGCAGAAGCATATAAGTTGTGAGTTGGATAAATTAATTTTAAAATATTGTCATTTTTTTTTTTTTTGTAAATAGATGTACCAATTATATTAGACCCTGAATTCAAGAATGCACGTTGTATCAAACCAGGTAAAACATTACCAGGCCAGATTTTTTAAATGGACTCTCTTAAAGTTTTTATAATTTATATTCATATTTCACATATGTTGAAAGTAAATAATGGAAAAGCATGCAATGCAAATATTAACCAAAATATAACTTTAGTTGTACTTATATTCACATTTTAAAAGTTGGACACAGTTAAGTCTCAGGGATTTTTTTACACAACGAAGGCAACCTGTGCAGTTATAACTAGTATTATATTATGCTCTTGGCCTGATTACAGAAGGGAAACGGGAGATCATACCAGACAATGGCAGAATGAAGCAAGAAGGAGTAGAGTTACAGAACATGATGCTGTAACTGGGACTGGAGTTACACTTTTAGAGTTAAAGAATAGTAAACTGGACAAAATATATGAAACATTTTTTTGAAGTACTGAACATCAGGCAGCACAGGACTGTGCTCGGCAAGAGAAGAGAAGGAGCCAGAATGAGTCCTGCTTTATTCCCAGATTCTCCGTGACAGCAGTAGAGACGAATCCCAGAGACAGCAGACATTGTCATTGCACTGAGGAACCAGATAAAAATCAAAAAAGGTTAAGCAGCTGGAATGTGTAGTAGAAGAGAACGTTTACAGAAAAAGGAACCAAGAATCAGCCTAAGGATTCTCCCAAGTCCCTAAGCCAAATGTACATAGGATGAAATTCTAAGGAGCTCAGCAAAGGACTCTACCAGGGAGTTGGAAGAAGAACATTTCCCTGGCATCACATGACAGGAAGACACGTTAGCTCTGACCAGCCAGAGAAGGGAATCCCCTCTGTACCTCCAGGATATTCAGTAAAGACCACTGGAGGTTCATGCCCTAGTGACAGTGCTCATTTAGCTCCAAATTACAGATGGCTCTAGAATAACTCAACAAAGTTTAAAGAAAACATTTAAAACAACAACAGAAAAATACTCATCCTGAAGTTACTGAACTGCCTGCCACAACATTGTTCAAAGGTAGCCAATCAAATCTAGATATTCAATAGCATAACACCAAAATACCCCCCCCCAAAAAAAAACTCTGACATGCAAAGAAGCCGTAAGATATATATAATTAAGACATATATTAACAGGATAAAAATAAGTCATTTATAAATGACAGAAAAGAAGGAAATTTCAAGGTCCTTAAAGTAAATATATTTTATAAATACATATAAATAAATACATATATATGTCAAGGTACTTAAATGAAAATTGAACATAGGAGAAAAATAGAAGCTATAAAGTAAAAAATGTGACATGTATACATGAAAAATAAATATTTGAAATAAAAATTCCATGAGATAGAATGAGTAATCGATTTTACCCTAACATCAGAAAATTTATAGAACAAAATAGAAGCTTTACAAACTAAAGGACAAAGGGTAAACTAAAATAGGAAAGCCAGAAACTCACAGATACGTCAGACAATATGCAGCAGTGTAACATACATGTAATCAATATCTCAAAAAGGATGGATGGGGGAATTATAGGTGAATAAAGAATGGTACACTCATTCCTGAGGGCACCGAGGAGGGAGGATAGCTTTAGATTCCTAAGGGAGGGTATTATCCATTCATGAAGGTCCAACCCCCATGAACAAACACCTCCCAGTGAGCCCCACCTGCAACATTGGGGATCAAATTTTAACATGAGATTGGAAGGGGCAAGCATTCAAACCATAGCAAGAGTTAAATTTCCTTTTTTAAAAAAAATCACTGATATGATTCAATTTCGCCATAGATAAAAGCTAGTATTTCAGCCTACCGTTGAGTGTACTTATAGCTCACCAAAAGGGCACTCTGTCTCGGGAATACAGATTTGCCTAGAGGTATCCTATTGCAGTCAAAGAAAGAGCAATGAGGGATGGAAAAGGTTAGTGATGGAGACACCAGCGCTGCATTTTGCAACAAACAATGTAAAAACTTTACGGATTGGTTCTGCTAACTTACTACAGTTTACATGCCTCTCAGGTGGGAGAATTGTTGCGTTTTTTCTTAAGATAGAAAAGCAATTCAGATAATCTGAAATCTCCACAAGAAGGATAAGAAGCACAGCAGAAACTATTCTAGGCAGGAAGTCAATCCTTTCAACTGTCTGTGCTCCATAGAAACAATTGTCTGCACTGGGAGTCATATGAGGTACAGACCACAGCCAGACCTCTGATCCTCTCATTAGTGATTTCAGAAGAAATTACCAGTCAACTGAGTAATTCACTGAGTAAAGTAAACATTTGGCACTGAAAGAGGTTAGACGGATAACTATTTGTATCACCATATTCATGAAGCTGGAATATGTTCCATTACTCGTATGACATCCGAATGGAAGATGTTGAAAGGTCTCTCATCTTGTAAGATGGATATGAAAGAACATTTTCTGAGAAATGAAATTATTAACACACCTGCGAGGTGGATGGAAGAGAAAAAAAAGAATAATCAGCTTGAGTTCTTCTCCTTGATAAGACAACTCACTAAAAACATAAAGAGAAAAATACAAGTTTAAAATAATTAACCAGAAGAAGACGACTCTAGAGATTTTAAATTGCTGATAAGATTTTAATTTGCTCCAAGTTGAAAATAATTATATTGCTTGTGTTTTAAGGCACATAATGAGCAATTATATCACACATGATAGTTTCAGCAGTAAAATATGATCCGTTAACAGCTGGAACTCATAGAAGCATAGCACAATGTGAAGATGGAATTTGCTAAAATAAACCATCTGCTGAAAACTAATATTCTGCAAATTTAAAAATAAAGTTTAAATGTTATTTGTCTTATTTAATAGGTCTGTGAAAAAAATGCGATATTTGAAAAGTAGGTGCTACCTTAATTAGTTCTTTATGTTAGACGGCTGGTTACAGTAATGCACAGTAAGGTGCTACATAGATATATTGCTAATTTTCTGCATAAACTATGTATTTTGCTTAAATTATTTGAAATTTTATAGTTAAAGTAACAAATGTATACTTAAATGTTTTGACACAAATTGCAAATATACCTTTAAAAAACATCTTACACTCTAAATATTATTTGTCACCTATATAGTTGTCTTTTCTCTATAGGAAAGTTTCAATTTTTCCCTTGAAGCTTTAATTATTTGAGTCTATAAAATAAACTGATAATGTACAAATTAACAGGAAAAAAGGTTTACAGATATGTGCACAAGTATGCACTTGGAGTTTACATAATATATATAATATATCTATACAAATATTTGTATATTATAAAGAGATATACAAATATATACTATATATATAAAAACTCCAGGAAAGGCAAGGTAGTCAACACGCCTATACTGTCTTGAGGTTACAGAAAACACAGAGCTGTAGGTTGGTAAATCAGGCTTTGCGGAAGACAGGTGACGACAAGGAAGAAAGAGGAGCCTGGCAGCAGAGGTGGTCTTGTTACATGGATGAAACCTCACAGGGAGCAGCCCTCCTCTTGGGAAGTATAGATAGGAAATGGTTTTTAGAAATGTAAACGTGCCAGACTCAGTTAATCTTTCCTAAACCCAGACAAGGGAGTATCTCAGGGAAAGCCTGTCTATATCAATGCAGATTTTCTCTACAAATACAAATCTCCCCAACAAACACAGCTTTTCAGCTATTTTTGTAGAAGAAGCTATCTCCAGTCTTCCGAGTAGCCATCTTGAAATATGTCAAAAAGCTGGCCAGGCGCACGCCTGTAATCCCAACACTTTGGGAGGCTGAAGTGGGTAGATCACCTGAAGTCAGGAGTTGGAGACCAGCCTGACCTACATGGTGAAACCCCGTCTCTACTAAATGCAAAAAATTAGCCGAGTGTGGTGGTGCATGCCTGTAATCTCAGCTACTTGGGAGGCTGAGCTAGGAGAATTACTTGACCCTGGGAGGCTGAGGTTGCAGTGAGCCAAGATTGTGCCATTGCACTCTAGCCTGGGCAATAAAAGCAAAACTCCATCTCAAAAAAAAATGCATTTTTGGGTAATATTTTGAGTATCTTTACCTCCATATGTACAATAAATAATATTGTGTTTTTAATCTTTGCTCTTCTGTGGAAAAAAACACAGGTGTGATTTCTAGTGTAGCTGAACATCGTTTATTTGACAATATTGCAGTTGTGTGTGGGTGTGCGCCTGTGTAGCTACTCTTTAATTTTGTTCTCACATAATGATTAGATATTAACAATTAATTCAGTAAAATGTATGTTTCGCAATATTTCTCCATGTTATTATGCTTTAAATTAGTTTAATCATGCCCCTATGATGTGTACATTTTAATCTTTGACTATAGGTCTCAATCTTGCTTTGGATGCTGTATTTCAATTTATGCTAATAAAGTCCTACAGCTAAAAAAGATTATATAAACTTAGCTACATTTTACTAGTATTCTGGTGTCATTTTAAATTATGTAATGAAATCAAATTTTAATTTGGATTATTGTTATCTGAGTTAAGGATCTAAATTTTTAATTTTCTTATAAATATTACATAATTATTTCTGAACCATATATTGACTAATCTGCCCTTTATATGATGTGCTTTATAAGAGCTTGGGATAGTTTCATTTGCAAAGATGAATGCTTGAGAAGTAGATATTTAATCATAACATTTCAAAATCTACTGGATAACCTAGAATTGAAAAATAGCCTATAGGTTGAAAAACTCCTGTAGTGAAGAAAGAAAATAACTAATATACAGTGACAGTATAAATATTGTAAGTATTTATTTTATTAACGCCCTGAAATTTGATAATACAAACATGTAATATCTACATATCATCCATATATCAGGTCATAAAAAGTCAATACATTCTTCAAAAATTTAGCATAACAGAAAATGCACTCTCTCTCCTTGATGGAATTAAGTTACAAATAAAAGTAAAAATAAGTAGATAAGTAGATGGAAGTAGATGTTTAAAAACAAAGAAAAATATTTGTTTTGGATAACATAAAATCTCAATTGACAATTCCAATATTTCCAGAACTTTGCCTGTCAACTGGTAGAGAGTTTTCCCCAGGAGACATTTGTCAATGTCTAGGGTTATTGTGGGGATGTCAAGACTGGTGGAGGTGTGAAATTTAGAGGTCAAATGAAACACCTAGCATTGCTAAGGCAGCCTCCCACAACAAAGAATCCTCCGGTCCTAAAGGTAAGTAGCACCAAGGTTCAGAAACCATAATCTAGACAGGAAACACTACGTAGCTATTCCAAGTGCTCAGGAAAACACATCAGTGCCCTCGAGGGGAAAAGTGTAAACATTTTAATTGCTGTACATGGTGACACAAATCCATGTTGTTAATCTAAGTGGAAGGGGCTGAAGCACAAAACGTAATTCAAAGAGTTTACTTGAGCCACAATGAGGACAGCTGCCTGGAAGAAACAGACCCAAGTATCCTTGGATATGAACTCCCTTTGGAGCTTTGCAACAAGCAGTTTCTTAAAGGCAAAAAGGGGTCCAGAAGTGGGATGATGCAAAGAGATTTGTCACAAATTCCCATTGGCTTATGGAAATAACATTTATCAGTGACTGGCTATACACTGTTACACTATTATCAGGTGTGGATTATAGTGTCTGGTGTGGCGTTATTGGTTAATTTATAGCTATAACTACTATGGCAACAGCAAGCAGCCTAGGTGAACATACAGCTCAAAGAGGAGAAGGACAGAACTGCTGTCTCATTTGAATATCTCTCTGGGCCTGATTATTTAAAGGGACTTGCATTTCTCACATGAAAGTTATTTTCTTTTCTCAATGTCCATAAATGAGAATAAATAGACGTAAAATAGATCTTTTCGAGGATGAAGTAAATGGAATGAAAAACAAAACCCAAGCTGACCAGAAATCATAGAGGGAAGAAAAGGATATAAATATATGGATTTTTCAAAGTGATTTTAAGCTATTAGGAATCAGTTAAATGTTGGGAGATTTTGTCTGAGAATGGGCTAAAGGAGAATGTCCCTTTTGCCTAATGAATTTTCCCTGAAAATCACTAATAGGAGGCAGATAAATAGTAGAAAAGGCATACAGCTTTCTGCAATGTGTGTACACTGGAGCCCTTAGAACGAAGACCCAGACACACGATGCGTGCAGAAGCTTATCTACCACATGAAGTGTACAAAAAGAATGAGGTCTTGGATCACAGGGAAAAGAAAGAAAAAGGTTATGTGAGAAAACGACCCTGGCTAGCAACAGTGGACTTATTACCTAGGTGGAACTTCACTGGGAGCAGTCCTCAGAGAGAATAGACAGAAAATGTTTCTTTCAGACCTTTGGAGACCTGAGACTCTCAGTTAAACTTTCCTAGATCCAGACAAGGGGGCAGACCTCAGAGAAAGCCTGGCTGCATCAAGGCATATTCTCTACCGATGCAAATCTCCCCAAGACAGCTTTGCAGCTAACTTTGCATTTCCAGCCCTTCTCAATAGCCATTTTGAAATATATCAAGGAAATATATTTAGGGGTAAAATATATTAGTTTCCCTCATACAGCTATAAAACATACAGGAATAATTTTTGTCAATGTCTACTACAAATCCAATATAACAATAATTATACAACCCACCAGATATTGAAGAAAAAATATGTAGAGTTCCTCAATTACAAATGTTGATACTAAAATGCCAAATAAAATAAAAATAATATCCAACAATATTTGAAACAGTAAGACAAGAAACTGGCAAAAAAAAAAAAATAAAACAAATATGCACCTTGGGGATGAAAGTGTGTTTCCAAATTTGGTAATCCAATAATATTAATAATCATATTGATTAGCCCAAATTAAAAATAAATAGGGGATTCTCAGTACATGCTAAAGTATATTTGTTAAAAGGCAATATTCATGTCTTTAAAGATTTTAAATGCTATGAAGAGTCTGATATTCTATATGCAAACATGTGTATGTCCATTAGAAGAGAGGCCTGATTTTCATATGTCACTACAAAGAGAGAAGTGGATAGATTAATTAGCATATGCATAGAGAGAGCATAACATAGAAATTTACTATCATATTAAAGGAATTTTAATTCAACAATAAAATAATTCAAAGGTAAAATTTTAAATATTTTTAACAGGTACATTATTATTAGATAATATTTATACTAATTGTGAAAATATTCAATGCTAAAATAAGATACAATGTCTAAACATCAGTATTAAAACTAGTATAACATTTGCTTGTTTATACAAGGAAAATTCAAGCTCGACCTAAAATTATATGGGAAATAAAAGAAAAATTTTAAGGGAGCTCTTTAATAACATAATAATATGTATATATACACACACACATATAACATGTATATATGTTATATGGGATAGATATAGATTTAACATGTTATACCTATATTTGTATCTATAACTACAGCTGTATGTATCTACATTTCTATATATTTACTCAGTGATATAAATATAGACTGGAATAAATATAAAGACACATATGATTCTTGGGTAAAAAAGATTTAGTATCATAAAGACAAATTCTTTCCAAATTCACTTATGAATTCACAACAATGTACAGTTTCATTAGTATAATTTAAAATTTTTAAATAAATTCCAAGATTCATTTAAAGGAATATACATGTATACAAGCAGTCGAGAAAGAAGCAAGAGTGCACTAAACTAACTTGCTATTAAAATACCTTTTTAAACTTAGTCACTAAAACTGAGCAGTACTGATTTGGAGTACTGGAATTTAGGTATATGGGATCTCAAAAGCACAGAGCTCAAAGGAGACCCCTGTATGCACCAGAGCTTAAGATGTGCTTTGGAAGGCATTACAAAACCACGGGCAAAGTTCCTTTAGTGTCTTAGTCTTACCAGGTTTGAAAAGCCAGAGAAAAGACTCAAGAACACCATATAAGAGCAAAACAAAAGGACAGGGAAATAATGTGAAGATACTGAAACATTTTACATAAAGTTGTATAAAACATCCTTTAAAGAAAATATAAAGTTTAGGATATACATCAAAATCAGCAGAGCCACTATATAAATAAATAGGCATTGTAAAATAACAAGAGAAAATTTAAATGGATTTCTAAAAAATATTGACACCTATGATTTTTAAAATATGTTTAAGGAATCCCGTATTTCACAGGGCAGCCTTTCACAACACAGATATGTTAGGACATAAAGGTCCTTCTGTTTTTAATTTACTAGTGTTTATAGGGTTACAAATGTCTTCTACCCTTGTCTTTTGTCTGATGGTGCAAAAAATTTTCATAAGCATGTACTTCTGAATGCCTGATGGATTGACATATATAATAAACGGCTAGTATTAAAATATGTGACATAAAACGCATCCAATCTTCTCACTGTTTACATAAATTCTAGGTTTCTCCTATTTACCTCAAGCACGTATGTAGCGAATTCGTACCTTTTAATATTGCCATGGCATTCACATTGAACATAAGTTGAACTCTCTCATATGGTAGCTGGGTTCGGATTCCCTTGACAATTTCCAGTTCTAACCCTCACAGTTCCTCAGTGTGGCTGGCCCAGATATTGACCCTACACAGTTGCCTCCTCCTGGTGACTACCAGCTATGGAACCGTTGGATACAACCTACCTGACTCACCCCACAGACCTCACAGTGCACATGGACAGCCCCCACACGCCAGAGTGACCTGCTCGATTGCAGCAGGAGTCAAGAAGTGTGCCTGCTGGCACTCACCCCACCGACTAGTGCCCCGTGGAAAACTTATTTGGATAATGTTCTGGGCCCAATAAAGGCTGGAGTCCCACAGACCCCTTTTCTCTCTCCTGCTCCCCACTCATCTTCCCCATTTTGTTCAGCCCTATGAGGTGTGCTACTGTATTAGTCCATTTTCACACCGCCGGTAAAGACATGCCCAAGACTGGGTAATTTCCAGAAGAAAGAGGTTTAATAGACGCACAGTTCCACATGACTGGGTAGGCCTCACAATCATGGCACAAGCTGAAAGGCACATCTCACCTGGCAACAGACAAGACAAGAGAGCTTGTGCAGGAAACTCGCCTTTATAAAAACATCAGATCTTGTGAGACTTATTCACTATCAGAAGAACAGCATGGGAAAGACCTGCCCTCGTGATTCAATTACCTCCCAGCTGTTCCCTCCCACAACATGTGGGAATTCAAGATGAGATTTGGCTGGGGACACAGCTAAACCCTCTTCTCAGCTACCCTCTTCTCTCTGGATCTGTGAGTAATAAACCTACTTCTGTGATTTCCCATGTTTGGTTCTGTGGCCTCCATGTGTCTGAGCTGACCTACACTGGAACCTAACTCTCTTCCTGGCCAGGGTCTCTGAGAGTGGCTCTTGTCAGAAATACACAGGACACAGGTCAGGCAACAGTCACTAGGCATCTCCTAGTCTCAACAGATGTTCTGTGAGAGGGAGGCCTGGTCGTGGGATGCACACCTGGCCACTGCTGGGGTAAGGAAGTGTCCTGTGAAAGGCACATGTTAAGCATCCACAACCCCCTGACCAGAACCCCAGAAAGGCAGGGCTGCAATTGTCAGTCACTCTCCAGAGACAAACCTCAAGCCCTAACTGGAGGAAAAGAAAACAATGTAAAAAGTTGAATTTATCTTACTATTTCAATGATCCAGTAAAGACATTCTATGCCTGTACACCACATATTTTCTTCGATTGTGGATTTATTTTAGATAGAATTTTAGGTCTGGCTTTCACTTTAGCCTGGTCCCTACCTCAAGCATAAGGTAAAGTTTTTCCATGCGTTCTTTTCTGGTACTACTACCTGCCAGTGTGGGGTCATGTCCTAGTCTATCTTGAGGGAATCCCCCTGTTCATTATTGTCAGAGTGAGACTGTTAAGTCTTGATTTCCCTGGACAACTTCACTGCATGACTTTTAATATGATTTTTAATATACCCTTTACTGGACAATAAATTATATTTATTACGGAATTATGGGTGATTTCCTTCAATCTGCATCATATCAAGTTGAGGTTCATATTGATGAAAAGTAAAGCATACGTTGAAAATATCAGTAAGGATGTTTTCCCCTCCTTTTGTGCTTGTGATACAAGCACATTTTAATGCAATTGTGGACTCATGCTTTGATCATTCCTATGATGAAAATAACATTTTTAGATAAAGTATCTGAGTTTTATGAGGCCTTTAGTATGTGATGTGATAGAATATCAGAAGACCATACTTTTTTCTAGGTTTCTGTGCAATTGTGTCATTATTTCATCTTTACTCCTACCAGAGTAATTTTGCAAAATGGATATCTTGTCATTCTTCCTGTTGTTATCAGTAAATAAGTGAAATGAAAAGCTAGATTATATAATTTATCTAGAACAAGAAAGTGGAATTGAATCTATATTCATTAATGAGACTAACCAGTCAATTACACAGATAGGCATTTTACATTTTGAAGATCATATGGACCCATTGTCAGAAATATTATTATTTATGTCTATATGGACATCACCTGGGCATATTTACATAGAAATCAATGAGAGCTGATTTTTATTTTTATTATATATATTTTTTGAGATAAGGTCTTGCTTCATTGCCCAGGCTGGAGTGCAGTGTTGCAATCACTACTCACTGCAGCCTCAGCCTCCCAAGCTCTAGCAATCCTTCCACCTTGGCCTCCCAAATAGCTAGGACAACAGGTGCACATCACCATGCCCACTTTTTTTTTTTTATTATACTTTAAGTTTTAGGGTACATGTGCACATTGTGCAGGTTAGTTACATATGTAAACATGTGCCATGCTGGTGCGCTGCACCCACTAACTCGTCGTCTAGCATTATGTATATCTCCCAATGCTATCCCTCCACCCTCTCCCACCCCACAACAGTCCCCAGAGTGTGATATTCCCCTTCCTGTGTCCATGTGATCTCATTGTTCAATTCCCACCTATGAGTGAGAATATGCGGTGTTTGGTTTTTTGTTCTTGTGATAGTTTACTGAGAATGATGACTTTCAATTTCATCCATGTCCCTACAAAGGACATGAACTCATCCTTTTTTTTGGATGCATAGTATTCCATGGTGTATATGTGCCACATTTTCTTAATCCAGTCTATCATTGCTGGACATTTGGGTTGGTTCCAAGTCTTTGCTATTGTGAATAATGCCGCAATAAACATACGTGTGCATGTGTCTTTATAGCAGCATGATTTATAGTCCTTTGGGTATATACCCAGTAATGGGATGGCTGGGTCAAATGGTATTTCTAGTTCTAGATCCCTGAGGAATCGCCACACTGACTTCCACAATGGTTGAACTAGTTTACAGTCCCACCAACAGTGAGAAAAACAAGCAATGGGGAAAGGATTCCCTATTTAATAAGTGGTGCTGGGAAAACTGGCTAGCCATATGTAGAAAGCTGAAACTGGATCCCTTCCTTACAACTTATACAAAAATCAATTCAAGATGGATGAAAGACTTAAACGTTAGACCTAAAACCATAAAAACCCTAGAAGAAAACCTAGGCATTACCATTCAGGACATAGGCATGGGCAAGGACTTCATGTCTAAAACACCAAAAGCAATGGCAACAAAAGACAAAATTGACAAATGGGATCTAATTAAACTAAAGAGCTTCTGCACAGCAAAAGAAACTACCATCAGAGAGAACAGGCAACCCACAAAGTGGGAGAAAATTTTCACAACCTACTCATGTGACAAAGGGCTAATATCCAGAATCTACAATGAACTCAAACAAATGTACAAGAAAAAAACAAACAACCCCATCAAAAAGTGGGCGAAGGACATGAACAAACACTTCTCAAAAGAAGACATTTATGCAGCCAAAAAACACATGAAAAAATGCTCATCATCACTGGCCATCAGAGAAATGCAAATCAAAACCACAATGAGATACCATCTCACACCAGTTAGAATGGCAATCATTAAAAAGTCATGAAACAACAGGTGCTGGAGAGGATGTGGAGAAATAGGAACACTTTTTTTTTTTTAACTTTTGATAGAGACTGGATCTTGCTATGTTGCCCAGGTTGCTTGTGAACTCCTGGGCTCAAGGAATCCTCTCATTTCAGGCTCTTCAACTGCTGGTATTACAAGCATGAACCACCATATGGGCTGGAAGCTGATTTTTAAAATACTGAGATCATATAGATGACAGCATCTGAAAAATAGACAACACCAAGCTTTATGTTAAAAGGTGTGAGGGTATCAATATTGTTGTGGCTATTGGGGAGGAAACCATTAGTAAAACCAGTAAGTTAAAGCTCTTGCTTTAAACTTTGGCTTTAATTTAACAAATGTTCTATGGAGTGACAGTATGTATGCAACCATGCTATGCCCATTCACAGAGGCAGTAGAGGGAAGAATTTCTCAAAGACAACTGTTCTAAGACTCAAATTAAACCGTACTGCGTTTGAAAAGAGAAAGTCCAGGAATTACCAAATCTTTTAGATATCAGATACAAGAGAATGCCAGGTATGCGATGATAATCAGCAATGGTTGTTCACACAATACATCAAATCAGTATTTGAATTAGCTTTTGAATTACAAGGACAAATGGATCAAGTCTAGACTCTTTAGTAGATAAATCTTATTAGGCTGAGATGTGTTTTCCCCTGTTTTTCCACAAGGAGATTACAAATTGGCAAAGCTCAGCTGCTCTCATTTTATGCTCTCACCAAGCCAAAAGCTGAAGTTCATTAATCAGTGTGTCTAAGGGTTCACTGGTTATATACCATTTTGTAGTTTCAGCTATCTTTCCAACTTCCTAAATCATCACCTTCATTTGATCTTGTTTTTTTCCACTATCACTTCTTTATTGACCATATAAAGAATGTAAGTAAGTTCTTATTTTGTTATTGTTCATTTTAGTCTAATTTCATCAAAAGATCACAATCTTTTAATTTCATTTTAATTTCAAAGATTAAATGAAACCTACATAGAAATGAGTGTAAGATTTGCATTTGCATTATTTTGGCATCAATTTGCTCTCCTCCCTCATGCACATAGAGATCATTTCCATGTACGTGATTTCAAACATCCAAGTGCTGTATTAAAAGCAGTTGTAACTTATGGTTCTCATTTTCATGATACAATTACAATATAAACTTCCTCTTGCTGCTGTAACCAATTACCACAAACGTCATGTCTTACAATAAAGTGACCGTTAGTCCAACAGTTCTGTAGTACAGAAGCCTTAAATGAAACTCACAGGGCTAACATCAAGTTTTGGGTAGGGCTGCAGTCTTTCTGAGGGCTATGTGGCATAATCTATTACTTGATATTTTTCAGCATCCAGAGGCCACCTTTATTCTTTGGAACATGACCTCATTCTTATATCCTATTTTTCTTTTTTTTTTTTTTTTTTTTGAGATGGAGTCTCCTTCTGTCACCCAGGCTGGAGTGCAGTGGCACGATCTCAGCTCACTGCAACCTCTGCCTCCCGGGTTCAAATGATTCTTCTGCCTCTGCTTCCTGAGTAGCTTGGACTACAGACACTTGCCACCACACCCAGTTAATATTTTGTATTTTTAGTAGGCATGGGGTTTCACCATGTTAGCCAGGATGGTCTCGATCTCCTGCCCTCGTGATAAACCCACCCCAGCCTCCCAAAGTGCTGGGATTAGGCGTGAGCCACCGCGCTGGGTCCTCATTCTTGTATCTTAAAAGTCAGTAATGTTGAGTAATTTCTCATGCCACCACCTCCAAGGTTGCCTTTCTTCTGCCTTCTTCTTTCATTTAAAAGGAAGTTTGTGATTTCATTGATCCCACCCATTTAAGACAATCTCTCTATCATTTTTCTGCAACCTTAATTTCACTTGAAATCTAATTTCACACTGCCGTGCAACCTAACATAATTGTATGTTAGACTCTGGGAATTAGGACATGAAAATTTTTGGGAGGCCATTCTTTGGTCTACAGCAGAAATAATTTATTTACCTGCAGATTAAAGCGTTCTATATTTTTCTCTCTCCCTTTCTAATTTTTTTAAAATAATATGAATTGCAGTAAAGAGAAAGAAAGAAAAGAAAACAAAGAAAGAAAAAGAAGGAAGGAAAGAAGGAAGGAAGGAAATAAAGAAAGAAAGAAGAAAAGAAGGAGGAAATGAGGGAAGGAAGGGAGGGAGGGAGGAAGGGAGAAAGGCAGGAAGGGAGAAAACAGAAAGCATGAACACAAGAAAGAAAGAAGGAAAGAAAGAGAAAGAAAGAGAGAGAGAAAGAAAGAAAGGAGAAAGGGAGGATGGAAAGGAGGAAGAGAGAATGGTAAAAGGGAGGAAGGCAAAGAAACAAAGAAAATAAACAGGCAAAGGAAGGAAAGAAAAAGAGGAAAGGAAGGGAGGGAGGAAGGAAGAAATGGAGGGCGGGAGGAGGGAACAAAAAAGGAAAGAAAGCAAGAACGTGAGAAAGAAAGAAAGAATATGAGAAAAGAAGGAAGAAAAGGGAGGGAGAAAGGAAGGGAGGGATTAGGGAAGGAAGAATAAGGGAAAGAAACAAAGAAGGAAAGAAGGAAGGAAGGAGAAAAAAAGAAAGAAAAAGAAAGGAAAAGAAAAAAGAAAAGAAAAGGAAGAGGAAAAGAAGAAAGGAAGGAGGAAGGCAAGGGAAGGGAAGAGAAGAGAAAGGAAGATGGAAAGAAAGAAGGAAGAACGCAAATATTAGAAATTCTGGGTTTGTTAGAGAATATGCCATACTGTTTTTTTTTTTTCACTTGAAAGGAAAGAGTATCTGCCATTGAAGATTGGATGTCTTGTTGGTGATATTGTTGTTCTTATCTTCCACATGATTACTGAGTTAGTGCCTAGTCTTTCCATTTCTAAGACAAAAGTGTTGATGTCGGCAAATATAATTTTGGATTTTTCCAGTTCACCTTTGATTTCTTTCCTGTTTTACCTCATGTATTTGGAGGTTCTGTTGTGAGCTGCATACCCTAATTAGTAGGATGATTACATCTTCTTGAGAATTGATTATTCTATTATCTATTATCTCTCATCTCTGATACTATTTCTTGTTCCGAACTCTGTTGTGTCTAATATCAATGTAGTCCTTCCACAGCCTTATTTTAGTGTTTCCATGATATGGCTTTCTCCATATCTTGATGATAACCTCTTTATATCTCTATATATTTGGAGCAAGATATAAAATTTAGACTTGATTTTTTAAAGATTTTTCAAGATGCGATTCTTATTTCTTTTTGTTCTATTTGACATTCTCTGAGTTTCCTATATTTGAAGTTTGATTTTCTGTCACTTCTTTTAGAATATTTTTGGCAGTTATTTTGAAAAATATTTCTTTTGCTCCATTATTTTTCCCTCTTTTCTTTTTGGGATTTCAATCATAACTAGAGTAGGTAATTTCATCTCAGTCTTATGCAGGTACTTTTTCTCAGGGTCTCAGGAATGTAGCCTTCTCACACTTCCGTTCTTTTCCTGGCTGTGTTGGTGAGCTCAGTGATATTCCTCCTTCACCTTCAAGAGCAGTTTTGTTTTGTTTTTCCTGTTTTCATACTCCCAGCATCAGGAGGATCCTAAGTGTGGCAGTTTTTGTTGCCTTCCCCTACATATTAAGTGGAATATCTTGCTCTATTAGGACTCTTATAACAAAATAACATAAACCGGGTGACTAAAAAACAACAGATATTTCTTTTTTCACATTTCTTGAGGCTGTAAGATCTCGGGTCAAGATGCTCACAAATTCAGTGTTGATGAGAGCCCATTTCATGGTTCATAGGTGGTGCCTGCTTTCTATGTCCTCACATAGTGGAAGGCACACAACAACTCCATTGAGCTTCTTTTATAAAGGCACTAATCCCATTCATAAGGGCTCGGCCCCCAAGACCTGGTCACCTCCCAAGTGTTCTGCTCTCCCTGATCTGTGTCATATACAGACTCTCTTGGATTCCTTACCAATTGCTTGAGAGATCGCAGTGGGTTTGTGGGGAAAAAGTTTTCAAGATGATGGATCTTTCCCAACTTCTGCAGCTGTCAGCCGTCTCCCAATCTCACCAGCCCCACTTTGTGTTTAGGAATTTATTGATTATTCCAGCTTTACTTGTCATGGTGGTGCCTATTTGCGTCTGTCCTATGTAAGTGCATCCGTCCTCTTTCGCCTTGCAGGTGCTTGTTTTCCCTCACATTTTGACTCAGTTCTTGGCAACCTCGTTGCTATAAAAATAAAGTCATGACTTTGAAGTTAGTTTGGGTCTTTCATTGTTGTCAGGTTTGGAACCCTATTCCATCCCAGATCTTCAAAACCCAGACTTTTTGGGGGGTTGAAATTTTAGGGTTTCTCTTTGAATTGTAGTTTTATCTTCTTTCAGTTACCATTTGCATTTTCATAATGATTAATGAGACTAAGCTTTTTTGTGTAGTTGACTGTACCTTTGGATTTTTTCCCCAAATACCTTTTTATTTCTTCTTTTCTTTATGGTTTTAGAAAAGGTAGTTTACATAATTGCAGCTTGATTTTTTACTCAGTTAATGGCATGCTTAATGGAGAGAAAAAATATTAAATATATTTCCCTTTTTAATTACTGTGCTTTTTTCTTTTCTAAGGAAATGTTTCATTATGTTAAATTTCAGTGTTATTCTACTTAGCTATTCCTTAAATATTATAGTATTTAGGATTTCACATGTAAATTTGTAACATATCTTGAGTTTATTATGTATAGAGTAAGGCTATTTTCTCTTTTTTGTTTTTTAAGGTAAAAATCACATAATATAAAATTAACAACCACCATTTTAAAGCATACAATGCACTTGCTTTTAGTATATTCACAATGTTCCAGGGCAATTTCATCATGTCCCTTCCAAAAACCCATTATACCTAAGGTTGTTACACCCTAATCTGCTTCCCTGAGCCCTAATGACCACTAATCTGATTTATATCCCAATTGATTTGCCAATTCCTGATGTTTCATGTGAATAAAATCAAGTAATATTTGTCCTTTTGTGCACTTAACAGAATGCTTTCAAATTTCACCAATATTATACCATATATAAGTACTTCATTCTTTGTTATAGCTGAAAATTGGGTGTCCATTTATGAGTCAACAAGCATATGGATTGTTTCCACTTTTTGACTGTATGAATATTACTGCTGTAAATATTCATGCACATGTTTATTTTTTGAGCACCTATGTTTTGTAAGATTAACAGCTGACTTAAGAGAAACAATGGAAGCAAGAGGCAGTAGAATAATATATTCAAAAGATGCAAAGGAAAAAAAAACTCTCAGCCACGAATTCCTTATCCAGCAATTATTTTTCAAAAATGAAGATAACACAAAGACTTACCCAGATAAACAGAAATATTAACTGAAGTTGTTGCTGGCAGACCTACTATATAAAAAAAACTCTAAAATAAATTCCTAAGGCTAAAAGCAAGTTACAGAAGACAGTCACTTGAATCCACATTTTTAAAAAAACACTGGTATAGGTAATATTGACATTATAAAAGACAGTAAAAATGCATTTTTTCTCTTTATCATAAATTGTTTATTAAATAACGTGTGTATAATGGCCGGGCACGATGGCTCACACCTGTAATCTCAGCACTTTGGGAGGCCAAGGCGGGCGTATTACAAGGCCAGGAGATCGAGACCATCCTGGCTAAGATGGTGAAACCCCGTTTGTACTAAAAATACAAAAAAATGAGCCGGCCGTGATGGTGGGCGCCTGTAGTCCCAGCTACTCGGGAGGCTGAAGCAGAAAAATGGCATGAAGCCGGGAGATGGAGCTTGCAGTGAGCAGAGATTGTGCTACTGCACTCCAGCCTGGGTGACAGAGGGAGACTCCGTCTCAATGATAATAATAATAATATGTGCAGAATGTATTGCTGAGTATTTGACATGTAGAAATGGAACACGTCTATAACATATTTTCCAGTAACATCAAAAAGGAGGTAGTTGGAAGAAAAATGTATTGCGATAAGGTAATAACTCTAGATGGTAAAGTAATAATTACTAAAATGTATTGTTGGCTTTGTAACTTTAATAGATGTAATGTGTAAAGTGATAATACTTTAAAATGGAGGAAACAAAAGAGATTTATATAAGAATGTTGTTTCTATGTATTACTAAAAGTTTACTAGTGTAGATTGGAAGATGGTTTGAATAATTAATTTTCCATATACATATAGGGTAAACTTACAACAACAAAAATTCTCAAAAATATATAATAAAATAATTCATTAGTAATCTAAAGTTCCCTATTTTAGAAAATATTCTTTCATTGCAAAATAAAGCGATAAAGAAAAATATTTGAGAAATATATAAAACAAACGGTAAAATGGCAGACATAAATAGAATTATACCAATTATAATCTTAAATGTGAGCAGATTAAAATCCATTCCAGAAGCAGAGATTGTCAGACTGGATTAAAACAAGTGATCCCAATATACGCTGAGATGCAAGGATACTAATGGATTGAAAGTAAAAAGATGACAAAAAATATCATGCAAAGAGCAATCATAAGAACACTGAAATCATTATACTCATAACACACAATATAGACTATTAAAAATATGAATAGGATTTTAAAAATTTATATTCTAGTGAAAAGGGGGACTACGCTTTAGGAAGACATAGCTATTACAATCATGTATGCACAGATAGGAGCTAAATTGTTTCCTCTATATAGATGCTGAAATTCTAACCACTGAATATGACCTCATTAGGAAATATGTTCTTTGCAGCTGATCAAGTTAAGATACAATCAGATGAGCCTGAATTCAATATGACTGATGTCCTTGTGAAAAGAAGAAATTTGAGTAGAGGGAGACATACACACAGGGAGAGTACCATGTGATTATGAGGACAGAGATTAGCCAAGGAATGCCAAAGACTGCCACTAAACCACCAGAAGTGAGAAACAAGACACAGAGCAGGCTTCCTCTCATAGCCCTTGAAGGGACCATCCCTGCTGACACCTCAATCTCAGACTTTTAGCTTCCAGGACTATAAGATTATAAGACTATAAATGTATGTTGTTCAAGGCACCCAGTTTGTGTTACTTGGTTATGGCAGCCCTAGAAAACTAATACATGAACTAATAACAAAGCATAATAACATGAAGCAAAAATTGACAAAAGAGGAGCATCAGCAAAATGGCAGTGGAGAAAGCTGCAATCTTTCATTTCCCCACAGAAACATCACACAACTAAGAGAAACTGTCCGAATAAACTTCGCCAAAACTCTGGAAAATGGTCAAAAGATTACAACATCCAAGTGAAAGCAGACTCAAGAAAAAGACAACTGGAAAACTTTACTACATTTTTAACTTGCCTTTGCCCCAGCAAATTGGCAGTTCTGAAGTGTCAGAAGCCCACGTTCCCAGTGAGGAAGCCTGGTCCATGGTCCAAAGGAACAAGAGAAGATCTTAACCACAAATTATTATGTGTCTGTTCTGACTGGTCTGGGGGATACCTAAAGGACTCATGAAAGGCTTTTTTTTTTTCTGTGTTGCTAGAATACAGAACATATAAGGAATGGACATTATTAAGAAACTCTGCAAGGAGACCTAACAAACCACAGATGCTTAGGGCAAAAATTAAAGTTTACACATATAGTAGATCACCTTCAGCAGAGCAAGAAAAGTTGGAGAAGAGTATTTCAAAAACTAAGACATACAAAATCATTCACATACATGGGAGAGTCTACAAAGTCACATGTATTCATAGGTTAAGCCACATGCTGACAAATGTCATAAGAAGACACTACGCTTTTACCTTGGCCGATCCCTCCCCTCAGTGCAAGCTCTGTGCAAGAGTGAACTTGAACTTCACTCAGTGCAAGAGTGAACACACACTTTGTGCCGGCTTTAAAGAACCCAGCACAAAGCCAGTCTGCATGGCCTAGAGACATATTTTGCTGGACAATGATTACTTGTTTTTCTTTTTGTTTTTCTTGTATTTGCCTGTTTGATTGGTTCCTGACATACCAGAAAATCACTGTCAAAACATTAGCTTAACATTTGTTAAGGAAACAAAAAGACTTCGGTGACCACACCTTATAAACCAAACAGTTTTGTAAATCACTTTAGAAAATTTCACTAAAAAAAAAAAATCCTTAACAATATAATAAGTAAAGAAAATTTAAAACCACAAAACATTACTGTGTTTGTGGGGGGGGGGGTCTGATTTACAGAGTAACCACATAGTAATTATAATTATTAGAATGTCCGTTTTCAAAAACGTTACAAGGCATACAAAGAATGGGAAAGTGTGGCTCATTCAAAGGACCAAAATAAATTGACAGAAAATATCCCTAAGGAAACCCAGACATCAAACTTACCAGACAAAGACTTTAAAACAACTCTCTTCATTATACTCAAATGTCAAAAGGAAAACATAAACAAAGAAATAAAGGAATCAGAAAAAATATTAAAAAGTAGGAATATCAGCAAAGAGATAACAGAAATTCTGGAGTGGAAAACTACAATGATAAAAATTTAAAAATCACCAGAGGGATTTAAGAGTATATTTGCACACACAGAAGAAGCCATGAACTTGAAGAGAAGAAAATGGAAAATACTGACTCTCAGAAACAGAAAGAATAAAAAATAAACAATGAGCAGAGACTAATGAATCTGTGGGACATCATCAAATAGACCAACATTCATATTCTAGAAGGATAAATTTTGTTGTTAAAAAGTTTACCATTCTTTCTTTTCACCTTTCTTCCTTCCTCCTTCCCCCTCCTCCTTTTTACTTTTCTTCCTCTTCCTTTCTCTTCTTCTTTCTCTCCTTCATTATCCCTTTCACTGTTTCTCTTTCTCCCTTTCTCCTTTTTCTTTTCTTTCAATTTTCTCAATTACTAAGAGATGTTTAAGTACCCTTACCATGTTAGTAGATACGGTTATTTCTCCCTTTAGTTCTCTTTTGAGATTTATAGTCACTCAAATAAAGAGATAACCCAAACATAAGCGTCACAAACAGGCTTTCATACCATTCTTAATCTGGTCCTGTAATTCTTCATTGCTGTATTAACTTTCTGATGCTTTTAAGGATGTTTTATAACAAATTGTGTAGCTTTTTCCAATGGAATGTTTATTCTGAATTATCTAATTCATATTGTAAGTATAGAGGGAGTTTAATATAAAATTATTAAACTAATATTTGTGAAAGAATGTATTTGTGCATTTAACAAATATGTTAATCCTCAGACTGTTATTGGGCAGCTGAGCATACAGGAATAAAAATAACACAATTTTTATGTGTACAATATTTATGGAATACGTTACTGGACCCAATAAATAATTTAGTTAATAACATGACAAAGAACAGAAATTGTATACACTATAGAGCATAGTAATGGAATAATGAATGATTAAAGTTATTAATATTAGGTAGAAAATGAAGGGTATCTTTGAGAGCAGAACTCAAGGAAGCAAGCAATTCACCTTATGAGGAAAGAGTTACCTGTGGATAAAGGAGAAACTGAGAAACTTACAAGTCAAGACTTTTTGAGCAAAAACAAAAATATGACTATTAGTCACCAATTCAGTACAGTGAAAAAAATGTTGAAGAGATATCTTGGAAGTAAACCATGTTGTGGAAGAGCATGTAGGGTTTTGATAATCATGGGATGATTCTGAATTAATTTTAAATGCGATAGGAATATATGAGATAATTTCACCAGAGTATAATATGATTGTGTTTGCATTTCAAAGGGGGTGTATCTGGTGCACTGTGTAGAATAAATAGGTTATGTGAGCAAATAAATTGGGAGGCTACTCTAATCCAGCGAAAAAAGGTAGTGACTTAGGTGAGAATGCTGTCAGGATGAGTGGTAGTAGTGGTGAGAAGTCGTTAGGCCATGGATGTATTTCATAGGACTGGCCAAGAGAACTGCAGCTAAATTGGAGTGTAGGGAGTGAAATAGAGAACTCAAAGATGACTCTCAGCAATGGAAGGTGACAGCTGTCACTGAAGCATGCTGATGCCTCTTATTAAGAGAGTTACTTGGGAATGGCAAGATCAAAATTTCTCACTTTCAAATTTATGAAAAATATTGTTTTCAGAACGAGTGACTTTGGGATCAGAAAGCCACCATTCTAATTGATGGTTCCACGACTGCACGGGCTCACACTCGCAAGAGCAAAAGTAAATCATCACAAAGGTGCTTCTTGATAATTCTAGAGAATGGAGAATTACTGTAACATCTTTCTGATTTTAGGAGAGGTAGCAGTTCCCTTTTTAGCCTAAACGCCATTTTTTTTTTACAGCTCAGCCAAGAGACTCCATTATAATTTTCAAATGTGTGTAACTTAAATTCTCATATGAAATATCACTATGCTTAAATTAGTCAAAACATTTTCCCCATCTATAACTCTATCTTGTCATTGCAATCATTTTCACAAAAGTGACTGCAGCTCACAGACCCTAAAAGGAGAAAATCCAGGGTAGGTTATCTGATCTAGTTAGTTTCAAAGACAGGATCTACAGATTATTTAATATGAAATAGGTCACCTGAAATGAAGTGTTTACTGAAAACAGCTTGGATCAGCCCAGTTTTCTACCACTGAACCATGCATTTGGTTTAAAAAACACAACAACTCTGGGGAATATCAGCTGCTTCCAACTGTGTTGAAGGTGTTAAAGAAAAGAGCATGAAATTAAAAATGATCATCTGAGGCCTTTATAGTCTCTGCTCAAGAGACTAGAGTTTTCCATTCTTAACGAAACACCCAAATATCTTAATAATTGGGTAAAATCTAAATATCAGAGATAATTTTATCTTGAAGATTGTTAAATTATAACGGTGATTCACTACCTTGCCACGTCTCTGAGTCAAAAATTAGGTCTTTGTTTAGGAATCAATCATAATCTGCAATTTGGAAATAGGAAGATTTTAGAAGACTCAGACATTGACTTTCTTGTGTGCAAAAAAAAAGACATATTGAGATAATACAAGTCTTTCCTTGCAAGGATACCTCTAATGCTCATACACCACCTCCCCTAACATTAATATAGCTTCCAGGTCACTAACCAGTGTCAGAGAGCAGCCCATGCAACTAGAAATTCAAAAGATGTCGAACATAGGGTCAAGCTTAGAATAAGATGTCTTAGCTAATTAAGTATGCTTTTTTCCCGAAATTCATATTAACAAAATCTTGGATATGTCAGAGAATGCATTCTAAGTTCACTCAACCTAGGAGGGAGAAACATAATTTTAAATGAAGAGCTGAAGCATTCTTGTCCTAACAGAAAGCAAGGAAAACGAAATATCACACCACAGGAGGGATTTCACAAATTTGTGTCAACATCAAAACCTTAAAATAGGCAAGGAGAATGCAGATTCACAATGAACTCTTGTACTTGTTTTGTTCAGAGAAGAGATGGTTCTGAGAGAATGACAGTGAACTAACCCCAGCTGGTTTAGTTGATGCTTTCAACTACTGCTTCTGATCAACTCCTTTAGCTAGAATAAATTGATGAGGATTTTGGCATGTGGTATTAGAGATGGTTATTAATTTTCTCCTCTTATTTGCATTGTTCAATATAGTAAATACTAGCTGTATATGGCTATTTCAATTCAAATTAATTACAATGAAATATACTTAAATATTGAATTTTTTAGTCACTCTTGGTTCATTATTGAATATCTTCAGCTAAGATTTCCCAACTAAAGACACTAAGAGGTGGCTTAGTTAACTGGTCGTCCACAAATATTGAAGCTGTTGTTAACTCCTGATATATTCTCTGCAAAGAGAATATTCATGAGCCTCCTCCTGAAATCAGCAGCCTAGAGATAGTTTTATAAACGGGATACAAGTTGGAAATCTATATACTCTTTAAGTGTTTGAAATATTAGCTTCCCAGGGAAGAAAATCAAATTCATAAGATATGTTAGGACAATTTAACTCAAGATGTTCAAAACTGAAATGACATATTCTACAACATGTGATAAAACCACCCCCTAACAACTTAAAGCAAAACAGGGATGGACCTTAAAGACCTGCCTTTTCCTCATCCCCCAGCCAGTTTTCACATCTTGCATTTTATTTTGAAAGGTCCCTATCCCCCTGGTCTCTTGTTTCTAGACTTGGCACATATTTAAGTTTGTTACCTCTCTCTACTGACTTTTCTCTCTTCAAACAGTATCTATGCCTGCCAAATGTGAACATACAAAAAACAAATCAGAATGTGCCATTCTGATTTAAACTGCTTATTAGTTAATACCCTCAAGATAACATCTGGGTTCTTAGCTTCAATGAGTCAAGCCTACTTACATCTTTTTTTGTCTTTGGCTGCACATTTCCTGTCACATCCACTCCAGCAATGCCAAGCTGTGCCAGCCTTCTACCCCATCTCCATTATTTCGCCCTCCGCCGCCGCGGCTTTTTGACCCCCCGCCGCCGGAGCTTTTTGTCCCCCCGCCGCCGCGGATTTTTCCCGCCCCGTCGCGGCGGCTTTCTCCCCCCACCGCGCCTCGGCTTTTTGTACGCTGCGGCTTTTTGCCCCCTCAACGCTAGAGCTTTTTGACCACCGCGGGTTTTTGACTCTTCACCGCTGCGAATTTTGCCGCCCTGGCTTTTTGCCCGCCAGGGCTTTGTCCCCCCCCCCCCCCGCCGCCGCGGCTTTATCACCGCCTTGGCTTTTTCCACCCTGCCCCCGCGGCTTTTTGCCCGCCGCGGCTTTCTGCCACCCACCCGCCGCCGCGGCTTTTTGCCCCACCGCCGCCGCGGCTTTTTGCCCCCACCCCGCCTCGGCTTTTTGCCCGCCTCGGCTTTTTGCCCCCCGCCGCGGCCGCGGCTTTTTGCCCGACCAGGCTTTTTGCCCCACCGCCGACACAGCTTTTTGCACCCTCGCCGCCGTGGCTTTTTGCCGCCGCGGCTTTCTGCTACCGCTGCTTTTTGCCCCACCGCCGCTGTGGCTTTTTGCCCGCCGCGGCTTTTTGTCGCCGCGGCTTTTTACCCGCCACGGCGTTTTACCCGCCGCGGCTTTTTGCCCCCCGCTGTCACGGCTTTTTGCCCCCCCGCCGCAGCGACTTTTTCCTCGCCGCGGCTTTTTGCCGCCGCCGCTGTTGCCGCCGCTTTTTGCGCCCGCGGCTTTTTGCCGCTGTTGCCGCCGCCTTTTGCCCCCGCCGCAGCGGCTTTTTGTCCCCGCCGCCGCGGCTTTTTGCCACCGCGACTTTTTGCCCCCGCCGCCGAGGATTTTTGTCCCCGCCGCCGCGGCTCTGAGGGCGGGAGCGGCAGGCTCGGCTGCCAGCTCTACTGGCGTCCTGGCAAGGGCAGCGCCCAGGGGTGCTCCAGGTCCAGCTCTCCTGGCTTAGGGATTCCTTGCCTAGGTGCCGGCGCCCCGGGCTCCTTGCCTAGGCCCCTGTGGCCTGCATAGAGCGGCGCTGCCTGCGGAGGCGATGGGGGAGAAGAAGGATGGTGGTGGTGGGGGTGATGCGGCGGCCACGGAGGGTGGCACAGGGGCTGCGGCCAGCCGGGCGCTGCAGCAGTGCGGGCAGCTCCAGAAGCTCATCGTCATCTTCATTGGCAGCCTGTGCGGGCTGTGCACCAAGTGCGCTGTGTCCAGTGACCTCACCCAGCAGGAGATACAGACCCTGGAGGTAAGGGGTTCGGGGACCCGGGCTGGGCTCCAGGAGCAGCCCGGACACCTCCTTCGGGGCCCCAGTTCACTCCTGGCCGAGTTGCACCCTTGAGCCCACGTCACCCCCTTGGAGGCTTCCCCTCCCTCCTGCACTCGCTGATGCGGCAGCCAGAGGACCCGGGACCAGCCCTCACCTTGGGCAGGATTTGTGGAGCGGGTGTGTGGTGGGAACTGGGATGGAGGCTCCAGGGTCCCGTGGGGGTGGGGGTGGGCTGCGCGAGGACATCCCCTTACCCCCTGAATTTCCATCTGGTCCAGCCCTCTCATCTTGTAGGTGAGGAAACCGAAGGCCTGAGGGAGAAATGACTTGCCAGGAACCCCTGTTAAGGAAAATTAACAAAGTGTGGTTATTAAAGAAGAACTGAGTTGGGAGTCAGACCTGGAGGCCCGCACCCGTGGTTAAGACATTATACCACCTTGAGTCTGGCCTGTTGACTGAGGGTGAGCCACTCCATCCTCATGTGATTGTGGGGTCTTAACCTCAAAGGGTTTCCTGCAGGAAGAAGCAAATGGGTTTGCTTTCCTAGCTCTGTCCAGTACGTTAGGGACCCTGAGGACTGAAGGGATTCTTGGAGAGCCATCTGGTGTATGTCATGGGTAGGTCTTTTTTGAAGGTCAGTCTGCCCAGTGGGCTGGCTCAGCCCGAATGAACTGTCTTGAATCTTTGGAGTTGTCTGTGTACTTTTAAGGGCTTCTCAGCCTTGCACCAAAAGATCCCTCTGGAAATTAGGTGGGATAAACCTTAACTTTTGTGGAGCCTTGTGTTTGTCTTAAAAGTTCATGCACATAGCCAGGTGTGGTGGCTCCCACCTGTTATCCTTTCCTGGATCCCTTGAGTCAAGGAGTTTGAGACCAACCTGGACAATATAGTGAGACCCCATCTCTACAAAAAAGAAAATATTAGCCAGGGGTGGTTGTGAGCATCTGTAGTCCCAGCTACTACTGTGGCTCAGGCGGGAGGAGCACTTGATCCTGCACTGAGCTGTGATCTCACCAGTGTACTCCAGCCTGGGCCACAGAGCAAGACCGTGACTCAAAAAAAAAAAAAAAAAAAAAAAGACAAGAAAAATTCTTCAAGATTTTGCATTCTGTCCCACTATCCATTGGTTTTCATGTCAAGATAATGTCAGAAATTCTTTACAATTGCTTCCAGAAGGAGTAGCCTTTTGATCTAGTGCACAGGTGTCCAGTCTTTTGGCTTCTCAGGGCCACATTGGAAGAAGAATGCTCCTGGGCTGCACATAAAATACACTAATGCTAACAACAGCTGATGGGGTTAAAAAAAAAAAAAAGTTTGTGCATAATTTTCATGCTACCCACCACCAAAGATAGGTGGAAAAGTCCTTGTAGTCAAAGGGTTGGACACTGCTGATCTAGTGTCTTGTTGTCCGTTTTGGCTTTCTCCCTGATTCCAGAATGCAGGTAGAGATGTAGAGACATGGTCTCAGGACAGCTGTTGAGATAAAAAAATTCGTTGTCATTTATTCCCAAGCACAGCTGTTTCTCATTGCATTGAAAAAGTCTCCATTCAAACTGCTGTCACATATAAAATCCATTTATGTAAGTCTGTATTTTTCTGTTGTCTTGGCCTTTGTAGGCAGTAGTGTGTTTTAACCGAGCAAACTGTCCTTCCAAATAATGAAGCCGAAGTCAGCCTACCTACTTGCCATTTTTCTTCCACTTCCATTTTTGTAACCTCAGAATAATTGTAAGAATGAATTAAGATTTGTGTTTAAGGCCAGGCACAGTGTCTCAGGCCTGCAATCTCAGCACTTTGGGAGGCGGAGACTGTTGTATCGCTTGAGCTCAGGAGTTGAAGACCAGCCTGGGCAACATACTGAGACTCCGTCTTGTATAATTTAATTAAAATTTAAAAAAAGAAGAGAAAAAGACTTGTGTTTAAAATTTAAAAAAAGGGGGGAAAGTGTAATGCAAAATGTGGACTATGCCAGCTATGATTGGGAAAACTAGTTTTTCATACAGCATTATCTGTAGACTTGTATTAGCAGCATACTGGTCATAAGCGTTCTGCTTTCCTCAAATATGATGAGGTAAGCTAATTTAAAGTGTGTTGGGGCTTTCTGCTGCGTGGCTCCTGGAGGTGTTGAGTCCCAATTTCGCCAATTAATTTGGGTTTAGTTTTGACGTGGATAAGGGAGACCAGCTTCATTCATGGTGTACACACAGTTTTGCCAATAAGGTAAAAAAAAAGCCACCTGAATGTTCCTACTCATTAGATGCTATCTGGAGAGCTCCTACCCCACCCCCACCAAGGCCCGGGCCATTAAAAAGACTCAATGCAGTCTTTCTGTATCTCATACTGTATTCTGCAAGATACTCCTGTGAAAGAAAGTTGTGCTGCATCAGCCATCTCCCTCTTGAAGGTCCCTGCGGATGAGGATTTGTGTTTTGAAAGTGTTGAGACTTCCTGCAACAACAATTCTCAAACTTATTTGTCCATGGGATCTTTTCTTCCACTGAATGTAGTTGGGGAGACACGGCCTTAAGCCTTGAGCAGAGAAAGAGACAAGAAACTGTTGGCTCACTTACAACCAAGTGTTGTGTTTATGTTTTAGGTTTTTATGAAACTGAGATGCCGTTTGAGGTTCTAAATGAAATTGGGTGGTTGAAGAGAGGCTGGTATCCCTGTAGACTTAGCCAGCCATGAGAAGTTGCCTTTTGTTGAAGGAGGTGTTTTACAAAGGGAAATAGGGTGTCTCCTGGGCATCGCATTAGCAATTAAATACATGTATCACTGAAATGAAATGAAATGATGAAATGATGAAATGAAATGATGAAATTAAACGAAATGATGAAATGAAGAAATGAAATAATGAGATGAAATGATGAAATGAAACGAAATGATGAAATGGAATGATGAAATGAAATAATGAAATGATGACATGAAATGGGGAAATGAAATGAAATGAAATAATGAAATGAAATAATGAAGTGAAATGAAATGAAATGATGAAATGATGAAATGAAATGAAAAGATGAAATGATGAATTGAGGAAATGATATGAAATGATGAAATGAAATGATGAAATGAAGTGAATGATGAAATGATGAAAAAATGAAATTAAATGATGAATTGATGAAATGAAATGATGAGATGAAAAGGTGAAATGAAACGAAATGATTAAATGAAATGAGGAGATGAAAAGATGAAATGAAATGATGAGATGAAATGAAATGATGTGATGAAATGATGAGATGAAGTGAAATGATGAAATGATGAAATGTAATGAAATGATGAAATGGAATGATGAAATGAAATGATGAAATGAAATTGTGAAATGAAATGAGGAAATGAAATGGAATGATGAAATGATGAAGTGAAATGATGAAATGATGAAATGAAATGAAAAGATCAAATGGTGAAATGAAGAAATGATATGAAATGAAATGAAATGATGAAATGAAGTGAAATGATTAAATGATGAAATGAAATGAAATGATGAATTGATGAAATGATCAAATGAAATGACGAGATGAAAAGATGAAATGAAATGATGAAATGACGAGATGAAAAGATGAAATGAGATGAAATGATGAGATGAAATGATGAGATGAAATGAAATCATGAGATGATGAAATGATGAGATGAAGTGAAATGAAATGAGATGACGAAATGCAACAATGAGAAGAAATGAAATAATGAAAGGATGAAATGATGAGATGAAATGATGAAAGGATGAAATGAAATGATGAAATGAGGAAATGAAATGATGAAATGATGGAATGAAAAGATGAAATGTTGAAATATGAAATGATGAAATGATGACATGAAGTCAAATGATGAAATGATGAAATAAATGAAATGATGAAATGAAATGAGATGAAATGAAATCATGAGATGAAATGATGAAATGAGATGAAGTGAAATGACGAAATGAAATATTGAGATGAAGTGATGAAATGAAATGAAACAATGAAATGAAGTGAAATGAAATGAGATGAAATAATGAGATGAAATGATGAATTGATGAAATGAAATGAGATGAAAAGATGAAATGAAATGATGAAATGAAATGATGAGATGGAAAGATGAAATGAGATGAAATGAAATCATGAGATGAAATGATGAAATGATGAAATGAAGTGAAATGATGAAATGAAATGAAATGTTGAGATGAAATGATGAAATGAAATGAAATAATGAAATGAAATGATGAAATGATGCGATGAAATGAAATCATGAGATGAAATGATGAAGTGATGAGATGAAGTGAAATGAAATGATGAAATGGAATGATGAAATGAAATGGTGAAATGAAATGAGGAAATGAAATGAAATGATGAAATGATGAAGTGAAATGATGAAATGAAATGATGAAATGATGAAATGAAATGAAAAGATCAAATGGTGAAATGAAGAAATGATATGAAATGATGAAATGAAATGACGTGATGAAATGAAGTGAAATGATTAAATGATGAAATAATGAAATGAAATGATGAAATGATGAATTGATGAAATGATCAAATGAAATGAGATGAAAAGATGAAATGAAATGAAATGATGAAATGAAATGACGAGATGAAAAGATGAAATGAGATGAAATGATGAGATGAAATGAAATCGTGAGATGATGAAATGATGAGATGAAGTGAAATGATGAAATGATGGAATGACGAAATGCAACAATGAGAAGAAATTATGAAATGAAATAATGAAATGAAAGGATGAAATGATGAGATGAAATGATGAAAGGATGAAATGAAATGATGAAATGAGGAAATGAAATGATGAAGTGAAATGATGAAATGATGGAATGAAAAGATGAAATGATGAAATGATATGAAATGATGAAATGACATGAAATCAAATGATGCAATGATGAAATAAATGAAATGAAATGATGAAATGAAATGAGATGAAATGATGAAATGATGAGATGAAAAGATGAAATGATGAGATGAAATGAAATGAAATCATGAGATGAAATGATGAAATGAGATAAAGTGAAATGACGAAATGAAATGTTGAGATGAAGTGATGAAATGCAATGATGAAATGAAATGAAACAATGAAATGAGGTGAAATGAAATGAGATGAAATGATGAGATGAAATGATGAATTGATGAAATGAGATGAAAAGATGAAATGAAATGATGAAATGAGATGAAAAGATGAAATGATGAGATGAAATGAAATGATGAGATGAAATGATGAAATGATGAGAAATGTTGAGATGAAATGATGAAATGAAATGAAAGAATGAAATGAAATGATAAAATGAGATGAAATGATGAGATGAAATGATGAAACGAAAGGATGAAATGAAATGATGAAATGATGAAATGAAAGGATGAAATGAGGAAATGAAATGAAATGATGAAAAGAAATGAAATAATGAAATGAAATGATGTAATAGATGAACCAAAAATACTTATTCACTTTTTTTCTTGGCATCCTTCTAAGAGTATTTTAGTGAGGTTAATTTCTAAAAATAAATTGCTATTCAATGGCTATACAGTTGGCCTTTGCACCACAGGGGTTTGAACTGTGCACGTCCACTTAGCAAAACCAACAATTCTACATCCTTATCCACACCCTGCCCATGAAAAGGATGAGGATGAAGACCTGTTTGATCATCTACTTCCATTTAATAACTAGTAAATCTATTTTCCTTATGATTTTCTTTTTTCTTTTGTCTGGCATGTTTGTTAAGAATACAGTATATAAGACATATAACATATTAAATATGTGTTAATTGACTGTGTTATTTGTAAGGCTTACAGTAGGCTATTAGTAGTTAAGTTTTGGGGGAGTCAAAGTTATAGTGGATTTTCTACTGTGCAGGGGGCCAGCACCCCAACCTCCGTGTTGCTTAAGGGTCAACTGTACATGTTATTTCCTTTCCTGTAAGAGAAAAATGAGAAGGTCTTTTCTCCAATAAGTGTCTTCAAAATGTAGCAGATTTGAAATGTGTTGGCGCCACCATTTTGCGTCTCATTTTGAAAACTTATTATTTAAAATCGTACTAAAGCCTACCTTACTTTTCCAACCTTAGAAAAAATGTTCCAAAGAAAAGGGGTGAAACCATGCTAGTTTGCCCTGAAATTTGAAATTATCTTTTAAAAATATATTTTGACATTAATTACTTCCAAACTAGAGATCAGTTGCATACAAATGGCAGGTCACCCTAATCCACCCTATGACTGCACTTAGATTCATGAGGGATTGTGCCATCTAGAAAGGGCAGAGAGGAGGAATAGAGTGCTCTGCGTCTTGAAATATAAACATGCACATAGCCACATGCTTTGATTCTGTTGTCACTGTGTACTTACTGCTAGGAAGAGGGCATGTTTGTGTATTTTTATGCAAATTATTATCCAAGTTGTTAATGATTTACGCTTTCAGAACCATATAAAGATATTTTTCCTTTCAGATATAAACTATCTTGCATTGTTCTTCTGATCATATGAGGGATAAATTTGCCTAAATATTCTTCAGACCATAATAGTATGTCCTTATAAATGCCAGTAGCAAGAGTAGAATCAACCACAACTGCCTTAGTAATTATTTAAAGCATGTCTGCCTATAAGTAATTGGCATTTTATATAATCAAGAATATTTGATATAATAATCTCTCAACTATTTGAAACACGGCTCACATGTATTAATTTTTTAAGCAAATATATATATAATATCAGTGTACATGAAACTAAATTTTGGACTTTAGCACAGCTTCTTAGAATCCTGACTTAAATGTCTACAGTAATAGTTGGCTTAAAAAAATTTAGCACACTGTCACTATGATGAAAAAAATTACTATAAAATATTTAAAAAATTGTTCCACCCTAACATTTAGAATATTTTCACATTTGTGGTTAAAACCTATAGTGATTGTTCTTAGAATTTAGATAAAAAATGTTCCAGAAAGATTGAAGAGAAGCACTTTAGTCAATTTTTAGTTGTTGAAGCATGAAGAAAGGGCATTTCATTGACATTTTAAAAATTATTCAGATTCCCTCTTTGAATTCAAGAGTTTCAAAGATATCTTATTTTAAAATACCAAAATAGGAATAGGATATGAAGGGCTGGTTATGAGTAATATGATACAATTTTATGAGATGACGAGATTACAATAACAATACCTCCTCTCATAGAATAGCCAGCAAGTCTCCACTAAATAACAGTGCCTTGATTTTGTAGATGTTTAATCATGGATATTGAGTTAATGTGAACCATTTGTAGACACAGGAGTTTATTAAAGACTTATATAATATCTTTCAAGTATTTAGAATAGTGTTGAAATTAAGCCTGCATCCCCACGATTTTCAGCAGTGCTGATGCCTAATAAACTCAACCCCTTGCATGCCAAAATTGGCTTAAAGCCCATCTGTTACCCAAGCTACACTTCAAGCATCAAGGTTCAAAAATGTGATTTTGAATATGCAAGAGTTTGAGGAATTCACTACTCACACTTTCTTGAACAGTCTATCCAAGTGCATCAAGCAAAATGTGAGTAAAGAAATTTTGACCAAAGGATTGATAGTAATGTTGAATACATTTAATAGTAGATAAGATTAAAAGGTGAAAGTGAGGGTGAGAAGAGTGTATGAATGCTTTGTGTTCTGACAAAGAGAATGTAACACCCAGGTCCTACCTGCTTGGATGCATTGCCAGTGCCCACCGTAGGCCATTTTATCCAGGTTTTTAGGTTTTGTCTTGTTTTGTTTGGTTTTTTCCTTTTAAGGAGTGTTAGTCCAAGACCAATAACTCCGTAACTGGTAGATTTGGAAGACTTTAATAGTGCTTAACATTTTGTACATAGCTTTATAACAGTTTTCTTTTTCTTTTTTTTCTGAGAGATTCTTTTCAATATACCCCACATGGTTGAAATCAAAAATCATTGCTTATTTAAAATCTACAACTGCTGACGTTTTGTAACGTTCGCATTCCAGGTAATTGTTTTTTTGTGCATTTTCTGTATTTTTCTCCATCAGTCTACCTAGACATTTGTTAGATTTAATACTTTAATATTTTTCTGAAAAAGTGAGCTTTTGCATTTTTAAATATATACCCAGTTGCTTTAATTCTGCTTTTTCGTGTACTATTTCCTCGTTTTTTTTGTTTTTGGTTTTTTCTTTTTTTTTTTTTTTTTTGACACGGAGTCTTGCTCTGTCACCCAAGCTGGAGTGCAGTCGCGTGATCTCTACTCACTGCAACTTCCACCCCCCACGTTCAAGCAATTCTCCCACCTCAGCCTCCCGAGTAGCTGGGATTGCAGATGCATGCCACCATGCCAGGCTAATTTTTGTATATTTAGTAGAGAGTGGGTTTCACCATGTTAGACCAGGCTGGTCTCGAACTCCTGACCTCAGGTGATCCACCTGCCTCGGCCTCCCAAAGTGCTGGGATTACAGGCGTGAACAATGGCGCCTGGCTATCTCCTTCATTCTTTATGTTTATTTTACTGGTTTTATCTCTCTCTCTCTCACTGTTTCTCTCCTTCTCACATTCACTTTGCAGTTGTCAAATAGCCCAGGTGATGTTACAGATTTACTCCTTATAAAAGGAGGCATTACACATTACACATGCATCTTAGTGGCCTTACAAAAGTGTTTGGTTTATTTGTATTGACTATTCACCTTTAAAATATTTCAATATTCATTAAAATAGCTTCCAACCAATATTATTACACTTATGTTTCTAACTTTCATTTTTGTATTTATATCTGCCTTCATTGCTGTTTGTTTAGGAAATATATTCTGTGTCATGTTATTTCCGTGAAAATTGTTTGAATTTGTGGTATTCGTATGGTCTAGAAAATGTTAATTTTTGTAAGTATTCTGTATGAACATGAAAATAACATGAATTATAATATTCATGTTCCTTATATAATATTTGCCCTTTTTAAAATCCACTAGCTTCTTTTAAAACTTACTCTTTTAATTTTTTCTTTTATCTATTACTGAAAGACGTGTGTTTGAAATGTCTATAATATTTGGGGGCTTATCCGTTTCTACTTACTTTCTGATATTTTTGCTTTATATAATTTGACTCTCTCTCTACATACGTGTGTGTCTGTGTGTGTGAGAGAGAGTGTGTGGTTTGTGTGTCTATATATATGTATGTATCAGGCTAATGCACATTTAAGTCATCACATCTTCTTAATAACTTAAAACTTTTATCACACTGGTTAGACTAACTTCTTTTAATAAATGTTTCTAACTTACATTCTATTTTGTCTACATAGCAACTTTTTAAAAAATTATATTCATGTAGTATGTTTGTATGTATATCATATATACACAGTATCTGTATTGTTTGAACTTCAAAGTTTCTGTAAATTTATATATTAGTTGTGTCTCTTGTAACTATGATAGAGACGGATGTTTTAAATTTTGCCAATCTTTGTATTTTAACAAAAACATTGTCTACTTAGGTTTAAGTTAATCTTTGATCATTTATACTTAATTTTGTATTATTAATTTGTTGTGTGTATATATATATATATATATATAATGTCTCATTTTCTCCTATCACTTTCTGTCTTCTTGTTTTAAAATTATGACTTTTATTTTTATTGTTTTCATAGACACAACAGAGAAATGCATAATGTCCAGTCAATTTATTAAAGTTCCAAAGTCGGTCGCACGCAGTGGCTCACGCCTGTAATCTCAACACTTCGGGAGGCCGAGGCGTGTGGATCACGAGGTCAGGAGTTGGAGACTAGCCTGACCAACATGGTGAAACCCCGTCTCTACTAAAAATACAAAAATTAGCCAGGCATGGTGGCACGCGGCTGTAATCCCCGCTACTCAGGAGGCTGAGGCAGGAGAATTGCTTGAACCTGGGAGGCAGAGGTTGCAGTGAGCGGAGATGACGCCACCGCACTCCAGCCTGGGAGAAAGAGTGAATGAGACTCCTTCTCAAAAAAAAAAAAAAAAAAAAAAAAAAGTTGCAAAGTCATACCTTTCTGCTCTTGTCAGACAATTAAGGGGTCTTTGAATACTTCAGCCCTAATAATTTCCTTCCTAACATATATATTGCAGTGTTTATCTAATTTTAAATATCCTTTTGTTTCAACACCTAATTTTCTATTTTGATCTATCTGTATATTTACAATATATTTTCCTCTGTGTTCATTCTTTGATTTCAGAACTTCAATCTTTCTGAAGCATGTTTTCAGAGTTTCCTTTGAGTTTCTTTAGTGGAATTCTGCTGGTGGTGTTTTGTTTTTTGTCTCTAAATATGTTATTTAGCCATAGGTTGATGAATATTTTTCTTGGTTGAGAATTTCCGAATGGCATTATTATTCTTAACAAATAATATTGTTTATTTTACCTTTCATGCTTTCAGATTTCAATATGATTAAAGGTAATTTGATTTTTCTAGTGCTAATTGAAATATTTTTCCCTTCCTGATTGTTTACTATTTCTCTAGGAGATATGTAGATGTAGGTTTATCTCCATTGTAGCTTGCTTAGCATGCATAGAAGTTTTGAATATGTGGATTAGTGTCTTACAAAAGTCTAGAGAACTTTCAGCCAAAATACCATCACATATTGTCCCTTCCCAGTTCCCTTCTTCTATGAGAACACTCACTAAACACATGCTACACTTTCTCACTGTATGTTCCATGTCTCTTCATGATTCTGTCCACATTGTGCCTTTATTTAAATTTTCTGTAATGCATTCTGAAATATTTATGAACTCTCACCATGGCCATGTCTAATCTGATGAGTTCATTTTTGAGTTTTTAATTTAAAATGCTATATACAAACTACTTTTCAAATTTACTACATCAATTTTTTAGTCTCCTAAATATATATTCATTTTTTTAAAATTTTTGAAACAAATGTGCTTTATAATCTAACAGTGATATTTCTACCAATGAACCTTTGTGGATCTGTTTGTACTCTTTTTCTGCTTTCCTTTCAAATGGTGGAATATCATTTCCTTGCGTACTTAGATGTCTTTGAATGACAAAGATTTATTTTTCTCTGAAAATTATTATTGTGCACTTTTGCATATTAGTAAGAAGAAAATTTGCCAAAGAGAATTTGAATTTTTTGTGAGTCTACTAAAGGCACCACCATTCTGGGACCACATTATATTAATTCTTGGCCTAAAGGTGTTTGGACGTATGTTTGGACAGCACATTTAAACAATTTTTAAATTAATTGCTGTAAATCATTAATGATTTTCTTTAAATCTGTCCAATCTCAAGTCATTTTTATTTGCCATTTCCAGGGAATGTGAAATGAGACTAATTTACCTCTGATTCTTCTTTAGACTGAGGATATAAATTTTGGTGCTAGCTTTAGGGAAGAGCTCCTGTGTGATGCCCTATCTTGGGAAACACTATGTATTTCTTTACTGTCCTATGTGATGTATGACAGTAGGAATCTGTACACATTCATTTTGCTACCTGTCCGTAGGGCAAAATCAGTTTCAGTGTTTAGGTGTATTTTGTCTGCTCCCTGCATTCCCATAGTTTTGACCTTATATTTTACTCTTTTTTTTTTGTGAACATACCAATGCTTCAATTTTTTTCCAGTAATATAATCAACTATACTATAAGAGAAAAATTTTGATAAAACACAAATTTCATGTTTTCCTACTCTAATTGGCTTTTATGTAAAAATACAGGTAAAATTTATTTGTGCTTTTTTGCTATTATTTTTTGCTATTCTCTGTTTGTCTATGTCTTCACCACATAGACACAATTAGGGAATTTTGTACACTCTTGTGCCAACTGCTTTGATAGGAACAAAATGTATTTCTCGAACTCCTAGGTATAAAACTTAAGTATCCACGATTTAAATTCTTTTTTGCTCACTTCTATTATGTTTCCAGTCTCAATAGAAATCGATGCCAATCCAGAAATACAAGCACTATTCTAATACTTCTCACACATTACTGATATAGATTAAATTTTCTAGATCTCCTTAAATACTATCATTTTTCACTACTTGTATCTTAACTGTTAAGTTCAACATTTTCTGTAATATTAATATATTGTGAAAATTTCCTTACTTTCTTATTTGTCCCAGGTTCAATGTTTTGCAGTCTCTACCTCACCCTGTGAAGCATAAACATTGTACATGCTGTACAAATAATACATCGTTCATGTACTTAGTGATTGCACAATTTTTATTTGGTTGACAATAGCTAATGTTTTCTTCTTCATTTTCTATTTCCTGATTTTTCTTTATTTAGTATATACTACATTGTCATAAAAATAAGAACGTTTTACAAACTAAAGCAAAAGCAACCCTAGGAATAAAATGCACAAATAAAATATATAAACATACGTTTAGATGTACCACATACCCTTGTAATTTATTTAGACTTTTAATTTTAGTACAATTTTAATTAAAGTCTGTGTTTTATCTGTCATCGTCTTAGTATTTTTTATATAACAAATTGTGTAAATCAAAAAGTCTCAATGTCATTATAAACTATCTTGGCAGAGGTTGATCTCCAAGGAATAATTTCTCTCCTAAATTATGCCAATCCAAATTTCACTCTACCGTAATTCTTTTAATCAGTTTCAGAGGAATAATAAATTTCAAAATTGTTCAAGGTACTTCTTTTAGTTCAAGTACCTTTTGACAGGTGTAAAACTGTAGACAGACTGATACAAACATATTCTAATTGACTCAAAATTATATGGGACCTATTTTAAAATCTAGATTTTAAAATGTGTCAACATACACATGTTCTCCTTGTGAAATAATTGCTTTTTATTCTCTGGATAGAATAATTTAATCTTTAAACCTTCCATTCACTCTTAGAAACAAAATACTACATAAGGATATGCTTATAAAAATAATTCCCAACTAGCTTTTCAGTTCAGAAATATATGTGAAGAATCATCAAACATCTAATGGATTTCAAGGAGAAATGGGTTAGTAATTTATTCCATATGTCTCAATTTTTCCTAGACTCAAGGCTTCCTTTTAAATAATTGTAGGCGTTTAAGAAACCATGTAAACTAAAAAGAAGTTGTGACGCTGCCGCTTAGGCTTTTTAAGTCTTTGGACATGATTCAATATATTTTTTAAATTGTATCTTAATTAGACATTGTGAGTTCACCATCTTCCTGTCAATATAGCATCCAAGCTGATTATCATAGATTACAAGTTCAACTATCAACTGTGTTCTGAGAGTCTAAAAAAATAAATGAACATATTTGTTTGGGTATTCTTAAAGCAGGAGTGAGGACACAGTGAAAGTGAGACAAGGAAAAGAGAACAAAATAAAACAGGAAAGATAGAAAAGCCAATACCACACGTGTTAAGAGGTAAGTTCCTGTGTTAGATATCTGGGTTTAATTTTATGGGAAGCTATGTGGAGCATGCCTCAGAATTACATCACTGAATCCAGGGAGATTCTTCTTAGTTACCCTCACCTTTTCTTTCCACTTCATGCCCAGTAACAAGTTCCCGTGCTGCTAGAGAAAGTCCTCAGCTAGAAACTGGTGCAAATTCTGGAGATGAGACCTTGTAGAGTGTTAAGAATGGTTTTCTTCCCAGCAGCTACAGGTAAGGAATAGGGGCTGGGCTATTAATACATCTGCTACAAACGAATAAAGCCCTTATGCTCCTTTTGGTGATCGACAATGTATTTAAAAATATTAGATGATCAAGAAGGGCTGCAGAAAGGAGGAAACAGAAACAAACAGCACACCTCTTGGTTTATTTGTATTCATTTCATCAGTTTCAAGGAAAATATGTTGGGAGTTCCTGGCATAGAGATGTCACAAAGACATGTTTTCAATAGTAGTGCTATCCCTAGGGCAGAGACGACCCAGAGAAAGCCCAAGTGGCTGCTGGAACAAAGTCAGACATCGTGCCACCTGTCCACACTCCTTGGCTCTGCCATCATGCTGAAGATCGCTTTAAAGGACTGGCTTCCCTCCCCCCAAAATGAAAAGAGCACAAACTGAGAAACTGAATGTGGGAGACAGCAGTGGATTATGCTGTTCTCAGGGCTCACCTCATGTTTGGAAGCATTCTTTCAAATTAACCCATCTCAGGCCATCTGCAGAGAAGAAAGGTGGTACCTAACTTTTTTTCTTGTCAGCATTTGGTAGGGGTGTTTTATTGACCAAATATGTTCCCACAACCTAGTTTTTTGTGAGTAACTAAATATAGTAGAGTTTTAAATTTTATCATCAAAATCTATAGACAATTTTTGATGAAAATAGACTCCATCTCTATGTCCTGCTTTTCTTCTTCTTATTAATTACATTGCTGTATAAAAGAACAAGACTTCAGAATCAAGAATATCTTGTCTCTTGGCATTGAATTTATACAAGGTGCTCTTTCTTTAATGCTGTCTCAAAGGACATATTTTTACTCATTAAAAAGGAAGATCGGAATCTAGTTGTATGCGCTGCTCCAACATATTAATAATTAAAATTAGGAGGTAAATGTGGTCAAAACTATAGAAAGACTGAGATGTCATTTATATTGATTACTGTATAGCATTCTGCAAACAGAAATTGTTAAATAAGTTTATATAAATATTTTGTAGCATTTCAAATATTTGAGTGCTTGACGTTTCTCCTCTTCTATGGTTCAGATTATCAATTTGAAGACTTACTCCGCTAGTTAATATGTTTTTAGTCTCGTTCGAGTATTATATAAAAGCAATTTTCAGTTAAATGTGTTCTGCTTACATAAAACATTACAAATTATTGAGGATTTAATTACTTATTCATGTTCCTGTAATGTCTTTAGAAGATTTTCTTATTATTACCTATCAATATATGTATGCTTTGTCAAAGAAAAATCAAACATATATATCATTGAAATTGAAACTTTTTAAAAGTACTTAATTCTATTGAAAAACCACATCCATAGGAACAATTACAATATAATATTGTGAACATGTAAACATATACCCTATGTCTATTTTATGTATAAGCATGTATGATTAAAAATATAGTGAAGAATTTTTAAACCTAGTATTATAAAGTAAAAATTAGTTAACTTCTGATGATTATTTGTTAATTAAGATAAAATTATTTTGATTTGGGTGATTTTAAATAAAGAAAAATATTAAATTACATGACAAAAATTCTTTATAAAATGTTTATGATTTTTACATTGGTTTTATCACTTTTTCCACTATTTTATTTTAAGATGACCTGCCTTGTTTAAAACACTGTATTCATCTTAATTAAATTAGATTCCATTTGTAAAATAATTAACAAATGATTTGCTCTATTTTACAGTGCGGTTATAAACTGAGTCAGTATCTCAAGATTTGATCCCCATTATCATCATCTGTGGCTCTATTTGTTTTATAAATGTATTGTCTTTTTCCATGCCTGTCACATCTCTATTGCTTTTTCATTTTTCTCTTTGTCCCTTATAGGGAGCATTGCCTATCTCTAGATTAAGCAAAAGTTGCATCATAAAAAAGCACAATAACCTGCTCAATCTTTCTCACACAGAGAAATGTTTGTTAAGTAATTAAAGTGTAGATGATGATACAAAGACCTTGATTAAATTAGATAACAAAGTACCCTTGTGATTCAGAATATGAATGGTATTTAATTTCTTTGAAATCATTAATTGCTGAGTGACATTAATTAATGCCAATTTTCCAGAAGATGTTCTAGTTAATGAAATGTATACAACGAAAAGCACAATAACCTGCTCAATCTTTCTCACACAGAGAAATGTTTGTTAAGTAATTAAACTGTAGATGATGATACAAAGAGCTTGATTAAATAAGCTGCCAAAGTACCCTTGTGATTCAGAATATGAATGGTATTTAATTTCTTTGAAATCATTAATTGCTGAGTGACATTAATTAATGCCAATATTCCAGAAGATGTTCTAGTGAGTGAAATGTATACAACGTGCAAAAGATTCAGAACTCTGAAGGGCAACATTATTCTATAATTAAGAATTAAGAATTAATTCACATCAGTTATTGGGGAGAAATAATTTTTAAGAATTAATGACTGAGAAAATGTTTTTATTTTTTACTTAGAAAATTATTTTGTGCATGAGCATTACCGCAAGTTTTGCAAGAAACATAAATTTAAAGAAACAATTATGTGCACAAGATGAATTTAATAACATCTTGATATATTCCATGATTGCGGTTTTATTTGGTAAATCTTTAAATGCACACCATTTAACGATAATAAATGAATCTTGGAAATCTTGTAGGTAAGGGTAAATATTAGGATGCATCCAGTTACATTTACACACACATACATGCATACAGACTGATTCACGTGTGTATATATATATATGAATTTACCAATTGATGTTAACTAATATTTATAAGAGCCAGTTGGATTGATATATATTGTTGAACCTGAAAAATATTTATTATATACATGTTTAAAATACACACAGAAATAAATAGCAATTGCACTAGGTATTTGAAACTGTACTAAAATATAAGCTGTGAACATTTTGTGATCATTACAAATTCTTACACTGAATAAATATTTTTATTTTTACAATATTAATATGTTTGATACCTGTGTACATTTTTTACAATGTGTTATTTTATTTTTGTCACAGAGTCATGTCATGCATAATAACATTTTAGTCAAAGATGGATTACATATTCAAAAGTGGTCCCATGAGATTATAATATATATTTTTACATACTTTTCTACGTTTAAGTATGTTTAGATACATAACCTCTTACCACTGTGCTCTTATTGCCTGCAGTATTCAGTAGAGTAATGTAGTACACAGATTTGTAGCCTAGGAGAAAGAGGCTATACCATATAACCTAAACGTGGTAGGCTGTACAATCTAGGTGTTTGTAATATTCTCTGTGATGTTTGCAAAATGATGAAATTGCCTATGAATACATCTGTTAAAACGTATCCCTATCATTCAGTGATGTGTGACTGTACTAAAATGCTCAATGTAAGTTTCAATGCCCTCCATAAAATTGTTGTACTGTGAAATACAAATCTCTCACCCATGGCCTGAATATGTTTGCAAACTAAGCAGATCATGGGAAGGAGAATGTGCTGGCATCGCTGGGATGATTTTCTCACACTACATGAATAATATCTACAGACTTCGTGAATATGAGCCACTTGCATAGAGTTAAAGTAGACATCTCTTTGCTGGGAAATTTATCAAATGGGAGTATGAAGTGTTTTTACAAGATACTTGTTTGTTTGTAGCTGGTAGGCCTACAGTGGCTCATGGCAATGGTTGAGGTTGCTAAGATTTGGTGGAAGAAGGCAAAATGAGATGGCCACTTATATGGTATATGGATCACTTGTTTCTGTTGAGTTACAAACTCAGCTGGCTATTTCTCCAATGTTAGTTATTTGGAGAAAAAAAAACGTGATGGTAATTTTGGGGTAACAAATACAATATTTGATGAAAGCAAATTTATTGAGGGTTAGACAAACTACAAGATACTTTAGGCTGCAAAGTCAACACGAGACTTCTGGCCCAAATTGTGAAGAGTTTGCGTCCAGCTGCACAGTTCAAAGGAAGAGGCCATGTAAGAAGATTCTCACTTCTGACACCAACTGCCAGTTCAGGGGTTTCCCCTGAACACCCTCAGTTTCAAGAGTTTACTAGAAAGACTCACAGAACTCATTGAATGCCACTGTACTCATGGTTTATAATAGAGAAAGGGTAGAAATTAGGACCAATAGAAGAGACATATCATATAAGGTGGAATCTAGGAGATTTTGAATGTTAAGTTTCCATTGTCTTCAGGACATATTACCTGTCACTGTTGTACAGCAACAAACATGGAGTACTACCAACCTGGGGAGCTCACCTGATGCTAACAAGACACTATTTACAAAATGAAAAGACAAATGAAAGGATGAGATAAGATGACGTTCCACATTAAGGCACTGGAACGATTAGCAAACTAAACCTAAAGCAAGCAGAAGGAAGAAAATTAAAATTAGAGAAATTAATAATTTATAATAATAATATTTGTTAGTGTTGAATAATTGATATTACTTCTTGACTAGCTTTTTTAAAAAAGAGAAATATTCACTTCCCAATTTATTCTGTGGGGCCAGTGTTACCTTGATACAAAAATTAGTCCAAATAGCATAGAAAAATAAAACTACTATAAGTATAAATGCAAACTTCCTTTAAAAATACTAACAAATCAGATCTAGCAACATATAAAAGAATTATACACTATGACAAAGTGAAATTTATACAAGTAATCCCAGGTTGGTTTAACAGCCCAAAATCCATTAAGGTAATACACCTTATCCATAGAATAAGAAACGAGAATTGCATGATCATGTCGATAGATTCGGAAAAGACATTTAACAGAATCCAAATGCTTTAATGACTAAAAATAAAAATAAAAACTCAATGAACCAGGAATAGAGAACTTTCTACACCTGATACATGGCACCTGTGAAAAGCCAACAGCAAGCATGCAACTTAATGGTAAAGGATGCTTTCCCGCTATGGTCAGAGATATATACTTTGATAGGATATATACTTTGACCTCTTCTAGTCAACACTGTACTAAAGATTTTATGCAGGGCAAATCGGCAACTAAAAAAATAAGAGTCACCCATACTGAACAGGAAGAAATAAAACTTTATTTGAAAATAACATTCTTGTATATAGAAAATTTTAAGGAATCCACCGAACGATAGAACTCGTAAATTATTTCAGCAATATTACAGCAAACAAAGTAAATGTACAAAAATCAATTGCACACATCTGCAATGAAAACCCCAAAATGAATTTAAGAAAACACTTCAATTTAAAATAGCATCAAAAAAAGAAATAATAATTAATTTGGAAAATGTGATACAAGATTTTACTCTGAAAATTAAAAATTATTGTTTAAAGAATATTTAAATAATTAGCAAACACCTTACACCCATGAATTGGACTATTTAATATTGTAGTACTTTACAATTTGAACTACAGATTTGATGAAATCCCTGCAAGTATCCCAACAGACTTCTGTCTAGAAACTGACAAGCTGATTCTAAAATACACATGGAATTGTAAGGGACTCAAAATAGCCAAAATAATCTTGAGAAAAGAAAACATGTTAGGATAATTCACACCCCCATGCTCCAAACCTTACTGCAAAGTATCAGTAATCAAGACAACACAATACTGATGAAGGAAAAATATATAGATTGATGGAAGAGAATTGAGAGTCCATATATAAAACTATGTGTCTACAGTCAATGGATTCTTACAGTGGTACCATGTGCAATTCAATGAGGAAGAGACAGTCTTTGAACAAACTGGGTCAACAACGTACACATGGATCACCACTTGCAAAATAATAAATTCGAACCCTTACCCCAAAGCATACAAAAATATTAACTCAAATGAATTAAAGACACACATGCAAGAGGTAGAATAAAGCATATGGGAAAGTCTTCATGATTTTGGATCTAGCAAAGAAATAGCTGTAACCCCAAAAACATGAGCAACAAAATAAAAATTAGATATTTAAAATTTCTTAAAAATTAAAGACATTGGTGTTTCAAAGGACAAACAAGCAAGTCAAAAGGCAGCTCAAAAATTGTGAGAAGATATTTGAAAAACACGTATCTATATGTCTGTATATATATATGTATCTTGAATATAGAAAAATTGTTTTAACTCCGTCACAAATATCCCAACTCAAAACTGATAAATGATAGGAATAGATGTGTTTCCCAAGAAGATACACGAACGGTCAATAATCCCATAAAAATATACTCAATAGCATCACTCATCAGGCAACTACAAATCAAAACCACAGTTAGATACTCTATGGGTAGAACTGGCCACCTTGGAAAATAATTTGATGGCTTCTAAATATATGAAACATAGAATTGTCATATGACCCAGAAATTTATTCCTAGGTATACACCCAGATTATTGGAAAGAGGTGTTCAAACACAAATTGTACACAAGTATTTTTAGCAGCAGTATTTAAAATAGCCGAAGGCTGAACACAACTCAAATGTCAATAAAAATATTATTGGATAAACAAAATGTTATATCCAAGAAATTGAATGTTATACAGTTATAAAAAGAAAGAAAGTACCAATACGTACATGAACCTTGATAGCATTATGCCAACTGAAAGAAGCCAGGCACAAAAGGCCACCTATTGTATGATTCTATTTAGATGAAAACAGACTAGGAAAATCTATAGAGACAGAAAACAGATTTGTGGTTGCTTAGAATTGAGTAGGGGATGGGTGCATAGGAGGTTAACAGCTAGGGAAGGTGGGGTTTCTTTTTGAAGTGATGAAAATGCTCTAAAATTCATTGTGATGATGGCTCCACTTATCTGTGCATATACTAAAAGCCACTGACTTGTAGACATTAATGAGTGCACTCTACACTATGTAAATTATATCTCAATAAATCCTTTCAAAAATACACAGAAGAGTAAGGGGTTTTGGAATGCTGCAGCTGGGAGGCAGTTTGAAATACTGAATAGGCCTCATCGAGAATGTGAAGTTTCAGTAAAGACTTGAGGAAGTTGAATGAGCTGATCAATGGATATATGGAGGGCTATCTTTCCAAGCCAAGAAATTAACTAGAGTCTTGACCATAAGGCAGCAGCATGTTGGCATGTCCAGAGGACAGTGAGGTGGCCAGGACCACTGGTAAGATCAAGGGTGAAGATATAAAAGAATTTTGGCAGTTAACATGTGGCAGATGATGATGGGCTTGCAGATCATTGTAAGAAATGTTGTTTTGGCCGGGCGCGGTGGCTCACGCCTGTAATCCCAGCACTTTGGGAGGCCGAGGCGGGTGGATCACGAGGTCAGGAGATCGAGACCATCCTGGCTAACAAGGTGAAACCCCGTCTCTACTAAAAATACAAAAAATTAGCCGGGCGTGGTAGCGGGCGCCTGTAGTCCCAGCTACTCGGGAGGCTGAGGCAGGAGAATGGCGTGAACCCGGGAGGCGGAGCTTGCAGTGAGCCGAGATCGCGCCACTGCACTCCAGCCTGGGCGACAGAGCAAGACTCCGTTTCAAAAAAAAAAAAAACAAAACAAAAAAAAAGAAATGTTGTTTTTAGTGTACATGAAATGGGGAGACAAATCATTATCCCATTATCAATATTTTAATAAATTGGATCCATGAACCAAATCCAATGAGATCAAATCAATTAATAATAATATGCAAATTTGTATTAAAATTAAAAGAATTACTTGCACATTTGAGAACAGGAGAGACATGATTTTTATCAGCAATAATAAACATTATTAATTTTAATTGTGATCAGCTAATTGAGATTAATTGCAATACATCATGCTTTATAATGTGACTGCCAAAAGGAAAATATGATTGTAATCTTATACTACATCTATCAATGTCTTTTATACATAAGAGTATAGAGTAAGCCCGTAGTTTTCAAAGCCAACCTATGAAGCAGTGACATCTTATGCAAGTTTGCTGCTTTCTGCCACAGTGATCCTTGGTCAGCGGGCACAAATTGTTTTACAAACGCCCCCTAGGTCTAAAAGTAGTTTGGATCACAATGAACACAGAAACACCTTCATCCCTTCAGAAATACCTATCAATTACTTCCAATACAGAATGAAAAATTGACAAAGGAAATATGTGGATTGTAAAAATGCCAGTTAGCTTGCAACTACATGAAAGAAAAATGCCATTTTTATTACATTAGGTCATTGTTTCACATGAGTTTTGGTATAGCAAAATGTTGAACCAAGGGAAAAGAGACATGAATTAATGAAGTCTTAAGATATCAAGAATTTGAAAGAAAAGGCAGGTCATCTTTGAAGGTTAGTGACATAACATTCATCTTCTGTTGTCACCTTTCCTGTCATTCCCTGTATGCCTGATGGACAGGTTTCACTCAAGTTCAGAGAACAGCATGCAAAATTAGCTACCAATTAATCTTTAGGAAGTGAGCTGCATTTCTAGCCAGACTGAGCTTACGTTTTAGCAGGAAGCATTTTTGGGAAATGTTTATGTTAGAGTTGGCCCTTCTTGACAAGGTGAGACATAAATGTCTACGTTATAGACATGAATTAAGATGGGAAGATATTTGGGGGAATCATTTACTCAAACGCTAAATAATAAAGGTACACAAAGGGCAAATTATACTAGATTTCTTTCCCACTTGTTTTCTATGTCTCATGCAATTCACCTTGATTCCCTTCAGTTTCTGTTTAATGTAGAAAGTGGCATTTTCATTATTTTAAGCTTCTAGCACAATGAAAGAATTTCTCTTTTTCATGAACAGGATCATACATGAAAAGGAGGAAGAGTGTCCTATATCATAGTTATTGTTCAACAAAACACTGCTCCACGGCTTAAATTCAGTTTAAGAAAGAGAATTTGTTGAACATCTAACACATACATAAAAGGCAGTAAAGACACATGAGAAGAGGGCAGGATATTGAAGTATACAGACTTCAATGCTGAGTTTTATATCTTAGGGAGTTACTCCACCTTACAGAGGCTCAATTTCCCCTGATTTAGGAAGGCGATGCTAATGGGTATTGCATAGGTGTAAGTATAAAAATGTTGTATTGAAGAGAATCCCACAAGCTTGGTATAAGGCAGAAAATAAATTGATGTGACATGAATAAGTAGTTTATTACATTTGTATGCTACCTGCGGACTAGAGGAAGCAAGAAACACAGCCACTATGCTTGATTAGCATTATAGGGATGGTACAATGATTGTTGCCAGAAGCTGGGGGGAGGAAGAAATGGGGAAGTATTGTTTAATGGGTATAGAGTTTCAGTTTTACAAGATGAAACGAATTATGGAGATGGATGGTAGGGACGGCTGCACAATGTTATGACTATATTTAGTACCACTGAACTGTACACTTAAAATGGTTAACCGAGTACATTTTATGTTATGTGTATTTTACCACAATAAAAAAATAAAATACCTTAGGAACATTTTCATGAAAAAGCCCACATAAAATTCATTTTAATGCACGTGTTTATGCATAGCTTTCTATTTTTCTCTTTTCCCTTTACATTCCTAATTCTAATCAGAGAAGGGAATCCCCTCTGTACCTCCAGGATATTCAGTAAAGACCACTGGAGGTTCATGCCCTAGTGACAGTGCTCATTTAGCTCCAAATTACAGATGGCTCTAGACTAACTCAACAAAGCTTAAAGAGAAGATTTAAAACAACAACAGACAAATACTCATCCTGAAGTTACTGAACTGCCTGCCACAACATTGTTCAAAGGTAGCCAATCAAATCTAGATATTCAATAGCATAACATCAAAATACCCAAAAAAAACTCTGACATGCAAAGAAGCCGTAAGATATATATAATTAAGATATATATTAACAGGATAAAAATAAGTCATTTATAAATGACAAAAAAGAAGGAAATTTCAAGGTTCTTAAAGTAAATATATTTTATAAATACATATAGATAAATACATATATATGTCAAGGTACTTAAATGAAAATTAAACATAGGAGAAAAATAGAAGTTATAAAATGAAAAATGTGACATATATAGATGAAAAATAAATATTTGAAATAAAAATTCCATGACATAGAATAAGTAATGGATTTTACCCTAACATCAGAAAATTTATAGAACAAATTAGAAGCATTACAAACTAAAGGACAAATGGTAAACTAAAATAAGAAAACCAGAAACTCACTGATACGTCAGACAATATGCATCAGTGTAACATACATGTAATCAATATCTCAAAAAGGATGGGTGGGGTAATTATAGGTGAATAAAGAATGGTACACTCATTCCTGAGGGCACCGAGGAGAGAGGATAGCTTTAGATTTCTAAGGGAGGGTATTATCCATTCATGAAGGTCCAACCCCATGACCAAACACCTCCCAGTGAGCCCCACCTGCAACATTGGGGATCAAATTTTAACATGAGTTTGGAAGGGGCAAGCATTCAAACCATAGCAAGAGTTAAATTTCCTTTTTAAGAAAATCACTGATATGATTCCACTTCACCATAGATAAAAACTAGTATTTCAGCCTACCATTGAGTGTGCTTATAGCTCACCAAAAGGGCACTCTGTCTCGGGAATACAGATTTGCCTACAGGTATCCTATTGCAGTCAAAGAAAGAGCAATGAGGGATAGAAAAGGTTAGTGATGGAGACACCAGCGCTGCATTTTGCAACAAACAATGTAAAAACTTTACGGATTGGTTCTGCTAACTTACTACAGTTTACATGCCTCTCAGGTGGGAGAATTGTTGCGTTTTTTCTTAAGATAGAAAAGCAATTCAGATAATCTGAAATCTCCACAAGAAGGATAAGAAGCACAGCAGAAACTATTCTAGGCAGGAAGTCAATCCTTTCAACTGTCTGTGCTCCATAGAAACAATTGTCTGCACTGGGAGTCATATGAGGTACAGACAACAGCCAGACTTCTGATCCTCTCATTAGTGATTTCAGAAGAAATTACCAGTCGACTGAGTAACTCACTGAGTATAGTAAACATTTGGCACTGAAAGAGGTTAGACGGATAACTATTTGTATCACCATATTCATGAAGCTGGAATATTTTCCATTACTGGTATCACATCCGAATGGAAGATGTTAAAAGGTCTCTCATCATGTAAGATAGATATGAAAGAACATTTTCTGAGAAATGAAATTATTAACACACCTGTGAGGTGCATGGAAGAGAAAAAAAGAATAATCACCTTGAGTTCTTCTCCTTGATAAGAGAACTCACTAAAAACATAAAGAGAAAAATACAAGTTTAAAATAATTAACCAGAAGAAGACGACTCTAGAGATTTTAAATTGCTGATAAGATTTTAATTTGCTCCAAGTTGAAAATAATTATATTGCTTGTGTTTTAAGGCACATAATGAGCAATTATATCACACATGATGGTTTCAGCAGTAAAATATGATCCGTTAACAGCTGGAACTCATAAAAGCATAGCACAATGTGAAGATGGAATTTGCTAAAAGAAACCATCTGCTGAAAACTGCTATCCTGCAAATTTAAAAATAAAGTTTAAATGTTATTTGTCTTATTTAATAGGTCTGTGAAAAAAAATGCGCTATTTGAAAAGTAGCTGCTACCTTAATTAATTCTTTATATTAGACGGCTGGTTACAGTAATGCACAGTAAGGTGCTACATAGATATATTGCTAAATTTTCTGCATATACTATGAATTTGGCTTAAATTATTTGAAATTTTATAGTTAAAATAACAAATGTATATTTAAATGTTGTGACACAAATTGCAAATATACCTTTAAAAAGCGTCTTACACTCTAAATATTATTTGTCACCTGTATATTTGTCTTTTCTCTATAGGAAAGTTTAAATTCTTCCCTTGAAGCTTTAATTATTTGAGTCTATAAAACAAACTGATAATGTACAAATTAACAGGAAAAAAAGGTTTACAGATATGTGCACAAGTATGCACTTGGAGTTTACATAATATATATAAATATATCTATACAAATATTTGTATATTATAAAGAGATATACAAATATATATTCTTTATATAAAAACTCCAGGAAAGGCAAGGTAGTCAACACGCCTATGCTGTCTTGAGGTTACAGAAAACACAGAGCTGTAGGTTGGTAAATCAGGCTTTGCGGAAGACAGGTGACGACAAGGAAGAAAGAGGAGCCTGGCAGCAGAGGTGGTCTTGTTACATGGATGAAACCTCACAGGGAGCAGCCCTCCTCTTGGGAAGTATAGATAGGAAATGGTTTTTAGAAATGTAAACGTGCCAGGCTCAGTTAATCATTCCAAAACCCAGACAAGGGAGTATCTCAGGGAAAGCCTGTATATATCAATGCAGATTTTCTCTACAAATGCAAATCTCCCCAACAAACACAGCTTTTCAGCTATTCTTGTAGAAGAAGCTATCTCCAGTCTTCCAAGTAGCCATCTTGAAATATGTCAAAAAGCTGGCCAGTCGCACGCCTGTAATCCCAGCACTTTGGGAGGCTGAAGTGGGTAGATCGCCAGAAGTCAGGAGTTGCAGACCAGCCTGACCTACATGGTGAAACCCCGTCTCTACTAAATACAAAAAATTAGCCGAGTGTGGTGGTGCATGCCTGTAATCTCAGCTACTTGGGAGGCTGAGCTAGGAGAATTACTTGACCCTGGGAGGCTGAGGTTGCAGTGAGCCAAGATTGTGCCATTGCACTCTAGCCTGGGCAATAAAAACAAAACTCCGTCTCAAAAAAATAATGTATTTTAGGGTAATATTTTGAGTATCTTTACCTCCATATGTACAATAAAAATTATTGCGATTTTTAATCTTTTCTGTGGAGAAAACACAGTTGTGATTTCTAGTGTAGCTGAACATCGTTTATTTGACAATATTGCACTTCTGTGTGGGTGTGTGCATGTGTAGCTACTTTTTAATTTGGTTCTCACAAAATGATTAGATACTAACAATTAATTCAGTAAAATGTATGTTTTGCAACATTTCTCCATGTTATTATGCTTTAAATTAGTTTAATCATGCCCCTATAATGTGTACATTTTAACCTTTGACTACAGGTCTCAATCCTACTTTGGTTCCTGTATTTGAATTTATGCTAATAAAGTCCTACAGCTAAAAAAGATTACATAAACTTTTTAATATAATTTTTACTAGTATTCTGGTGTCATTTTAAATTATGTAATGAAATCACATTTTAATTTGGATTATTATGTGAGTTAAAGATCTAAATTTTTAATTTTCTTATAAATATTACATAATTATTTCTGAACCATATATTGACTAATCTGCCCTTTATAAGATGTGTATTATAAGAGCTTGGGATTGTTTCATTTGCAAAGATGAATGCTTGAGAAGTAGATATTTAATCATAACATTTCAAAATCTACTGGATAACCTAGAATTGAAAAATAGCCTATAGGTTGAAAACCTCCTGTAGTGAAGAAAAAAAATAACTAATATACAGTGACAATATAAATATTATAAGTATTTATTTTATTATCACCATGAAATTTGATAATACAAACATGTAATATCTACATATCATCCATATATCAGGTCATAAAAAATCAATACATTCTTCAAAAATTTAGCATAACAGAAAATGCACTCTCTCTCCTTGATGGAATTAAGTTATAAATAAAAGTAAAAATAAGTAGATAAGTAGATGGAAGTAGATGTTTAAAAACAAAGAAAAATATTTGTTTTGGATAACATAAAATCTCAATTGACAATTCCAATATTTCCAGAACTTTGCCTGTCAACTGGTAGAGAGTTTTCCCCAGGAGACATTTGTCAATGTCTAGGGTTATTGTGGGGATGTCAAGACTGGTGGAGGTGTGAAATTTAGAGGTCAAACGAAACACCTAACATTGCTAGGGCAGCCTCCCACAACAAAGAATCCTCTGGTCCTAAAGGTAAGTAGCACCAAGATTGAGAAACCATAATCTAGACAGGAAACACTACGTAGCTATTCCAAGTGCGCAGGAAAACACATCAGTGCCCTCGAGGGGAAAAGTGTAAACATTTTAATTGCTGTACATGGTGACACAAATCCATGTTGTTAATCTAAGTGGAAGGGGCTGAAGCACAAAACATAATTCAAAGAGTTTACTTGAGCCACAATGAGGACAGCTGCCTGGAAGAAACAGACCCAAGTATCCTTGGATATGAACTCCCTTTGGAGCTTTGCAACAAGCAGTTTCTTAAAGGCAAAAAAGGGTCCAGAAGTGGGATGATGCAAAGAGGTTTGTCACAAATTCTCATTGGCTTATGGAAATAACATTTATTAGTGACTGGCTATACACTGTTACACTATTTTGGGGTGTGGATTATAGTGTCTGGTGTGGCGTTATTGGTTAATTTATAGCTACTGTGGCAACAGCAAGCAGCCTAGATGAACACACAGCTCAAAGAGGAGCAGGACAGAACTGCTGTCTCATTTGAATAACTCTCTGGGCCTGATTATATAAAAGGACTTGCATTTCTCACATGAAAGTTATTTTCTTTTCTCAATGTCCATAAATGAGAATAAATAGACGTAAGATACATCTTTTCGAGGATGAGGTAAATGGAATGAAAAACAAAACCCAAGCTGACCAGAAATCATTGAGGGAAGAAAAGGATATAAATACATGGATTTTTTCAATGTGATTTTAAGCTATTAGGAATCAGTTAAATGTTGGGGGAATTTGTCTGAGAATGGGCTAAAGAGAATGTCGCTTTTGCCTTCTGAAGTTTCCCTGAAAATCACGAATAGGAGGCAGATAAATAGTAGAAAAGGCATACAGGTTTCTGCAATGTGTGTACACTGGAACCCTTAGAACGAAGACCCAGTCACACGATGCGAGCAGAAGCTTATCTACCACATGAAGTTTACAGAAAAATGGGGTCTTGGATCACAGGGAAAAGAAAGAAAAAGGTTATGTGAGAAAACGACCCTGGCTAGCAACAGTGGACTTATTACATTGGTGGAACCTCACTGGGAGTAGTCCTCAGAGAGAATAGACAGAAAATGTTTCTTTCAGACCTTTAGAGACCTCAGCCTCTCAGTTAAACTTTCCTAGATCCAGACAAGGGGGCAGACCTCAGAGAAAACCTGGCTGCATCATGGCAGATTCTCTACCGATGCAAATCTCCCCAAGACAGCTTTGCAGCTAACATTGCATTTGCAGCCCTTCTCAATAGCCATTTTGAAATATATCAAGGAAATATATTTAGGGGTAAAATATATTAGTTTCCTTCATACAGCTGTAAAACATACAGGAATAATTTTTGTCAATGTCTACTACAAATCCAATATAGCAGTAACTATGAAACCCACCAGATATTGATGAAAAAATATGTAGAGTACCTCAATTACAAATGTTGATACTAAAATGCCAAATAAAATACAAATAATATCCAACAATATTTGAAACAGTAAGACAAGAAATTGGCAAAAAAAAAAACCAAATATCCACATTTGGGATGAAAGTGTGTTTCCAAATTTGGTAAGCCAGTAATATTAATAATCATATTGATTAGCCCAAATTAAAAATAAATAGGCGATTCTCAGTACTTGCTAAAATATATTTGTTAAAAGGCAATATTCATGTCTTTAAAGATTTTAAATGCTACAAAGAGTCTGATATTCTATATGCAAACGTGTATGTCCATTAGAAGAAGAGAGGCCTGATTTTCATATGTTACTACATAGAGATAGAGAAGTGGATAGATTAATTTGCATATGCATAGAGAAAGCATAAAATAGAATTTACTATCATATTAAAGGAATTTTAATTCAACAATAAAATAATTCAAAGGTAAAATTTTAAATATTTTTAACAGGTACATTATTAGTATTAGATAATATTTATAATAATTGTGAAAATCTTCAGCGCTAAAATAAGATACAATGTCTAAACATCAGTATTAAAACTAGTATAAATATTTGCTTGTTTATACAAGGAAAATTCAAGCTCAACCTCAAATTATAAGGGAAATAAAAGAAAAATATTAAGGGAGCTCTTTAATGACATAAACATATATATATAAACACACACATATTACATGTATATATGTTATATGGGATAGATATAGATTTAACAGGTTATATCTATATTTGTATCTGTAACTACAGCTGTATGTATCCACATTTCTATATATTTACTCAGTGATATAAATGTAGACTGGAATAAATATAAAGACACATATGATTCTTGAATAAAAAGGATTTAGTATCATAAAGACAAATTCTTTCCAAATTCACTTATGAATTCACAACAATATACAGTTTCATTAGTATAATTTAATATTTCTAAATAAATTCCAAGATTCATTTAAAGGAATATACATGTATACAAGCAGTCGAGAAAGAAGCAAGAGGGCACTAAACTAACTTGCTATTAAAATACATTTTTAAACTTAGTCACTAAAACTGAGCAGTACTGATTTGGAGTACTGGAATTTAGGTGTATGGGATCTCAAAAGCACAGAGCTCAAAGGAAGCCCCTGTATGCACGAGAGCTTAGGATGTGCTTTAGAAGGCATTACCAAACCTCGGGCAAAGTTACTTTAGTGTCTTAGTCTTACTAGGTTTGAAAAGCCAGAGAAAAGACTCAAGACCACCATATAAGAGCAAAACAAAAGGACAGGGAGAGAATGTGAAGATACTGAAACATTTTACATAAAGTTGTATAAAACATCTTTTAAAGAAAATATAAACTTTAGGATATACATCAAAATCAGCAGAGCCACTATATAAATAAATAGGCATTGTAAAATAACAAGAGAAAATTTAAATGGATTTCTAAAAAATATTGACACCTATGATTTTTAAAATATGTTTAAGAAATCCCGTATTTCACAGGGCAGCCTTTCACAACACAGATATGTTAGGACATAAAGGTCCTTCTGTTTTTAATTTACTAGTGTTTATAGGGTTACAAATGTCTTCTACACTTGTCTTTTGTCTGATGGTGCAAAAAATTTTCATAAGCATGTATTTCTGAATGCCTGATGGATTGACATATATAATAAGCTGCTAGTATTAAAATATGAGACGGAAAACGCATCCAATCTTCTCACTGTTTACGTAAATTCTAGGTTTCTCCTCTTTACCTCAAGCACATATGGATCGAATTCTTACCTTTTAATATTGCCATGGCATTCACATTGAACATAAGTTGAACTCTCTCATATGGTAGCTGGGTTCGGATTCTCTTGACAATTTCCAGTTCTAACCTTCACAGTTCCTCAGTGTGGTTGGCCCAGATATTGACCCTACACAGTTGTCTCCTCGTGGTGACTACCAGCTATGGAATCGTTGGATACAACCTACCTGACTCACCCCACAGACTTCACAGCACACATGGACAGCACCCACATGCCACAGTAACCAGCTCGGTTGCAGCGGGAGTCAAGAAATGTGCCTGCTGGCACTCACCCCACTGACTAGTACCCCGTGGAAAACTTATTTGGGTAATGTTCTGGACCAAATAATGGCTGGAGTCCCACAGACCCCTTTTCTGTCTCCTGCTCCCCACTCATCTTCCCCATTTTGTTCAGCCCTATGAGGTGTGCTACTGTATCAGTCCATTTTCACACTGCCGGTAAAGACATGCCCAAGACTGGGTAATTTCCAGAAGAAAGAGGTTTAATAGATGCACGATTCCACATGGCTGGGTAGGCCTCACAATCATGCCGCAAGCTGAAAGGCACATCTCACATGGCAGCAGACAAGACAAGAGAGATTGTGCAGGGAAACACCCCTTTATAAAACCATCAGATCTTGTGAGACTTATTCACTATCAGAAGAACAGCATGGGAAAGACCTGCCCCCGTGATTCAATTACCTCCCACCTGTTCCCTCCCACAACATGTGGGAAATCAAGATGAGATTTGGCTGGGGACACAGCTAAACCCTCTTCTCAGCTACCCTCTTCTCTCTGGATCTGTGAGTAATAAACCTACTTCTGTGATTTCCCATGTTTGGTTCTGTGGCCTCCATGTGTCTGAGCTGACCTACACTGGAACCTAACTCTCCTCCTGGCCAGGGTCTCTGAGAGTGCCTCTTGTCAGAAATACACAGGACACAAGTCAGGCAACAGTCACTAGGCATCTCCTAGTCTCAACAGATGTTCTGTGAGAGGGAGGCCTGGCCGTGGGATGCACACCTGGCCACTGCTGGGGTAAGGAAGTGTCCTGTGAAAGGCACATGTTAAGCATCCACAACCCCCTGACCAGAACCCCAGAAAGGCAGGGCTCCAATTGACAGTCACTCTCCAGAGACAAACCTCAAGCCCTAACTGGAGGAAAAGAAAACAATGTAAAAAGTTCAATTTATCTTACTATTTTAATGATCCAGTAAAGACATTCTATGCCTGTACACCACATATTTTCTTCAATTGTGGATTTATTTTAGATAGAATTTTAGGTCTGGCTTTCACTTTAGCCTGGTCCCTACCTCAAGCATAAGGTAAAGATTTTCCATGCGTTCTTTTCTCGTACTACTACCTGCCAGTGTGGGGTCATGTCCTAGTCTATCTTGAGGGAATCCCCCTGTTCATTATTGTCAGAGTGAGACTGTTAAGTCTTGATTTCCCTGGACAACTTCACTGCATGACTTTTAATATGATTTTTTAATATACCCTTTACTGGACAATAAATTCTATAGTTATCTGAGTAAGAGATATGGTCAGGAAGAGGCATTGCCTCATTCAGCTTTTCTCTTTGGTGAACTCGCATATGTTCTCCTCACCCGCCAGTCACCTCTAAACCGTATTGTTCCAAGACAACAAACAGAACTCGAGTGTGTATCTTTCACCACTGGATTTGTGTTTGCTCCATAAAGCTTCATGCTTAACAGAGTTTCCGTTAGCATTTTCTCTATTTATTTTCCCATAAAATATCACAGGCCTTTTTCATATGGAATTATGGGTGATTTCCTTCAATCTGCATCATATCAAGTTGAGGTTCATGTTGATGAAAAGTAAAACATACATTGAAAATATCAGTAAGGATGTTTTCCCCTCCTTTTTAGCACCTGTGCTTGTGATACAAGCACATTTTAATACAACTGTACTCTCATGCTTTTATCATTCCTATGATGAAAATAACATTTTTAGATAAAATATCTGAGTTTTATGAGGCCTTTAGTATGTGATGTGATAGAATATCAGAAGACCATACTTTTTTCTAGTTGTCCGTGCAATTCTATCATTGTTTCATCTTTACTCCTACCAGAGTAATTTTCCAAAATACAGATCTTGTCATTCTTCCTGTTGTTATCAGTAAAAAAGTGAAATGAAAAGCTAGATTATATAATTTATCTACAACAAGAAAGTAGAATTGAATCTATATTCATTAATGAGTCTAACCAGTCAATTACACAGACAGGCATTTTACATTTTGAAGATCATATGGACCCACTGTCAGAAATATTATTTTTTATGTCTATATGGACATCACCTGTGCATATTTACATAGAAATCAATGAGAGTTGATTTTTATTTTTATTATATATATTTTTTGAGATGGGGTCTTCCTTTGTTGCCTAGGCTGGAGTGCAGTGGTGCAATCGCTACACAAATCAATAAATGTAATCCAGCATATAAACAGAGCCAAAGACAAAAACCACATGATTATCTCAATAGATGCAGAAAAGGCCTTTGACAAAATTCAACAACCCTTCATGCTAAAAACTCTCAATAAATTAGGTATTGATGGGACGTATTTCAAAATAATAAGAGCTATCTATGACAAACCCACAGCCAATATCACACTGAATGGGCAAAAACTGGAAGCATTCCCTTTGAAAACTGGCACAAGACAGGGATGCCCTCTCTCACCACTCCTATTCAACAAAGTGTTGGAAGTTCTGGCCAGGGCAATTAGGCAGGAGAAGGAAATAAAGGGTAATCAATTAGGAAAAGAGGAAGTCAAATTGTCCCTCTTTGCAGATGACATGATTGTATATCTAGAAAACCCCATTGTCTCAGCCCAAAATCTCCTTAAGCTGGTAAGCAACTTCAGCAAAGTCTCAGGATACAAAATCAATGTACAAAAATCACAAGCATTCTTATACACCAACAACAGACAAACAGAGAGCCAAATCATGAGTGAACTCCCACTCACAATCGCTTCTAAGAGAATAAAATACCTAGGAATCCAACTTACAAGGGATGTGAAGGACCTCTTCAAGGAGAACTACAAACCACTGCTCAAGGAAATAAAAGAGGATGCAAACAAATGGAAGAACATTCCCTGCTCATGGGTAGGAAGAATCAGTATCGTGAAAATGGCCATACTGCCCAAGGTAATTTACAGATTCAATGCCATCCCCATCAAGCTACCAATGCCTTTCTTCACAGAATTGGAAAAAACTACTTTAAAGTTCATATGGAACCAAAAAAGAGCCCGCATCACCAAGTCAATCCTAAGCCAAAAGAACAAAGCTGGAGGCATCACACTACCTGACTTCAAACTATACTACAAGGCTACAGTAACCAAAACAGCATGGTACTGGTACCAAAACAGAGATATAGATCAATGGAACAGAACAGAGCCCTCAGAAATAACGCTGCATATCTACAACTATCTGATCTTTGACAAACCTGAGAAAAACAAGCAATGGGGAAAGGATTCCCTATTTAATAGATGGTGGTGGGAAAATTGGCTAGCCATATGTAGAAAGCTGAAACTGGATCCCTTCCTTACACCTTATACAGAAATCAATTCAAGATGGATTAAAGACTTAAATGTTAGACCTAAAACCATAAAAACCCTAGAAGAAAACCTAGGCATTACCATTCAGGACATAGGCATGGGCAAGGACTTCATGTCTAAAACACCAAAAGCAATGGCAACAAAAGACAAAATTGACAAATGGGATCTAATTAAACTAAAGAGCTTCTGCACAGCAAAAGAAACTACCATCAGAGTGAACAGGCAACCTACAAAATGGGAGAAAATTTTCACAACCTACTCATCTGACAAAGGGCTAATATCCAGAATCTACAATGAACTCAAACAAATGTACAAGAAAAAAACAAACAACCCCATCAAAAAGTGGGCAAAGGACATGAACAGACACTTCTCAAAAGAAGACATTTATGCAGCCAAAACACACATGAAAAAATGCTCACCATCACTGGCCATCACAGAAATGCAAATCAAAACCACAATGAGATACCATCTCACACCAGTTAGAATGGCAATCATTAAAAAGTCAGGAAACAACAGGTGCTGGAGAGGATGTGGAGAAATAGCAACACTTTTACACTGTTGGTGGGACTGTAAACTAGTTCAACCATTGTGGAAGTCAGTGTGGCGATTCCTCAGGGATCTAGAACTAGAAATACCATTTGACCCAGCCATCCCATTACTGGGTATATACCCAAAGGACTATAAATCATGCTGCTATAAAGACACATGCACACGTATGTTTATTGCGGCATTATTCACAATAGCAAAGACTTGGAACCAACCCAAATGTCCAACAATGATAGACTGGATTAAGAAAATGTGGCACATATACACCATGGAATACTATGCAGCCATAAAAAACGATGAGTTCATGTCCTTTGTAGGGACATGGATGAAATTGGAAATCATCATTCTCAGTAAACTATCGCAAGAACAAAAAACCAAACGCCGCATATTCTCACTCATAGGTGGGAATTGAACAATGAGATCACATGGACACAGGAAGGGGTACATCACACTCTGGGGACTGTTGTGGGGTGGGGGGAGTGGGGAGGGATAGCACTGGGAGATATACCTAATGCTAGATGACAAGTTAGTGGGTGCAGCGCACCAGCATGGCACATGTATACATATGTAACTAACCTGCACAATGTGCACATTTACCCTAAAACTTAAAGTATAATAATAAAAGAAAAAAAAAAACTTAAAAAAAAAGTTTTTTTAATACTTGAGTTGTTCAATAAAAAGTAAACTTCATAAATTCACATTTTAAAATAATTAGAACTACCTCATAGACGCACGGTACCTTCTAGGTTGCTAAAGCCCTCTTCATGTCTCTGAGGCTGAAAAACACAGGAACCACTGCTTTAGGTGCCCTGTGAGACAGGCCCTGCTCACCACAGAAGCGCAAGCTCACACAGCTTCCTAGAAGGCAAACTTGAAGTACCAGAATCAAGTTCTTTCAAGTGCTAATGTTGGTGCTGGGTCCTAGTGTAAAGCCAATTTCCCTTATCATACAGTAACTGAGCACAAGTTCACCTACTGGTTTCAGCTGATTCAATGGGCAAATGTGACACGTCCGCATGTCAGAGAACTGCACGGTGATTTTGCCCTTCGGGGTGATGCCAGTCACGGTGTCTTCTCCAAACTCATCGTGCACAATTTGGCCGCCCAGGCACAGGCGACCATCGATGCCTCCAATCACAGCCAGGACCGCCATGAGGCCCCCCACTTCAGGGTTCTCGGAGTCGGGGAAGTAGTCCTCTAACTGGGCCTAGTGCAGACCAAACAGTGAGCTCGACCAGGGACACTCACGGAGCTGCCCAATCCCTACAAGTTTACTGTTCAACTAAATTAATTCTGAGAACACAAACTCACCCCTTCAGAAGGCCTTCCCACAAAGCTGTGGGTGATGGAGCGGAGCTGGGAGTTGATGTACTTGTTGATGAGCCCATTCCACTGAGTCAGGGAGTGCAGCGTGCACAGCAGTGCCACCACCACCTCCACCAGTGTGCTGCTATGGGTGGCAGTCAGCAAGGCCTGCGGGCGCACCCTGCGCCACCTCGGCATGGACTCTGAGGAGGAAACAAGGGGAGAAGCTGCTGCACTGCTCTTCACCAGGACACAGGGAAGGGAGACGGCCACCGACCTCTGAGTGATGGCACTGTGCCACAATTCACCAGGGCACAAGGAAGGGAGACAGCCACCCACCTCTGAGTGATGGCACTGTGCCGCTCTTCACCAGGGCATGGGGAAGGGAGACGGCCACCCACCTCTGAGTAATGGCACGTCAGAGGAGCAGGTACTGAGCAAGCTCCCCAAGAAGTCAAACAGCTTCTCCACCGGGCATTTCATGTCCCTCGCCCTTTTGGTCTTGTCCCATGACGGAAGGACTGCTTGCAACAAATGCACAGCTAAGATCTGATAAAAGAAAATTTAAAATGACAAGCATTAAAAATCTGATTAAGAAACTACAGACTGTTACTTTCTCTTTTCTTTCTTTCTTTTTTTTTTTTTTTTTTTTTTGAGACAGAGTCTCACACTGTCACCCGGGCTGGAGTGCAGTGGCACGGTCTCGGCTCACTACAACCTCCACCTCCCAGGTTCAAGCGATTCTCCTTGCCTTAGCTTCCTGAGTAGCTGGGATTACAGGCACCCACCACCAAGCCCGGCTCATTTTTCTTGGATTTTTAGTAGAGACAGGATTTCACTATGTTGGCCAGGCTGGTTTCAAACTCCTGACCTCATGATCCACCTGCCTCGGCCTCCCAAAGTGCTGGGATTACAGGCATGAGCCACTGCGCCCAGCCTCTCTTTATTTTCTGTTCTCATAATGCAAATAATCATGTGAAAATTTTGAGATTCGTTATTTTACAGCCAGGTAATTACACTCAAGTTGATTAGTGATTAGGATTGTCAGGGACTTTAGAAAAAAGCAACATTACAGATGCATGTGTTTAATTAAAAAAGAATTATTTTTAGTTTAATTCTTAAGACAATTATGCTACAAATTCTGTGAAGCAGATGAGCAAGTAGTTGCAGGATTTACCACTTAAAAGCAGGTAAACTAAAGGTTAGCAACTTACCAATTATCAAGGACCACTGCCCCTTGCCTCCAGAAAATCTACCCTGTTACTTCTAGACCCTTTCTGCACTCCTTACTGAATAAAGGCCCGACTCTAAGGGCAGGGAACTTCAGTACATGGATGCCTCTCTCAGGGAACTGGTTTTGCCTGGCAGCACGTTACCTGCCTCTGCAGCGAGGCGGCAGTGAAGGGTGTGTGCCCTTTCATGACCTTCATGAGCAGCGTGATCCACTGCGGGGAGCTGAGGGCGCTGCACACCTGCGGCGTGAGAGCGATGCTCCGCACAAACCCCAGCATGCACCAGCTCCGGTGTTGCTCCCTGTACACCAGCCTGTTTGGAGAAGCTGCGGAAGGGAAAATAGACATGCTTGGTAACAAGTCCCTAAAGACAAATCCCTAAAGATAAATCCTTATTTTTTTATCAACTTATTTTATTTTCTACAATAAGCTCCTTTAAAATATATTGCAGTTTGTAAATTAATTCAAACTAATTCAAAGTGAGAAGTGCAAGAAGGCTTTTAAGGTAGTTCAAGAAACATTTCCGCATTTTTTTTTTTTTTTTTTTAAGAGATGGGCCCTGCCCTCACTACGTTGCCCAGGCTGGTCTAAAACTCCTTCAAGTGATTCTCCTGCCTTGCCCTGCTGAATAGCTGAGACTACAGGTATTTTTAAAACCTTCTAAGTATGTGTAGTAAAAGTAGTTAGGGAATTTTAGCTATGTATTGTTTCTAGGCAATAAGAAAATGATCTATAATTCAAATAGCAGTAATTTGCAACTGCATTTTTAATTTTGTGTTTTAAATATCTCCACAATCTTGCTTATATTTAATCTGCACCACTTAAATACTTTTTTTGCATTTTTAGTAGAGACAGTTTCCAATCCAAGTTTAATACATCTGCATTAACAAAATGAGTTTTTCACTAGGTTTACACCATTGGATTCTGGCACCAGTGGGCCCACCTCTGCTCCGCCTGGCTCCAGGACTCCATTACTCCCTGAATGGAGGCTGAGGCTTGGAGGCTGGGCCCCCCTAAGGGACCCCGCCCACAGCCCCACAGGACCTGCTCTCGCCTCCCACCTCCCCCCCGCCCACCTCCCCCGCCCTCAGCTATCCAAGCTTTTGAGGACACCTGCCTTCCTTCAGCATACTCACATGCGCTCACACACACACACTCTCACACCCTCACATGCATCCTCACACCCACACCCATACTAAGTTATTCAGACACACTCATGGGCACTCACACACCCACCCTCACACAGGTGCACTCACACCGTCGCAATCACTAACACACACACAATCCCAGTCACACGTATGCACACACAACCTAAGATGCAATCTGACACACACTCCTATGCACTCTCACATACACTTACCCCTCCCACTGCATACAAAAACTCACATATGCACTCACACTCAACACTAGTCACAACCGATTCCTCACCCACTCACACCTTTACCCACTTTCTCACTTTACACTCACACCTACACCCACTTTCTCACTTTACACTCACACCTACACTGTTACCTCCCACTGACACAAGCAAAATGCTCACATTCGCTCACACGCCTTCACAATAACGTCACTCGTGCTCACACTGATTCAAGGCACTCATACACATTTACACAAATGCTCACAATCGCACACTTACACTTGTGCTGCCACCCATACTTCCTCACACTCATCAAGCCTCACTGACTTACACTTCATCTCATTGGCACACCCAGTAATCCCCTCACACTCACACTCATGCCTCCCTCGTGCTCACCCTCACACACACACTGGCTCAATGCACTGACGCTTTCACTCCCACTTCACCTGACTGTAGTCACCTGCCCACTCACATGCTGTCACGGACATACACACCACTCACATAAATGCATGCATACATACACCCACACAACCACATGCTACAAACACACTGTCACACTTGCAACACAAACGCTCAGCCACTTGCCCATCAACCGCTAACACACTCTCACCAATATGTGCAGATGCTCCAGCACACCACTAATACATGCATGTTCTCACACACACTGGAGCACACCCACATACCCACCCACACTCACATGTGCTCACTCTCAGTCGCATGCACACTCACCCCACTCCCTCAGCTCACATTTCTCATACTTACTCTCCACACACACAAACACTTTATGGATTAAACTGTGCCTGTCCCCCAACTTCACATACATTCGGAACTCAGAATATGATCTTATTTAATGAGGTCTCTGTAGACGTCCTTAAGGTAAGAATTTAGGTGACATCATGTTGGATTAGAGTCAAAGAAGCTCAATGAAAGAGTCCTTTCAGAGACAGAAAAAGACATGCAGAACACAGGGGCAGGGGCCATGTGAAGATGCAGGCCTCTGAGACTGGCACAATGCGTCCCCACACCAGGGAAGCCTGGAGCTCCCAGAAGCTGGATAAGGTAAGGAAGGACCTTCCCCTAGAGCCTGTGGAGGGAGCATGGCCCTGCCCGCACCTGGATTTGGGACTTCTGGTCTCCAGAACTCTGAGAGAACAAATTTGTTGTTTGAAGCCAGTGTTATGGGTTGAATTCAGAATTGCAAAATTTGTATGTTGAAGCCCTAACCCCTACCATACCTCGGCAGGTGACCTTGTTTGGAAATAGGGCCGCTGCAGATGTAATCAGTTTGATGAGGTTGAATGATGTCCTTATGAAAAGGGGAGATTTGGAGGTGACTCACACACAGGGAGAATGCCATGTGAAGATGATGGCAGAGATCAGGGTGACCCCTCTACAAGCCGAGGAACGCTAAAGAGGCCAGCAAACTCCAGAAGCTGGGGCAGAGCCCTGAAGCAGCTTCTCCCTCACAGCCCCAGAAGGAACCACCCTTGATCTCAGTCTTCCAACCACCAGAATCATGAGAATTTCTACTGCGTAAGCCCCCAAGTTTGTAGTACTTTGTTACAGCAGCCACAGGAAATGAATCCACACACATCCACACCCACCCACATGCACACCCGGACACGACAAGCGTGCGGCCCCCAGCGCTGACTCCCTGGGCCCTCAATCTCTCATTCCATGCGTGTCTTGTCCGTCGTTCCGCTTTCCACTAATATTTGCAGCAGTCCGCATAAAGTCTTGGTGGCTTCGCTCTGCATGATCTCAGCATGAACTCTGGCAGGCAGACAAAGAGTCTGCAGTAAGTTAATAGTGCTGGTAAACATCATTGTAGTGGGGTGAATGTTCCTTTCAGTTTGTTCAGCTTCTAAAAAAAATAATCAAAATAACAAATTATATTGGCAGCCCCAGCCTCTTGGATGGTCTTACCAAGCCCAGCCATGTGAAGCTTCGCATGTCTTTTAGGAACAGCTAAGAAATGTCATGAAACCTCCTCCCACAACCTGGATCTCCACAGATAGGATCTAGCTTTCTTGGTCCACCCCTAAATTCTCACCTCTGCTTCCCTAGAAGCAATAAAGTGCTGACTAACTCCACATTACTTGAAGAGTTCAGAGTCAGGGACCGCAGAGGAAAGGTAAAGACAGGTGGCAGGTTGGGTGTGCTCAGGCGGGGGCTCTCACTGGAGGAGGAGGCAATGGACCGAGACCGCAGGGCAATTCCACCAGGCCTCGGCTCACTCGCTCAGATGCAGGCTCAGCACCAACCACATGAGACTCACTGGTGGTGCAGCTGCCCCGACCTGGCCACCACATTCTCAAAGAGGGGCAGGTGCACACGTGAGAGGAAAATGCAGAAAGTCAGTTCCAGACAGATCGCCGGATCCCACAGCCACTCCATGCACCTGCATCGGAGGTGCCTGGGAGCTTATTTAAATGGCAGGTTCCGAGGACAGAGTGCCAGCTGCAGGTGCGTCCTGACATCCCATTCTAAGGCCCAGATGGCAGTGGTGGCAGCCAGCACCTGGACAGTTTGTGGGCTGTCTTGGACTAAAGGCCTTCCTGAGTCACCCACCAGAGTCGTCCTCTGTGTCCAAATCCTCTGCTGAGGGCTGTGCAGCGGCCGGCAGCTCTGCCAGCTTGAGGTCGTATTTTCCTTCTTTCCCCATCCTGTAGGAGTTGGTGCTGCCCGTGCCCCACTGGACTCTTATCCACCCGTCCTCTCCCAGCTCACCAATCACTTGGCCTAGGCCTGGAGGAGGCCCATCCTGACAAAGCCCAAGTAGAGATCAGTTAGGAGGGTGCGTGCCTTGCCCTGGTCCTTCCATGGCTCCCAGCAGACCTCAGTTAGGCGGGTGCGTGCCCTGCCCTGGTCCTTCCATGGCTCCCAGCAGACCTCAGTTAGGAGGGTGCGTGCCCTGCCCTGGTCCTTCCATGGCTCCCACCAGACCTCAGTTAGGAGGGTGCGTGCTCTGTCCTGGTCCTTCCATGGCTCACACCAGACCTGCCACACAGATGTCGCCATATGCCACCCTGTCTGTCAGGGGCTGTCCCCAGACACAGATTTCACCTCTCCTACAAAATGTGTGCTTGCATCATTTTAAATTAAATGGCATAAAATAACGTGCTCATGCTGCTTTACCAAGGAAGTAGGGGAAATCTCATCTCAATGAGGATCCTCTGAGTTAATGCACAGACAGGGCTTTGCAGCAAGTCCTGACCCCTCAATCCCTCACCGGCCTTGCAAGAGCAGAAACCTGAAACAAGTACCAGCACCTGCACATTCCCTTTTCTTCAGTTTCCTCCGGGCCCCAGGGGGAAGCTCTGTCTCTCACTTCTGTAGGAGAAAGCTGTTTCTAGGATGGATGCTGCTGTCTCCAGACACTGCTATTTCTAAGATGACTGTGACAAAGCCGGGGCTTACTAGCGTGGCTGAGAAAAGCTAGACAGACCATGGGAAGGTGAACGCTGCCCTAACTTAGCTAGGGCTGTGGTAAGTGACTTCCACCTGGGGGCACCTGGCAGCGATTTAGAAGACACCTGCGATGAGGGAAAATGGAGACATGGCCACAGGCCCATGAAGTATATCCCTAACTACTGGGTTCAGGGCACTTCGCAGCACGTGGCCATCAGCTCACAGGGGCAGAATCTGGGCTTCCTGCCTCAGAGCCTTCACTACACCAACTTTCAGAATGAGATTTACTCTCTTGCTCACTCTCACTCTTGTTCCAGTGACCCATCAAACTGAGCCTCATGCCAGTGAGTTTCCTGAAAAGAGCTGCCTCTCTTTCCAGACTTGATTCTGCTCAGATGCCCTACTTATGATTCCCTATTTGTGTTCACTCCCTTCAGCAGCTCGGGAACCAACACCTGTGTCATCTATCAACCGACACATCCTGGATTATTCCAATTTCCACCCACCAATATCGTACAGACCTGTGCAGAAGATAACTAATGTGTGGCTAATGTGTTCACATCAAATCTCTGAGTACCTGATCGCCCCATTTCCAGTCCACACCTCTCATGACCCTCGTTCCAATCTTCATCGTGGCAGCCAGTTCTGGCCCTGAAACAGGGAGATGCACAGGAGCCGTTTCCTTCCTTGTTGCTTCCAAAACTGTGGCAGAAGCACCTTGAGCAGAAGCATTCATATCTTCCTCAACATTGTCACAACTGGGGCCTGACAGAGCATCAAAAACAATAGCTGAGCCAACAAGTAGCTACAATGTCCCTTTAATACACACAAAACATTTAAAAAATACTAATGAAGATCATAATGTTTTGAAGAATCCATACTATATGTTTATCAATATAATACTATGAATATTTTACTGATATACGATAAAAAGAAGATAAACGGAAGGACAAAATACATAAATATCCTAGGAAGATATAAAAGATATTAAAATGCTCAGTAAAGCTACTTTCTCTACTTCTAGGAATTACTCCCCTGTAAAAAGCAAAATAACTGAGTTAGAAAGATAATCATCACATTTTTTATTAATAGAAAAACAAAGATAACTACCTAAATATCTAACAGTGGGAAACTGACAAACTTTAATCATGGTTCTGTGCAGAAGACAGCTAACAGCTGGCCCGAGATACAACCTCAGACAGGATTGCTGCAGGCTAGCCCTCGGCTGGAGTCTGGATTTCAGGAGGGCTCCCCAATTCCCTAGGTGGTAGTTGTGGTTCGCTGTGCCTGAATTGACTGTACAAACAACATGGTCTGTGCTGAAACCTGCTTTCCTTGTTCTGGAACTTGGTATGCACCAGGCACGGGGTGCCCATGTGGTCAGCCCTGATGGAAACCCTGGGCCTGGAGTCTCTACCCAGCTTCCCGGCAGACAGCACTTGACATGGCTCGGTGCCGGGGCAGTTATGCTCGTCCTGTGTGGATCCTGTGGAAGCTTGTACCTGCTTTCCTCTGGACTTTACACACGTCCTTTTTCATGATTTTGCTCTGTGTCCCTTCACTGTAATAAACTATAGCCCTGAGTACAACTACATGCTGAGTCTTGTGAGTCCTCCTGGCCAACCATCAAACCTGGAGACCCCTGACAATTGGTGCCCTGGGTGGCTACAGAGTCATCCATAGCATGAAACAGAAGCTGAGCTGCTGTCACCTGAGAGAAGTAAAACTTACCAATGGATTTGAAAATAGGAGAGCTAACCCTAGGAGAGTAGGCTAGATTTTTAACCCCCCTTTTCTCACTTGCTAAACTGAGAGCGGGTAGGAGTGCGGTTCTGGTAACTCCCTTGATTTTAGTTTTCTCCTCCAGGTGGGAGGGAAAAAGATCCAAACGGTCCCAAAGGTGGGCTTGGGTGAGCCAAAAAATGTAAAAAGTTTGTGTTTCTCTCTCTTCCAAGAGAACAAAAAAGGATATTCAATCCCCAGGGCTGGAGCAAAACTTTAGATAAACTAGCGGGGGAAACAGCCTTTCCTTTAGCCTAGCCGCTACTTTAGGGCTCCCAGGAAGGGGCCCCAAGGAAGGGACAGGAGTTGCATTCCAGGTGGATCTCCCAGGATCCCCTGGGCAGCTATACTGTTAACTCTGTAAAGACTGAATTTATTGCTAAGGGCTTGAATAAATTTGCAACCAAAACTGGGGGAAATTTTTTATTTTACATAGCTTTATGTTTTGTGGCTGTTACATGTGGATGTACACATTAAGCTGGTATAAAATATTATATGCTTATAATTTCTTAAATGATAAGAAGGATACCCTGATCAGGGCAAGCTGCAAATATAGACGGATATTCATGAGACACAACTTCCTTGCTTTTTGCAGCCAGTGGGCCAGATGAAATTTAAACACATGAATACTATCAACAGAACAAGTCCCCATACTTAATGATTTGTGCTGTGATTTTTACTTATTGGAACCTCTGGGGAAAAAGCAGACAACATAAAAAGGCCATTTCTCGATGGAGATATGCTTCTGTAATTTTTAAATGTAACTTTTGGTTGCTAATGAGGCCTCAAGAAATCAGATATAACTCTTACTAGATGATTCTTTTCAGCTGTAATACACATATTAAAATATATATTTAACATAATACAACATATAAATATAATATATAAATTAAAAAATAATTATATACATATATATATATAGAGAGAGAGAGAGAGAGACAAACTGACAGACAGACAGACAGAAAGATTCCCCCCACCCCCAAGACAGGATTTCACTCTGTCGCCCAGGCTGGAGTGCAGTGGCTTGATCTCCGCTCACTGCAACCTCTGCCTCCCTGGCTCAAGCAATCCTCCCACCTCAGCCTCCCAGGTAGCTGGGACCACAGGCACACACCACTATGCCAAGCTAATTTTCATATTTTTTATAGAGACAGGGTTTTGCTATGTTGCCCAAGTTGGTCTCAAACTCCTGAGCTCAAGCAATCCACCCGCCTCAGCCTCCCAAAGTGCTAGGATTACAGCCTGGCCTGATACGTATTTTTGAATGGATTAATTTGAACTCTAAGACTGATGTGATTAAAAGAGCTTGGGAAAACCTTGCTTTTTCACTGTGACTTTGACAACGGGCCCTGCAGCATCTCAGTTTTAGCCAAAGAACACCACCATAAACCAATCAGATCTAATAGACATATACAGAACATTTCACCAAAAAGAGCAGAATAAACATTATTCTCAAGTATACCACAGAACACTCTCTTAGACTGACCAGACCATATGTTAGGCCACAAAGTCTCAAATTTAAACAGACTAAAATCATACAAATTACCTTCTCCAACCAAAATGAAATGATGAGAAATTAATAACAAAAGGAAAAGTGGAAAATTCACAAGTATATGAAAATTAAACAACACACGGTAAACAATCAGTGGGTCAAAGAAGAAATCACAAGGGAGATTAGAAAATACTATGAGATGAATGAAAACACAACATACCAAAACTTCTGTGCTGCGCCAAAAGCAGGGCTAAGACGGGCAATTATACTATAGAAGTCTGCATTCACAGAAGATGATCTCAAATCAATAACTCTACATCTGGAAGAACTAAAAAAATAAGAACACAATAAAAACCAAAGTTAGGCCAGGTGTGGTGCCTCACACCTGTAATCCCAGCACTTTGGGAGGTTGAGGCAGGTGGATAACTTGAGCCAAGGAGGTTGAGGCTGCAGTGAGCCATGACTGCGCCACTGTACTTCGGCCTGAGGGACAAAGTAAGACCCTGTCTCAAAACAAAGACAAAAAAAAAAACAAAAACAAAAAAATACAAAGCAGAAGGAAGGAAACGACAGAGATTAGAGCAGCCATAAATTAAATAGGGAATGGAAAAATAATCTACAAAACCAAAAGTTTGGTTTCTGGCAAGAACAAAAAATCTGATAAACTTTCCGCAAATTAAGAAAAAAAGAGGCCAGGCAAGGTGGCTCACGCCTGCAATCCCAGCACTTTGGGAAGCTGAGGTGGGCGGATCACGAGGTCAAGAGATCGAGACCATCCTGGTCAACATGGTGAAACCCTATCTCCACTAAAAATACAAAAAAATTAGCCGGGCATGGTGGCGGGCGCCTGTAGTTCCAGCTACTTGGGAGGCTGAGGCAGGAGAATCACTTGAACCTGCGAGGCGGAGGTTGCAGTAAGCCGAGACTGTGCCACTGCACTCCGGCCTGGCAACAGAGTGAGACTCCGTCTCAAAAAAAAAAAAAAAGAAAAAAAGAGAAAAGATGCAAATAACTAACATCAGAAATGTAAGTGGAGACAGTACTAGCAACATAAAAATAAAAAAGATTATAAAAGAACACTGTGAACAACTGTATGCCAACAAATAAAATAGCCTAGATAAAATGGACACATTCCTAGAAATATAAATTACCCAACCTGACTCAAGAAGAAATAGAAAATCTGAATAGACCCATAACAAGTAAAGAGATTGAATCGGTAATTAAAAATCTTTCAGGCCGGGAGCGGTGGCTCACGCCTGTAATCCCAGCACTTTGGGAGGCCAAGGCGGGTGGATCACGAGGTCAGGAGATCGAGACCATCCTGGCCAACATGGTGAAACCCTGTCTCTACTAAAAATACAAAAAATTAGCCAGGCGTGGTGGCAGGCGCCTGTAGTCCCAGCTACTCGGGAGGCTGAGGCAGGAGAAAGGCGTGAACCTACGAGGCGGAGCTTGTAGTGAGCCGAGATCGTGCCACTGCAGTCCAGCCTGGGCAACAGAGTGATACTCCGCCTCAAAAAAAAAAAAAAAAAATCTTTCAACAAAGAAAAGCTTAGCTGGTTAACTCTACCAAACATTTAAAGCAGAATTGACACCAATCCTCAAACTCTTCTAAAAATAGAATATATGGGAACACTACCTAGTTCATTCTATGAGGCCATTATTACCCTGATAACTGTAAAACAATAAAATATTGCTGAAAGAAATTAAAGAGGACGGAAATAAATGGAAAGACATTCCACATTCAGAGAATGGATGTTAACATTGTTAAGATGGCACTATTCCCCAGAACAATCTACAGATTCAATCCCTAGCAAAAATCCCAATGGTCTTTTTTGCAGATATGGAAAAGCCAGCCTTGAAGTTCATATGAAAATTCAACGGAACCAAAGCAGCCAAAATAATCTTGAGAAAGAAGACACACTTCTCAATTTTAAAACAGTACAAAACTACAATGTTCAAAACAGTGTGGTACCTGCATAATTATCAACATATAGAATGTAATAATGTAATTGAGAGTCCAGAAATAAACCTAAATATCTACAGCCAACTGATCTTTGCCAAGGGTACCGAGAACTTCAGGGAAAGAATAGTCCTCAACAAGTGGTATTGAAACAATCAGATAATCAAAAGGAAAAGGCTGGACTCTTACCACACACTGTGTAAAAGAAATTACCTAAAAATGGACCAAAGATCTAACTATAAGAGCTAAAACTATAAAACTTACGGAAGAAAACATGAGATGAGGATAATCTTCATCAGTCTTGTATTTGGAAATGGCTTTTTGGGTATGATATCAAAAGCATAGACGACAAAAGAGAAACAGATAAACTAAACTTCATCAAAATAAAAAACTTCTCTATGAAAGGAAATACAATCCAGAGAACAGGAGAAAATACCCACAAATGATATATCTGATAAAGGTCTACAGATCTGTGAAGGTCTAGTATACATGAAATTTTTAAAGAGTCTGAGGACTGGTGTTAATTCTTCTTTAAATGTTTGGTACACTTACATAGTGCATTTACCGGTACAACAACAAGATGACGACAAATAACCCTATTTAAAAAGGAGAAAGGGGCTGGGCGCAGTGGCTCATGCCTGTTATCCCAGCACTTTGAGAGGCCAAGGCAGGCAGATCACCTGAGGTCACGAGTTCCAGACCAGCCTGGCCAACATGGCGAAGCCCCATCTCTACTAAAAATACAAAAATTAGCCAGGTGTGGTGGTGTGTGACTGTAATCCCAGCTACTCGGGAGGCTGAGGCACGAGAAGCGCTTGAACCCGGGAGGTGGAGGTTGCAGTGAGCCGAGATTGTGCCACTGCGCTCCAGCCTGAGTGACAGAGTGAGATTCCGTCTCAAAAAAATAAAATAAAAAATAAAGAGAAAGGGACTTGAATAGACACTTCTCCGAAGAAGATATACAAATGGCCAACAAGCACAAACATGTAAAGAAGCTCAATGTCATTCATCATTAGTGAAATGCAAATCAAAATCACAATGAGATAGCACTTCACACCCACTAGGATGGCCTTAATCCAAAAAAAAAAAGAAAACCACAAAAAATAGTGTTGGCAGGGAAGTAGAGAAACTTGGACCCTGGAATCCTGCCCCCTGGTGGTGGGAATGTAAAAATGATATGGCACTGTGGAAAAGTTTGGTAGTCTCTTAGTAAGTTACACATAGTTGTACCATATGACCCTGTAATTCCAGTCCTAGGTGTATAATCAAAAGAACTAGAAACAAGTGTTCAAACAAGTATTTGTATATAAATGTTGCTAGCAACACTATTCACAAAAGTCAAAAGGCAAAACCAACCCAAATGTCCATCAACAGATAAATGAATAAACAAAATGTTATATATTCATACAATGGAAATCTTTTTCAGCCATAAAAATAAAGTACTGATATATACCAAATGAAATAACCCAGACACAAAGGCCACAAATGGTATGATTCCATTTATATGAAATATCCAGGATATGCAAATCCATAGACAGAGAAAGCAGATTTGTGACTACCAGGGGCTGGAGAGCAGGTGAGTCAGGACTGATGGCTAAATGGGGTGCATTTATAGTGATGAAAAAGTTCTACAACCAGACAGTGGTGATGACTCTAGAAAATTGTGAATGTATTTAATACTGCTGAATTGCGACGTTAAAATGCTACACTTTCTGCTATTTGTGTCTTACCATAATTTACAAAAAGCTTAAAAAAAAAAAAGAAATCAAAGCAAAATCTTGACGTTTTCCCAAAGGCTCTCAAGCCAGTGCAGACCTACCAATCAGGCGCAGTGCCGTCTGAGTGAGGGCCAGCGTGCCGGAATTGAGCAGGAGGTCGAGGTTGTTTGCGCTGTGCTGCAGGGTGAGCATGCTGAGCATCATCAGGAGGAAGCGGGCTTGCGGGATGCTCCCCAGGCTCGGTCCCAATGGGTTCTCACTGGTGATGGTCTGCAGGGGAACCGGCTGGATACCTAATAAGCATTGACACCCACTTACATTTCTTGTGATGGATACAAGAATAAACATAACGCAGAAAGCACGGGCTATTACTTTAAACATCTGACTAATAAGCATTGACACCCACTGACATTTCTTGTGCGTGGATACAAGAATAAAAGTAACACAGAAAGCACGGGCAATTACTCTAAACATCTGACTATTTTTCAGTGGTTTCCACAGAGTGGGCAGCTCTGTCATGCTGCACGATGGGCCTAACCCCTGTATTCTATGCACAGGTCGTTCCATCTGTCTACAGGACTTAGCATGTTGCTCTCTGAATACACTGGTGCCCTATTCCATTCCTTCCATTTCAAATATAAAAGTTATGTCTCACTTTTCCTCCACAAAACCAATCCAATCAACTCTCTGTAGATGCTCAGACTATCCAGGAAATAAATATTAATATAAGACACAGACACTTAGGATATGTGGTGATACACATATAAATGTCAAAATGTAAAAATGTTATACTAGAGTACTTCAACATTGTATCTCCTGCTAAATTTTAAAGTTTTGTTTAAAATCTGAGAAAGCTGACAGCAGCATAGATTATACAAGTACAAAGTACAAACTTATTACAGTCTTCTCAAAAGCAAAAATTGGCATTTGCAAGTTTCCACAACACATAATTAAAGGCAAACTATAAAATAACATTGATGCAATTGTTGACTCACCAAGCTCTTTAAATTTGGCACTGGCATCCATCAGAACATTTAGAATGTTCTGAACAGTCCAAGCATACAGCTTGCCAAAGGTGACTTCCAGCAGCATCCGATTAAAAGGTGGGATCAAATCAACATCCTTTAAACAATCAGTAAGAGGTTCCCTTTCAAATAAAGATAAAGAATTTGACTCGGGACACTGCCAGACTTCTAACTGTTACAGAACAACATTCTGTTGCCACAGCTTCCTTAGTTAAGAAAAAAATATGCTAACGTTTTACCCTATATCGATTCCTTCAGGAATAAGTCTTTGCCATCCACAAAACATCGCTTACTGCACAGATGGAAGTAAGAAATTCTTGCTCGCCAGATACAATTTCAAAATTGTATCTATCCCTTCCAGGCGAACCTCTGCTCTCTCGAACTGCAAAATATCAATGCATATACAGTTAAGTGTTATGTATATTACCCACTGCAGAGAAGCATTTCTCATCAAATGTTATCTGTTTTAGTAGGCACTATCTCATTTTTTCCACATCCACTGGCTCTTCTTTAAGGGCAAATTCAGCAATTGTACTGAGGAGTGGAGACTGCGGATAAAGATCCTGAACATTCTGCTTCAACCACTTGTATCTGTGAACCCCTGTAACAGTACTCAACAGTGGCTGCCATTTGTCCTAACAAAGGAAAACAATTTTCATCATTAGTCTACCCTATTTAATATTAAACTGTGCTCTAAAAGTTATTCAAGTAAAATATAAATAATGCTCATAGGTTTAAATTGGTTAAAATATGTTAAATTTAGTAATTAATACATGGTTTTAAAACTATGCTATAAATATAAGTGAACTTATCTCTATACTAATATATGTTGGAACAGGCTAGCTTGGCATACGAAGTTAAGTTGTGGTTCATATTAATAGCCACAGGGCCCAGCACTGTTTCTGGAACAAAGAATATATTTAAGGAATGAATGGTGAATAATTAATGATACAATCTAGTACCAAAAATAAAAGGAAACCCTTCTCCAGCTACAGCTCTGACCAGGACATCATAAGTCAAGTTCATGAACCATCACTGGGGCCGTATTTCTAACAACCGCCCGTCCCTCCCTCCGGATGCTCAGGTACAGAGGTACAAGACTGTGGATTCCTTTGCTACATGCTATGATTCTATTCAGCTAACCTCAGAATCACAGAAAACACTGCACCTTGGGTGATTTAATTGCAATGGGTCTCTTGTCCACATTTATTGGACTATGAGGCAAAATGCAGGCTTCTTCTAAATCACTCTCTTCGTTTCCAATTTTTTCTTCATCAGCCGTAGATTCTGGCTTCTTAGGAACTGTGTTTTAAAACATCATTCACTATAAAAAATCATACACTTAAATATTAATTTTAAATTAGGAAATACTTAGATTTACATGAAAGACAAATATTTCATTCAAATAAACATCTGAACAACATTATAAATTGCAAGGCTCAAACAACAAGAGTGAAATGATCACCATGGCAGAACAAAATGACAAAGTGAGAGTGTGACAAGGGGAGAAGCCCCGAAGCAGGGGAAGCCCAGCAGCCAGCAAGCTCTTCCTCAAGTGCCAGAGAGTGAACATTTGAGTCTTTCAGGCCACGCAGTCTGTTGGAAATACTCAACTCTGCTGCTGTAGCACAAAAAGTAACCACAGATAAAGCAACAGGTGTGGCTGTGCTCCCGTAAAACTTTATGGTGCTACAATTTTCTGTACTCTTACACAGCTACTTCCAGGAAAATGTCAGTAACTCTTTCAGCTTCCCTTTATAATTCTCCATGTATCAGAATACTCAATATTTCCAAACAAAAAACATTTCTTTAGAAGAATGGCAATAAGTTTAAATGTTCCCATTATATCTCATTACCAGGATAACTAATAAAATAAAAATACGTCCTTGTTCCCATCAATTTAGCAAAGATTATTTACATTTTCAACATCAATTTACTAGTAATCAAATCATACCACACTCAATTCCTAAACTGCCTCATTGTCTGATCGGTTGAAAAAATAGGAGAGATTTCCGTATTTAATCATAACTATACATAAAAATGATGGCAGCAGGTAGAAATGTCACATGGAATCAACAGTAGAGAAACTTCACTCTGAAATCACAGGTCCAGCGAGGCAGGGTGAAGCACATGCTTTAATAGTATCTTCTGTCCTTTTACATTCTTACTTCTCTTTTTCCTCCGTTCCCGAATTATCTTCTGAGCTATCCTCCTCCAACGGGGCAAAGAACTTAACAATTTAAACTCAGAGATTATAGAGAGGTCATTACCAACAGCAGGTCTCAATTCATTAGAGAGGAATCTCAAACGTTCGATGACAGGAGTGCAGACCTCCTTGTAAGAACGGCCCTGTTCTTGATGAGTCTGCAAAGTTAACCAGGAAAAGACAACTTTAACAACAAATATTTCTGCAACTGTCTGCAAAGCACAGAATAAAAAGAATTAAAATATATCACCTTAATGAGCGAACATTTTGCTTGGTAGACAACTCTACAAACATCCACCACTGACTTAGGCAACGTTCTGTGCTTTATTTGCTCAATATCAAGTGCACCTGCATGAACTAAAGATAATGCCACATGACCTGCAAAAAGACATTTAAAAGAAGGACAGGGAAGGAATGAATATGTACCACAGGTTAGTCGAGGAATCTGCAGTCTAGCTAAAGTACACAGATATTGAGCTCCTTACCTAAATCTTCATGTTTTAAGAAGCAACATAACAGCAAGCGACCGACCTCTTCCACGGGGTGCTCGGGGGGAAACATGATCGGTGTGGTCAAATGGCACTGCCTACAGTACCTTTCTATTTGACACAAAAAGCCCTGCAACAGAAACAGCTGGAGGTAACTTCAGGGCCGGCCAGTGAGTCTTCACAAATCTTAAACATGCCACAGCTTCTGATGCACTTGCAATCAGTAATGCTTCCGAAGCCTTGCTAGCATGTTAACACAATCAGGTTCTCACCTCAAAACCCTCCAAATAATACATGAAACAAAGTCTGTGCTATGTTAACCAAAGAGCACCTAAGTATTCCTATGTCAAAGTCCTCAGATAAACAGAGCACTGAGGTGACAGTGGGGACAGGCCTAGCTCACCTTCACGTTGTGATCCTGAATGTTATTGTCTGCAATGACTTACAGAAATGCCTGAGAATGGTCCCCCAGGGCCCATCTGTGGGAGCAGTGGTGATTTGCTGGCAGGTGTGCCCACTGGGAGCTGCAGTGGTCCTCATCTTTCTCCTCGTTGTAGCTGTAGTGGATCTGGCTGGTCTGCAGCCTCCAGAGAAGATGGATGACTGAAGCCATTCTAGAAAATGCACACGCAAACATGAAAGAGAAACTCAAGTGCACAACTCAAAATAAATACTAAAAAAAAAAAAAGATGCTCAACTGAACACTCAATTTAGAAGGTAAAATTCAGCATCATTCATATGAAAGAGCTCCACCTAACATGTTTACACAGGTTGACTTGTAATTCCTCTATCTACGTGAATACACTTTCTGGTGATTCCACACACCTCAGGCACGGCATCAGAACTCAGGATTGTAGTTCCAGTCCAAAATTCTCTGGATACCTGTGCTCTGCCTGCAGCTGCCTGGTTCCACAGATACCGTGTGAAGACTGAGTTGCACACTCTAACAAGGAAGGCAGCAAAGGGCACCGCTGACACAACTAATCACAGGATTTCAAGTCCAAAACTGTGCAACGGATGACTATGGGGGTACCAGGGAGACCGGAGGACAGACCACCGCTATTCTGAGGGTCAGTAAGGGACTTGTGGAAGCAACAACTGAGCTAAGATGAGGAATAAGACCCAGACGCTGAGTATCCAGGCAGGGAACAGCATATCTGAAGGGTTTCTACAAAGAATTACATCCTCAGGGTAGGCTATGTATTCCTAGAGCACTTATAAAGGAATGAAAAGGAGAAAATATTTAACAAACACACAATCTTTAATGAAGGATAGATCCTTGGAGACGGGAGGGCCGATGGACTGGAAAGGAGACCTGTGCATGGTGCAAGGCATGGGATCAGCCAGTGCAAATGTTAATTACAACTGCTTATGGTCACTTGAGGGAGCGGCACATACACACAAAATTAGGATGTGCACCACTACAGATCTCTATTAACGATCTGTGTTATCAAATACTGCTCCAAATCCAAGCAATCAAAGCGGGGATGCACTTACTGTTCTTTTACTGGACATTTAGATTTTTAGAGCACTCAGGAGCATTCCCCAACCCACCACATTCGTTCTTCTGAAACACTAATCCAATGCCAACTCTCTCTGGCCCCCTTTCTTTAAGCACAGGACAGCCCCTCCTTACTGCTCCAAGATAAGCCTCTGATCCTCCTGTGGCTCGGACCCACCTGCCAGGGCTCATGGCACCCTCTGCTCTGGAGCTCGCCAGCCCTGCCCTCCTTGTCAATTTAAACAAAGCCCATCTTCTGGCAAGCAATGAGCCTTGAGGAGGAGGGAGGGAAGCAGACACCTCAGAGGGCACCACAGGCAGTCCAGCACCCAGCACTGCACAAAGGTCCACCCAACGGGGGGCTGTGTGGACACCAAGATCCTCCTTTCCCGCAAGCCTCTCCCACAACCACTCTCGCAAGCAGCAGGAAAGCCCTGCTCCTCTCAGCATTGCCCTTGACACTCCTGTGTTTTCTGCCCAGAATGCTCCCTCATGCAATTTCAGGACTGCTGCCGGTGTGAAGCCTTTCTTCTCCCAGAACCACGTATGAACGTCTCCATTTCACCATTCACCACCTTGTAACGTGACCTGCTTAGAATGCTGGCTCATCAACAAGCAGCAACTGAAAGCAGAGGCGTGTCCTATCCATCACTGCATCCTGAACACCTCGCATGGTAACGGCACCAGGCAACTGCTCAACAGAAGCTGCTCACACGGACGGACAGATAGACAGATGGGAAATGCACGACTACATGAAGGAAAATGTAAACCCATCTTAGGAGACAGGAAAAAGCTTATTATTTTAGGTGGTTACAAAGGCTGCCATCCTGAAATATAACTGACTTGAGCCTGGTCTGGTAAAAACGCAGTCCTCAAATAGAACGCTGTTCCCTGAGAGAACAGCTGATCCACATTCTGTGCAATTTCTGGGCATGCAGGGAGACAAAAGCCATGCTGGGCCCATCAGGCAGAGGCTGCAATACGTGAGACCACCACAGGGTAGACGGGTAGACACTCCTGCACACTTTTTAGCTTCCTCTGCAGCAACAGACCATGAGGGCAAATGACAGCCACTCACAGCTGTTTCTACCTGATTGAGTCTCACTATCCTTATTATTATTTTTTGTAGCATCATCAACTGTGTTGAATCCTCCTCTTTTTTTTTGAGACGGAGTCTCGCTCTTGTCACCCAGACTGGAGCGCAGTGGTGCGATCTTGGCTCACTGCAACCTCTGTCTCCTGGGTTCAAGCAATTCTCCTACCTCAGCCTCCCGAGTAACCGGGATTACAAGCACCCGTCACCACGCCCAGCTAATTTTTGCATTTTTAGTAGACATGGGGTTTCACCACATTGGCCAGGCTGGTCTCGAACTCCTGACCTCAGGTGATCCACCCGCCTCAGCCTCCCAAAGTGCTGGGATTACAGGCATGAGCCACCGCCTGGCCATCTCCTACTTTTTTAAAGAGAGAGTCTTGCTCTGTCACCCCGGCTGGAGTGCCGTGGTATGATCATGACTCACTGCAACCTCAACCTCCCAGGCTTAAGCGATCCTCCTACCTCAGGCTCCTGAGTATCTGGGACTACAAGTACATGCCACCATGCCTGGCTAATTTTTGTGTTTTTTGTAGAGATGGGGTTTTGCCGTGTTGCCCAGGCTGGTCTCAAACTCTTGACCTCAAGCAATCCACATGCCTCAACCTCCCAAAGTGCTGGGATTACAGGCATGAACCACTGTGCCTGGCCCTCTCCCACTCTTAATGGCACTTACAGTTCAAAAAAAATAATCTGCTAATCAGCAAAAAGCAAAGATTTTCTTACTGGCACATTCAATCTCGACAGGAGACAGCGGTGTGCTCATTGCTAAATAGGAAGTGTGTAATCCGAGAAGCAGGCCCAGATTCCTCTCTGTGTCTATCAGAGGTGAAGAGAGACTTCCCGGATCTGGTATGGTGACAACTTCTTGGTCAGGCTGGAAAAATAAACTTCATCATCAATCTGAGGAAACAGAATTAATTAAAAACATAAAACCAAAAGGACAGCTCTGTCCTGCAGCTGTACCGCCATGTGAGCCCAGGGGTGCCCTGGGTGTTCTGCCCCTCCATCCTGTAATGAGTTGATGCTGCTGTGCCCAAGTAACAGCAGATACCACATAAACCCACATGCCCTATAAAGCTGGCAGCAACCGTACACGCAGAAAAACTAAAGCACAGATACATGATTTGGCTAGAATATTCCTTAGGAATCAGTTTCCAAAGTGACTGTACACCATGCTTCAGAAAGTATAATGAATTGTTACATGCATAAAGAACCCACTGGGCAACAAAACTATGACAAGTATTCGATGACAAGTATTAGTGGACTGTGACCACACAGGTAGAGGAAATGAAATTTATTCTAACAAAAATCAAACTCTGAAAAAAGCAAGAGTTCAACTTTTCCAGTCACAGAAGATATTTACAGCAAAGTTAATTCTCCCCTTCATAAAATGCTTTAAGCCCTGCCCTAATGGCATTTAATACATTTTATTACTTGTGGATAGCTGGAAAGCTAATCCCAGTATATAAATTCTATGTGTTCGTGAATACATAGGAAGGACATATTTCTATTGTAAAGAATTACACTTCTACATAGTTCTTCCCAAAAAATACATACCTCAATATAATAAGCCATTCCAAATTTCTACATAAGACCAAAGTTTAACCTCTTTTCTTGTGGAACACTGTCTATATTTCTCACAAATTGATCATTTAAAAAACAATCTTTCAAGACCAGTACATCACAGATCCTAACACGAATAAATGTAAATTCATTTATGACAAAACTTCTAAAGGATCTTTATATTATCCCTAATGCCCCCCAAAAGACCCAGATATCAGTACTTCTAGATCCAAATATTCCTATCACAAACACACAGAGGGTGTCCCCTGCCATCCTCTGCATCACTCAAGGCATACAGCCTCACCTCCAAATATTGGCCAACACAAAATGCGTGCATGGATTCCCGGGTGACTTCAAACTCGAAAGCAGCTTCCAAAGCTACCACTGGGTTTTCCCCTGCAAACTGAGCTGAAAGAAAAAGGGAAAAAGCAACAGGAGTTCAATTCAGCTTGCCTGAAGAGCTATAGGAGAAACAGTGAGTAGGAAATAAGTTAGGCGCTTAACTCAAAAGTGAGGGTTACCAGAGTATAATGACCTCCCACTGTCTCCCAGGGTTGCCTGGGCCAACTCAGAACTTGAAATGAGTTCCAAGTATTAAAACAAAAAATGCATAATGAAAGGAAATTCTTCAAATGTGCTGAATTTGTTGATAAGACAGACACCAAAGCCACAGATACATTAAAATATGCGGGGGCTGGCACAAAACTAAAGAAATCATTTATAAGCCAAATACTCTGCTTAAAATGATACAGGCTGTAACTTTTAACCAGGAAATAAGAAGGGTAATCTTACCAAGAATACTATTTCCTGTTAACGACTGTGTCTGGAAGTCCTTTATATCATACACTTTCTCATCAATCACAATCCAGAAGCCTCCATCTTTATTATGGTTCTCCAAATCAGCTTTGCATATAAGTGTCACTTCCTCATTATTTCTACAGTTCTGACCTGTAAAAAAATGACTCTCTGTATACAGAAACCAGAATCAGTCCATTGATCAATCAACAGGTAAAATGAAAAGAACAAACTGTGTGAAAGAACTACAAGCAGAAATAAACAAATCCACAATCACAATGGGAGAAATACATACCTAGCTCTGAAACTAATACCACACATACAAATTCTATTAAATATAGAATGCTTTAAAAAAAATCTAGGCAGCATGAATATCAAATCAGGCCATGCCAGGCCATAGAACAAATCTCAACAGATTTCAAAGAAATAAAGTTACACAGCATGTGTGCTGACTACAATGCAGTTAAATTAGAAATAGGTTTTCAAAAGTTCATTCAAAATAAAATAAAAATGACTCTGTATATACAGAAAATGAAAATATTCATCCACATATTTGAAAATTACAAAATACACTTATAAGTAACCCAAAATTCTAAGAAAAAATGACTATGAAAATTAGAAAATGAGTTCAATTAATAATCAAAATATTGCAGATCAAAATTGGTGACATACAACTAAATGCATGCTTGAGGGCATTTACGCCTTTAAATGTGTATATTAGGGGGAAAAAGCTAAAAAAGAAAAGAAACACCAAATCAATAGAAGTCTATTAGTTCATAAAAATACTCAAAAAAAAAGAAAACCTGAGTGGTGGTCACCTATGCAAGTGCTAGGATACCAACTCAATATTATGAAAAATAGTTAAAGGGAGGTGGCAGTTCAAGAAGTCAAGCTTAGATTATGTCCTTCCTGTACAAATTGTACCTCCTGCTAACCAGACAGCAGAGGGCAAGGTTGGTAGGGGATTTTATAGAGGACACGCAACACATGAATTCCCTGGTCTAGCTTCACAGAACTAAAGCGGGGAGCCACTGAGCATTACAGGCCTCCTGAGCCAACAGAAAGCATGCAGCATGACTCCAGACATAACACCACCCCAACGAGACTGAATTCAAATCCAACCAAACCTCTAGATCTAACCAGCAGATTAATGTAACTAACAGAAGAATATGTTGGTCTAGAATAAGAGAATGCAATCAACCAAGTTCAGAAAATGTGAAGTTCTCCAAAATAACCAACTTGCTTCTTTGAAAAAGAAAATGGTATGATCAGAGACAGGGAGAGGAGGGCCTGGAGCCATGTTGTTTGGGGAAAGAGACTAGAAGCATATGTCAACCAATGCCAATACACAGAACATATTCAGGTCCTAATTCAAAATTACCACCTAAAAAAGGCATTTTTGAGATAGTCCAGGAAAATGTAACATGGACTACATGTTAGATTAAGGAATCACTGTTAATCTTATAGACAGGATAATGATATTGTAGGGTTTTTCTTAAATCCTTATCATTAAGAGGTAAAATGCCTTAAAATGTTTTAAAGACAGAGTTATGCTTTAAAATAATCCAATTGGCCGGGCACAGTGGCTCATGCCTGTAATCCCAGCACTTTTGGAGGCCGAGGCAGGCAGATCACGAAGTCAGGAGATCGAGACCATCCTGGCTAACATGGTGAAACCCCATCTCCTACCACGCCGTATTACCGCATTTAACAGGTATGATGAAGCAACTGAACAGGCTATTTTTCCATTTCCATTGCATTTCAACAGAACCCATTAAAAAGTAGTATAAATGGCCCTTAAATACTAATATATTTTAAAATGCTCAAACTATATCAGGGTCACCATTTTGTGCTTTAGCAGGCAAAATCCCAAAAGCCCACACACAAGGCTGGGAGACCAGCATCCCTATTGGTGGTGAGAGAAATCAAGATGTACAGGAGCGATCTGGTGACAACCAGCCCACACTAGGTGCATCCCCACCTGTGCATGTGCACAGGCACACACGCGTGCACACATGGAGGACACATGTTCCAGGTCAGGCCTTGCAGCACTATTTGTGTTTTTTGTTATTGTTGTTGTTGTTTTTTGAGACAGTTTCACTCTTGTTGCCCAGGCTAAGGTGCAGTGGCGCAATCTCGGCTCACTGCAACATCTGCCTCCCAGGTTCAAGCGATTCTCCTGCCTCAGCCTCCCGAGTAGCTGGGATTACAGGCATGTGCCACCATGCCCCACTAACTTTTGTATTTTTTAGTAGAGACGGGGTTTCTCCAAGTTGGCCAGGCTGATCATCTCAAACTCCAAACCTCAGGTGATCCACCTACCCTGGCCTCCCAAAGTGCTGGGATTACAGGCATGAGCCACCACAACCGACCCTCAGCACTATTTGTGTAGCAACACTGTGGCAATAAGCCCAAGTGTCCACCAATAAGAGACTCACTGAAGAATGATACATAAAAGACATATCTACACACTGAAGACTAAGCTGCTTTATAAAAACAAAGAGCGACACTCTGATAAAGTACTCCAGTATATATGGCTAGTAAAAAAAAAAACAAGCAACACAAGTAATGCAACATGCTACCACTAGCATACTCATTCCAGAGAACAAGGAGGTTACAGAGGAGACTGAAAAGCCAGAGAGAGCAGGTAGGAAAATGGGTGGAAGGGGTGGGCAGGGGAAGTGACAGTGTGTCTCTGCCTAGGTTTGATTTTTGAACCATGTGACTGTATTCCTCTTTTTTTTTTAACGACTGTAAAACAAAATAAACACTCTTCATACTAGAAATAAAATGTTAGAAAAATCTGGATTCAAAACTAGGATTACTGTTATACACTGGCAAAGTTCACTAACATTCCCAAAGGCAGTTTTCTCATTGACATAATGAGATACAACAGCGTGTATGAGGTCCTCAGTGGGCCTGCACCCTACAGGTGCTCCACACATGCAAATCACTACTATTACCATTACTATTACATAACAGATATAATATATAATTATACTGTCACTACTATAACCAGCATTACATACTAAGACAGCCCACGTTCAGAGTATAAAGAAGGCTGTGGAACCCTCTGTAGAAGGTGGGAGGGCCTGGGGCTGTGGGTAAAGGGGAGCTCTCTGGGGCTGTGCCACCTGAACCTGGAACCTGGGCCCCCAGGTTGGGTCCCCAGGCCTGTGCGCCTCAGCTTGCTCATCATTCACTCTCAACACGGATAACACCTTCAACTGCAAACACGTTTAAAAACCACAGGCCAGCTCCCCCTACCAATACCAGAAAAAGCAAGTCTCCACACGGGCCCAGGATGAGAACCTACAAGTGGTACTAGCTACAAAACCCATGGAGAACACGGTTCTTGCACACACACCTTATGAGACGTCGGACAGCTACACGGCAGAGGCATCTACAGGGTGTAGCCAGATCTTCTAAATGGGCCATGACAACAACCGCCGTTTGTTGCAGATCAATGGCAAGCTCGTTGTCTTGTGGAGGGTGAGGTACCTCAGGAAACTCACTGGGGCTCAGAGGGCCAGACAAAAGCTAGAAAGGAAAGGTAAACAAACATTCAGAAATGGTGGGAAAAATTAAAGTAATACAGTTAGCCTTTACCCACTCTTTATATTTTGGTATTGACTCATTTGACCCATCAAATGACAATGTCGATGATACAGTTATACTATACATCTATATATTTATGTAGCATACAAACTGACTGTATAAATGTCTAAATGTGCTGTACACATGTACACAACATTGACTGTGCATGTATACATTTATGACACCACAGGTAAGTTGAATCCACACAGATTACTAACATGACCAAACCACCCTACAGGCCTAGGACCCCTGGAGAAAGGCAGAACCACCTCTGTGGGAACCCAGAACAGCATCTCAAGCTGGCCTTGAAATCTAAAACCAAAACCTTTATTTTAATCTAAACATTGCCCACTCTGGAGAACACCTACTTTCATTTGCAAATTAAATCATAGTTCTAATTCTTCTAAAGGCAGAAGAGCCCTATTATCATTAGTTTAAAGACTAACAAATAATAGAAAAATTAAACCAAAGCATGATATTGAAATGCCTAAGACTTTCCCAAAAAGATGCAAAATTCAACTTGTACTTGACCTGTAAAGACCAGCACTCCTGGAGGTTTACACCCAGGGCCCCACATGCCTGCTCCTCCCCCAGCTCGGCGTCCACACCTGTTAAGGGGGGAGCTGGTACTAAACAGAGTGACAGCTCAGATGACATGCCCTGCACAGAGCCCAGTACATAGGAAGGGCCAACAAAGAAAGCCACTATTTTCGTTGTTCTTTTCTAGTATTGATTTAAAAGTGCGTGTTTCAAGCTTGGTTCTGTGCTGACAAGGAAGTCGGTGCTCACTGATCCAAGTCTTCTCCACAAACAAGTGGCCTCCCACACCTGTCTCATCTGACTCGCTGCTGTTACCACCAAATACACACACGCCAGAGAAAAACACTGCCGTGGACACACACACTGGTCTTGCGTAAAAAATAACTAGACTTGAGTACCACCTAAACACAACGTTCCATCATGACACTCACGTGCATGTTGCCCTCGGAGGGGGGCGTATCCTTACCACAAATGATGCTCTGGAACGTTTGCAGCAAGGGCAAAAGCAAGGTGCTGGTGCCCTGGGCAGAACGCTCATTGTCAGTTTCCTGTGCCCTGCTGTCCCACAGCTGAAGCAACAACAGGATGGCAGACAACATTTGGCTAAAGGAGAAAACACATTTATTCCTAGTAAAAACAGATTAACTTTTTTTTTCATGGTTGATCAAAAATAAAAGCAAACAGCTAGATAGAAGTGAAGCAATACTTGGGATATGAAAGGAAATGAAAGTAAAGCCGTGGTAATTAAATCACTGAATTGACACTAAGATTTTAGCACAAGTCATCGCCTTCTGCTGATAGGAAAGACCAGTTAAGAAGCTCAAAGAGCACATTCACATGGAAGTTCTAGGATCTTAAATTCATGGAATAAAAATAATTAAATGAGGAAAACTGAAAGAAAAAAAAAAAAAAGAACAGTTCCCAGGCTAGAAAACTGAGCATAAAAAAGGAAGTGAAGAAAAGGTAAAGAGAGAGCGAGCTCTGGGACATGGTGCTCTCTGCTGCAGTCAAACACGATTCAGTGAAATGCACACAATGCAACAGGTATTTGGATACAGAGGCGCTTCCCCAAAGCGTTCCCATTCTGCACAAGCCCTCACCTCAGCGTGCCTCTCTGCACAGCCAGCTCCAGCAGGATGGCCAGAGCCAAGTGCTGGTCCTGCAGGGGCATGCTTCTGGCCTTTTGGTGCCTGGCGTTCTGTGAACATCCCTGAAATGAAAACAGTGGATGCAGGAACACAGCGACCTCCAGAAAGACAGTATGCTTACAATCACACTAACATGTTTACTACATGCTCCCTCCCAAGGAAGGATATATTCTTAATATTTAGAACCAAGTTTCTGAGACTTGCTACTCAAATTTTTCAGAGATTTTTAAAGTATACAATTAACTTACAGAAATGTATTTTATTTAAAGTATTCATTCAGATACCGTATTACAGTAGATGACATACTCCAAGTGTGTGAAGCATAAAATATCTCATTATCCAAAACATGAGTAGAAGAATATCTAGCTACCTTTTCCAGTTTCAATGACGTGTAAGCCTATACCAGTATCAACCTTCTCCTACAGAATTAGAGAACCAATTTCTAAAACCACCTGAGGATCTGGAGGCAAAATGTCTATACTAATTTCTATCTCTGATCAAAGATTACCTGGTTGCTTACTCCCATACCCAGCTCTCCAGAATTGACTTGGCCCTATATACAGGTGCAGGAGTTTCATCTTTTTTCTCTTTGTCATCCAGATCTTCTTTCTTTGTTCCACTTGGTTTGACACTATCATCTGCAGAATTAAAATTTTTTTAATCTGTAACCGCTTTTCAGAATGCCATACCATTAGTCAGTCTCTGCAAATGTCCCTCCCTGAAAAGTTACAACACACATCATTAACTGAATGTTTGACAACTCAAAAATAAAATATATCAATCATACCTGTAACAGATCCAGTATAATTTTCATAAACAAACCAATATATCGGCCGGGAGTGGTGGCTTATGCCTGTAATCCCAGCACTCTAAGAGGCCAAGGCCGGTGGATCACGAGGTCAGAAGATGGAGACCATCTTGGCTGACACAGTGAAACCCCGTCTCTACTGAAAATACAAAAAATTGGCCAGGTATGATGGTGGACACCTATAGTTCCAGGTACTCGGGACGCTGAGGCAGGACAATGGCGTGAACCCGGGAGGCGGAGCTTGCGGTAAGCCGAGATGGCACCACTGCACTCTAGCCTGGGCAACAGAGCAAGACTCCATCTGAAAAAAAAAAAGAAAAGAAAAGAAAAGAAAAGAAACCAATATATCAAATTATTTAAAGCATGTCTTCCAAAATGATATTTCATTAACTTCCTAGTAGATTTCACAACTGAGAAACTTAGTATTTGATATTTACCTACTTCAATTTCACACGAATTGCTTCCATCCATTGAGTCCCAATGCTTGCGTACCCATGGGAAAAGGGAGGGTGTAGAAAAGGAGTATGATTCAAAAATCTTTTAACCCTTTCCAAGGCCCTACTCCACTGCCAACTGGCAAGCACTGCTATGCAGGGGCGCTGTCACTGATAGCATAATTCAAGAGCACTGGGACACAAAGGAAAAGCTGGGAAAAATGACTTTAGGCCACTGACAATGTAACGTTTCAGTCAAAAACAACTGTCATAAAACTCCTGACATAGTAAGCGAAGAGAAGAGAGAACTAACCTTAACCTTGAAGTGTAAACACGGTCCATCACAGAAGGCTGTGACTAAACGTCTAAACAACATAATTAGAAAAATGTACCTCAATCGGTGAAGGACATGATATCCCATCCAGATTATAAATAATGAGTATCTAAAAATCCCTAAGGAAACAGTTCCTCTGTTTACAACACTTCTGACGCCAAATGTATGGACTTTTGCACCAAGCAATTCTCCAGTTCTTTGCGACACCCAGCTATGTGTCCCACAATGCAATTCAATTCTGAAACTAACTACCTAGAATTAGCACAGACCCCACAGGTTAATAACAGGAGAGAAAAGGTACAATGCTGGAAAAAAAATCTAAAGAACTAATAGCTGAAAACTTCCTAGGTTCAGCAAATGACAGAAACCTAGGCAGATTGAAGAATCTGTGCAAAGCCCAAACAAGATAAATCCAAAGGAAGCCATGATGAGGCACATCATAATCAACTGCTAAACACTAAGGACAAAACCTTTTGAAAAGTGCCACAGAAAGTAGATACAGAGGAATGTCTTGTGTGGCCTGAAATTAAGACTAAATATTATGTGCTGCCTTGACGTCAGTAAAATCAAGAAGGCCTCAAATAGCCTAACCACAAGGTCTCCTCCAAGCTCTGCTCCCACGGATAAGATCCCAGAGCCAAACAACCCTCCTTATCGCGGAGACCCGACCCCAGCCTGCTCATCCCTGCTGGTCCAGAGTTATTCCAACAAGCCAATCACATCTTCCCACGGAAGCAAGGTCATTTCACCCTCTTCTTACTACAAAATGTGCCTCCCACAGCCCCTCGTGGTTCACTCTGTTCCCAAGTGCAGCCCCCGTGTGACATGCGGTGTCCCCCACCCCCAGGGCTGTGAGCATGCGTGACTAATAAACTGCTATTTCATCTGTCCAGTGTTGGTGTCTTATGTTCAGCCATCCCATATCCCTAAGGCAGGAATCTTTTAGGATTATAAACAGAACTTTAATCAACCTCTCCTTGGTTATTTTACTGGTTCCATGATACAGCTTTTTCTGTGCAAAAGATCTGAACAGAAACTTCACAAAGGATACAAGAGTGGCAAAGAAGAACATGATATTCAGCATTGTTAGCCATTATGGAAATGCAAATTTAAACCACAATGAGATCCCACTAGACGTGTTAGAATGGCTCAACTAAAAAACACTGATAACACCAAGTGCTAACAAAGACACAGAGCAACAGAAACGTGACAGATTACCAGCAGGAATGCAAACTAAAACAGCCACTTCGGAAAACAGTTCAGCACATGACCCAATTTTCACACTACTAGGTCTTTATCCTAGGGAAATGGAAACTATATTCACACAAAATCTGTACAGAAATGCTCACAGCAGGATTACAATTGTGAAAGAAAAACGGAAACAACCACAAGGTCCTACAATAGCAGAATGGATAAACACAATGTGGTACATCCAAATGATGAAACACCATTCATCAATAAAAAGAACTATTAATACACAGAACAACAATATATCTCAAACATATAACTAGGAGTAAATGAAGATGGTTTCAAAACGTTACTTAAAATATGGTTCCACTCACATGACATTCTCAAAAAGAATACCCTATACTGATGGAGAACAGATCAGTGGTTGCCAGGGTATGAGGCCAGGGGATATGTGATAAAAAGCAGCACCTTAAGGGAGCTTTTGGGGTGATGAAACTTCTCCATCCTGATGATGGCGGGGGTTAAATGAATCTATAGGGTCAAAATTTACTGAACTAGATACCACAATAAAATAAATTTCATGTAAGTTTTTTAATAAAAAAAAAGTTGGCTGGGTGCGGTGGCTCACACCTATAATCCCAGCATTTTGGGAGGCCGAGGCGAGCAGATCACAAGGTCAGGATTTCGAGACCAGCCTGGCCAACATGGTGAAACACCGTCTCTACTAAAAATGCAAAAATTAGCCAGGTGTGGTGGCATGCACCTGTAATCCCAGCTACTTGGGAGCCTGAGGCAGGAGAATTGCTTAAACCTGGAAGGCGGAGGTTGCAGTGAGCCAAGATCGCCACTGCACTCCAGCCTGGACCGCCAAGTAAAACGTCATCTCAAAAACAAAAAACAAACAAACAAACAAAAAAACAAAGAAAATATCTAGGTCCAGGTAGGACAGTTGGAATACAGTCCAGTGGAATCATGTCAGAGCAGGGAGCTGGGTCTGGAAGGCTGGAGCAGGGCGTGGCCCCACTCTAGGAAGGAACTAGGAAACGCATCCTGGGTGAAGCAAGAGCAGAGTCCCGTTCTGCAACAGATGAGCCTTTATCCTGATCTGAGAAACTATATGCAAATTTAATACATCTCACTTAGCCTCTTATTTTCCTTAACAACATGGAAAATGAGAGAACAAACAATTCAGAAGGTTAAGACATGAAATACATTTCATTCAGAAATCATACACAGAAAGGTAGGAAATAAATGGGGGAAAATAGCAGCTAATGAAAAGTGAAAATGGGCCAGGGCAGTGGCTCACACCTACAATCCCAGCACGCTGGGAGGCTGAGGCGGGCGGATCACTTGAGGTCAGGAGTTTCAGACAAGCTTGGCCAACATGGTGAAACTCCAACTCTACTAAAAATACAAAAATTGGCCCAGCATGGTGGCAGCCACCTGTAATCCCAGCAGCTTGAGAGGCTGAGGCAGGAGAATTGCTTGAACCCAGGAGGCAAAGGTTGCAGTGAGCCAAGATAATGCCACAGTACTCCAGCCTGGGCAACAGAGCAAGACCCTGTCTCAGAAAATAAAATAAAATATTCATAGTCTTAATAATGGAAAATAAAAACATTTACTGAATGCCAAAAAATCTCCCTAAAAACCCCAATCAGTTGGGATCTACATAAAGAACAATTATGCTCTGCTTTCTAACCACAATTTTTAAAAGAACAAAGGACAAAAATATCCATCAAACGTGGGCCGGGTGCGGAGGCTCACGCCTATAATCCTAACACTTTGGGAGGCCGTGGCAGGTGGATCATGAGGTCAGGAGTTCAAGACCAGCCTGGCCAATATGGCGAAACTCCGTCTCTACTAAAAATACAAAAATTAGCTGGGCGTGGTGGAGGGTGCATGTAATCCTAGCTACTCAGGAGGCTAAGGCAGAGAACTGCTTGAACCCGGGAGGCGGAGGTTGCAGTGAGCCAAGATCATGCCACTGCACTCCAGCCTGAGCAACACAGCAAGGCTCCCTCTTGAGAGGAAAAAGAAGCAAACAACAAATTCATCAAATGTAATAAATAAAACATATACTTTGGATTTTTCCATGTGCTTAGCTTTTCTTAGAGCATCTTTTAGAATTATTGTTTCACAAAAAAACACTTTGGGAAATGTTTTAATTTATTAACAAATACTAGGGCTAGGAAGAGAGCTTAAAACTTTTTAAAATATACAGAATGAATTACAGATACGTGAAAGAAAAAAAAAAAAAAAGATTGCTGACTCCTGTCATGGAAGGCCCTATCATATGGACATTCTTAGCCTCAGCATCCGGAGGTCCAGAAAGGGACAATTTCGAGTCAGAGAGAATTCTATATATACCATTTATTTGGAACCTTCAGCCCTTAAGATTCCAACATCATGACCTCAGTTTCAACACAATTGTCCTTAGACCTTGTATTGCATACAAATACAAAACAAACACCTCGACTGAACTAACTCTTGTCTCTCCAAAAACACAAACACAAGACCTCATAAAATGAGTGCGTTTCTATTGGCCATAATTACTGCAACTTACTTCTCCAACTTTCCCCTGCACAGTTAACTAAACAGCTCAAAAACTATCAGTAACAAATAACAGTCACCATCATATGGTTAGGAGTGTGGCAGATTTCTTAACCAGTAATAAAAAAATAGGAAAAAAATTTTGCCTATTCATAGATCTCAAGTTTCGTGCACTTGCAAGAAACTAATTAAAAGGCAGCCGTGCACGATCTACAAAAACAGCCATAAAGACTGTTACATTTTAAGTTACAGGAAACAAACCTGCTCCTCTACTATAGCAAGAAACAACTGACTTCCCCTTACATACCCTAAAAAAAAAAAGACTTACACGAGAAATTTAAACATGGAAGCAGAAATACACCAAGAAAGAGACATGTCAAACCCCACCTGTATATCTGTTTTCAACCATTTGGAGTCAAGGCGAGCCTGGGCAGCCAAACACAAATATTCAGAGGGCATCTTTTCTCCAGCTTCCTCCCAGTTCTCAGGCCTGCAAGTAAACATACATGTTGAAGACCTAACGCTTTTTAATATTTTACAAAGACACTCCCGAAAAGTTTAATGCAGAAAAAAAAGAACAGAAAGATGGGAGAGAAGAGCTCGGGGAAGGGAATGAAGAGGAAAGAGAGATAGAGGGAAGAGATGGAGGGAGAGGGAGGTGGGGAAGGGAAAGCCTCCTTCCTAGATAGGCAAGGTATGCCGGGTTTCTGCACCACGCTGGCGAGACCTTGAGAATGGACTGTCACAGGAGGCCAAATCACAATGTCATACCCCTGCCCTCAAATCCAAAAGGTACACACACACATGACAGGAAGCCCATCATTTTTTGTTTTGTTTTGTTTGAGATGGAGTCTCCCTCTGTCGCCCAGGCTGGAGTGCAGTGGCGGGATCTCAGTTCACTGCAAGCTCCGCCTCCCGGGTTCATGCCATTCTCCTGCCTCAGCCTCCCGAGTAGCCTGGAGTACCAGCGCCCGCCACCAGCCCGACTAATTTTTTTTTTTGTATTTTCAGTAGAGACGGGGTTTCACCATGTTAGCCAGGATGATCTCGATCTCCTGACTTCATGATCCTCCCGCCTCGGCCTCCCAAAGTGCTGGGATTACAGGCTTGAGCCACCGCGCCCTGCCAGGAAGCCCATCGTTTGAACGACAAATGACAGCAGCGTGAATCTGCCGCTTTACCCAACAGCAGGGCGCCTGCATGAAACAAATTACTCAAAAGGCTCACCTGCAGAAAAACCCACAGCCACCACCACTTAGAGATAGAGAGAGGCAGGGGGCTGCGCCGCGGGCGGTCCGCGCAGCAACCCCCCCCCCGCCCCCCCACCCCTTGTGCCTCCCGCCAACCCCGCACCGCCTCCGACGCCGGACGCCCCGGTGCCCCAGGCCAGGACCTGAGGCGCAGGGCCCGGCCTCCTCGCCCCGCAGGCGTGCGCACACAGCCTCCCAGCAGCCGCTGGCTCAGCCGGCGCCCGCGATCCCGACGCCTCTCGCTACCCGAGGGGCGTGCCCGCGCGGGACTGCCGCCCCCTCCACCGACCCGCGCTTACCGCCAATCGCAAGGCGGCTCTGCGGGCGCAGCCAATGGGGAAGAGGAGCCCTTCCCTGCTCCTCCTGACTCTCCCGCTTCCCGCAATCCCGTTTATCTTCCTACTTGGAGCTCACCCACTGCAGCCAGGGCCAACCGCCGGCGCCGGAAGGCGGGATTTCCGCGGCACGCACGCACGCCCGCACTCCCACGGGAGTCAGTTTCTCACCAGCTGAATTATTTGAATTTAGCACCACTAAAAGTGGAGCAATCAGGTACGGAGTGCCTCCAGAGCTGATGTAGCAGAAATCACTGACACCATCTTTTTTTTTTTTTTTTTTTTTGAGACAGTCTCATTGCGTCGCGGAGGCTGGACTGCAGTGGCATGATATCAGCTCACTGCAACCTCCACCTCCCGGGTTTAGGTGCCTCAGCTTTCCGAGTAGCTGGGATTACAGGCATCTGCCACCCACCCGGCTAATTTTTGTATTTTCAGTAGGAACGGAGTTTCATCACAAACTGCTGACCTCTGGTGATCCGCCCGCCTCAGCCTACCAAAGTTCTGGGATTACAGGTGTGAGCCGCCGTGCCCGGCCTATTTCAGATATTTTAAATATTAAAAAGTAGAACCTGGCCAGGTGTGGCTCACACCTGTAGTCCCAGCACTTTGGGAGGCTGAAGTGGGAGGATCGTTTGAGCCTAGGAGTTCAAGACCAGCCTGGACAACATAACAATACCCTGTCTGTTCAAAAAATAAAATTAGCCAGGTGAGGTGGCACGTGCCTGTGGTCCCAGCTACTCGGGAAGCTGAGGCAGGAGAATTGCTTGAACCCACGAGGTGGAGGTTGCAGTGAACCAAGATCGTGCTACTGCACTCCAGCCTGGGAGACAGAGCCAGACTCCGTCTCAAAATAATAATAATAATAATAAGCTTGGGCGGTGGAGGGCTCCCCCAGGCATTGGCCACCTGTGGAGTGACCTGGCTTTTGGCTCCCTGGCAGCCAACTTCTGGGTCGGGCATCTTCGTTGGTGACTGCCCCTTCAGCTCTCCTGGTGTGGCTGTGAGTGGTATGGCACTGCTGTGACCCATCATCTTGTCTTAAAGAGGCATCCTGACATCTCCACACTTGCACACTGAAGAACGCAACATCATGATTAACTTTTTAAAGGAATATTACAAAAATCACAGCATCCGAAAATTTTTTGGTCATTGCAATGATCTTGATCAGGCAATGAGAAAATAAATCCTTGAAGAATGAGTACATGGAAAAGAGGACCAAGAGCAGAGACTATGGCAATTTGATGCAAGAGACTTTTTTTTTTTTTTTTTTGAGACGGAGTCTTGCTCTGTCACCAGAGCAAGTGCAGTGGCTCAATCTTGGCTTATTGCAACCTCCGCCTCCTGGGTTCAAGCAATTCTTCTGCCTCAGCCTCCCACATAGCTGGGACTACAGGTGTGTGCCACCATACCCAGCTAATTTTTGTATTTTTAGTAGAGACAGGATTTCACCGTGTTGGCTATGGCCAGGATGGTCTCGATCTCCTGACCTTGTGATCTGCCCACCTCAGCCTCCCAAAGTGCTGAGATTACAGGTGTGAGCCACCGTGTCCAGCCGCAAAAGAGACTTTTTAATTCTCCAGAGGAATCTGAAAAATAAATTGTATTTTCACTGGATGCCTTGGCTGAGAGAAGACTGAAAGACTATGGGTTGGCCCGGGCACGGTAGCTCACGTCTGTAATCCCAGCACTCTGGGAGGCCGAGGCGGGTGGATCACCTGAGGTCAGGAGTTCGAGACCAGCCTGACCAATATGGTGAAACGCTGTCTTTACCAAAAATACAAAAATTAGCCAGGCATGGTGGCGTGGGCCTGTAATCCCAGCTACTCGGGAGGCTGAAGCAGGACAATCTCTTGAACCCGGGAGGCAGAGGTTGCAGTAAGCCAAGATGGCGCCACTGCACTCCAGCCTGGGCCACAGAGCGAGACTCTGTCTCAAAAAAAAAAAAAAAAAAAAAGACTGGGTTGATACCTGAGAGAATCCTGTCTTATTTGCTCTCCAGAATCCTTGTAATGAAAAGTGACCCATGAGAAATTGAACCATGGAGAAATATGAACATTTCTGGATTCTGAATATTTGTTGGGCAGTCTTTAGTATCATTTTTCCTCCACCAACAAACCTGACTTCACCCTGTTTCTTCTCTTTGCCTACTACCAGTTATCTCAGTAACTTATCTCCCTGAATAAAGGAATATGATAAGTTAAAATAAAATAATTTATTTTAAAAACTTGTTTAAATAGGCCGGGCACGGTGGCTCACACCTATAATCCCAGCACTTTGGGAGGCTGAGGTGGACGAATCATGAGGTCAGGCGATCGAGACCATCCTGGCTAATATGGTGAAACCCTCTCCACTAAACATACAAAATTAACCGGGCCTGGTGTCGGGTGCCTGTAATCCCAGCTACTTAGGAAGCTGAGGCAGGGGAATCACTTGAACCCGGTAGGGGGAGGTTGCAGTGAACCAAGATCGGGCCACTGCACCACTGCCCTCAAGCCTGGGCGACAGAGCGAGACTCCATCACACACACACACACACACACACATACACACACACACACACACACTGTTTATAAATAAATTAATAATTTATTTTTAAAAATTAATAGACTGAATCTGTAGGCTTTGTAATATCTAGTTTATCTACTCCAATACCTCTTGGAGGCATACTTCCTTTACTTGATTTCTGAATTGGGGATCCTATCACTGCAAACAAACAATAGAAAATAAAGAAATAAAGGCCAGGTGTGGTGGCTCACACCGGCAATCCTAGCAATTTGGGAGGCCAACGCTGGCAGATCACCAGAGGTCAGGGGATTGAGACCAGCTGGGCCAACATGGTGAAACCCCATCTCTACTAAAAATACAAAAATTAGCCAGGCATGGTGGCACATGCCTCTACTCCCAGCTACTCCGGAGGCTGAGGCAGAAGAATCGCTTGAACCCAGGAGGCAGACATTACAGTGAGCTGAGATTGTGCCACTGCATTCCAGCCTGGGTGACAGAGTGAGATGAGAGAAAGACAGACAGACAGAGACGGGGTTTCACCGTGTTAGCCAGGATGGTGTCGATCTCCTGACCTCATGATCCGCCTGCCTCGGCCTCCCAAAGTCCTGGGATTACAGGTGTGAGCCACCGCGCTCAGCCAGGTATGTGATCTTGAGCAAGTTTCTAAGCCTCTTTGTGCCCCAATGTCCATTTCTTACAATAGGGATAATAATAGTAACCTTTAAGTGAGTCATTACGCATAGAGTTTAATTAGAAGAGCTCTTGACATACAGCAAATACTAAAAACATTCAGTAGCATCCACAGTAGAAAACGCAGGGCCGGGCGCGGTGGCACACGCCTGTAATCCTAGCACTTTGGGAGGCCGAGACGGGCGGATCATGAGGTCAGGAGATCGAGACCATCCTGGCTAACGCGGCGAAACCCCGTCCCTACTAAAAATACAAAAAAAAAAAAAAAAAAAAAAAAAAAATTAGCCGGGCGTGGTGGACGGTGCCTGTAGTCCCAGCTACTCAGGAGGCTGAAGCAGGAGAATGGCTTGAACCCGGGAAGCGGAGCTTACAGTGAGCGGAGATAGCGCCACTGCACTCCAGCCTGGGTGACAGAGCGAGACTTCGTCTCAAAAAAAAAAAAGAAAAAAAGAAAACGCAGAGTACATAGCACATGGTAGATACTGACACTGCGCTGAGTCTCTTACAAACATCGTCTCATTTTACTCTCACAAAACCCCAGGAGTTTGGTATCTTTATTCTAATTTTAAAGACGAGAAACTGAGGCTTGAAAATATTAGGGATATGTCCAAGGTCACGGCGGAGCTTGCAATGAGCCAAGATCACGCCACTGCACTCCAGCCTGGGCAACAAACAGAACAAGACTCCGTCTCAAAATAAATAAAAATAAATAAATAAATAAATAAATAAATAAAAAAGATGTATTTGGATGGTTAATGCATTTTTAATGTATAATCATCTACTGTAGTTAAAAGATGATCAAATGTGCTGATTCACTCAGTGTGTTTCAAATGCAGGACTTAAGGAACAATATGCCATAAGCCACCAACTTATTGTTTTCTTTTAAATTATATATCTAACACGCATACATACACACACACACACACACATATATACAAAATGTTAATAATGATGAAAATTTTGAGCATCATGAAGAATAGTATATATGTAATATATGTTTTTTCACAAGAGTTTTCCAACTTCTGTACTTTTTTTTTTAGTAGAATACATTAGATACTACAAAAGAAATGAAAACAAAATGATGTGGAATAGCATGTAAACAATAGAAGGAAGTTTTTGAAGACTGTTACAACACAGCTTCCCTAGCTAATAATACCTGAGAAAACCTGCACATGTGGCATATATGTGTCGCTACCTTTTAGCATATATAATGGGTTTATTAATATTTCTTCATAGCATTGATGGGATGAATATATAAAATAGTATCTATAAATACCTAGACCTTTGCTGGGTGTATAGTAAATATTGTGTTAAAATAGAACTCTTCCATCTTTCTGCAGAAATACTCTATGCAGTGATTACTTCTGGCTGTGATACATAAAAACAGGAAAATCTCAATAGAGAAAAAATATGTATTGATGATACATAATCTGGATTTTTCCAAAGTACAAAAACTATGAATTGGGTTGCAAGGATTTCATGTTAAGACAACAGTAAGAATAAAGACATGGAGTAGAAGATACACACGTTGAGTAGGTTTAACAGGCCTGAGCAAAAGATGCATATAATGAAACGTCACAAGAACAGACTAGAAATTCCTCTAAGCCTGTTGCGAGAGCCAAAGAAAATACATCTGTATTTGACTGTTGATAATGAGGAATTTCTGAAAGGTTGACCTATAGAAGTTCTGAAAAAATGCTTCTAAACAAACCAGATTCCTTTGTCAAACAGATAAGGGAAATTATGGATATGTAATGCCACTTTAGAAATTTCAAATGCACATTAACAAAGCAACAGCAAAAAGCAAACCCCATTTAACATTGTTTAACCTAGATTTTATGAACTTATTTACCAAGGAAACTCTCCCATCTGTATTTCCCTACTTGTAATACTTATTAAGAATCACTATTTTGGTGTCGTTGGAATTTACTTAGAGAAATGCGGTCTAACCTCTGCTTTAAGAAGACAACTCTGGCAGAACTATCAATTGGAAAAAGAGAGTTTAGATGCTAGGAGGCCATTATAATAGCTCACTTGAGAGCTAATCTGTGCATGACTCTGATGGGAGAAAATAAAACTGAGAAAAAGGCATGCATTGGAGGCAACAATCCTTGGAATGTGATTGACTGTAGAGAATAATGAATGTGGAAGACCCAGAACAGACTTTAAAATGTTAAGCCCAAATGACTGTCTGACAGGTGGTATCTGTAACAAAAATTGGAAACTCTGAAGGAAGAACAAGATTCTGAGGAAACGACTAATTTTTTAATGTGTTGAGCTTGAGGGCCTGCTTTGGAACTAACAGGCAGCTGAAGATTTCATTTCATGTCAAAGAAACTTAATTTAAAATCCATCAAGTACTAAACTCAGAGCTAAATGTGAAGGACTGAAATACCAACTTGCCCACCATGTTAGGTTTATGAGAGCTCAATGCAGAAATGCCTCTGAAGTGGGAAAATCTATAATTTCTCCGAAGAAGCACTGTCTGTGCTCTGGAGGTCAGAAACTTTCTAGACTCATGTCTTCATTAGGGCAGATCGAGAAGCCTTTTAGAAATTAAATTTTGGACATGCCCATGTGTCCTCTGAGCCTGTCCTTTCTGTCAGAAGTCACGCAGAGACCCAAATGTCAAAAAGGGACACACTCTTTTGTTGATGCACAAGATTGTGGCATTCCAATCTCTTTCTGAAAATACATTATTGGATTCTTTGCAGCCAAATTCTTAAGAAAAGTTTGGTATTGGAGACTAATATTCCATGAAGAATTACCTGAAGCATGAGGAAATCATCCCTTTAGATCAGTGGATTTTTTGCTTTAATTTTTAAATTGACACATCATTGTACATATTTATAGGGTATAGGGTGATATTTTGATTAGATCAGTGTTTTATATAGCATGTTATGTAAAGCTTCTGAGAAGAGTCAGGGAGCATCTTAGAAAGCAAAATGGAGTCTGTAAACAGACATGTAATGAATACTAAGACATGTAATGAATCTTCATGCCCTCCCAGATATTTCAGAGACATCCAGTTATGTTGGGATCACGTGGAAAGATCTAAGAGACTCTGAGGTGAAGTGCCATGAATCACTCTGGGGCTGAGGCAGTAAAAAGCCCCTGCCTCCTTCCCAGGTTCTCTCCTTTTCCACTTCCAGTACTTTGAAGGTTACGTGCAATGTGTGTCATAGGTTAATGATAGAGGAGTTTATTCTGACTGACATTGAACTTTATGGGAGCAACCCACAAACTTTGGTGTGGTTGAGCCACTGAGAATTCAAGCTTAGTATCTTCTTGTTGCTGTTGCTGTTTACCAACACTGTGGTATTTCTACAGGGCTCAAGCGGGCAGAGAAATTCCATGTGAACAAGAATGTCTCATGTTGGGCTTCTGTATAAATTGTGCTGTTGAAAAATGTTAAGCAGATAAAAATTTTAGAAATTCATTGCTCCACACTGTATCGATACTATTTTTGTCTCAGTCGAAGCCATCCTAAAGTTATATATACTTAGATCATATAATCTTCAATAGAATTGTTTTTACCAAGTTGCTTTTTGATGTTATAGATGAGCCTTAAGTAATTCACAACTGAATTCATACACAAATGTTATTGAGTCTATTTCCCACCATGTTAGAGAGGTTTATGAGAGCTCAATGCAGAAATGCCTCTGAAGTGGGAAAATCTATAGTTTCTCCAAAGAAACTATTATAGTTGTAACAGAAAGAATGATGGAAAATAATAAGATAGAAAATCGTATGAAGGAGTACAGAAGATGGGGCACTATTGAAGGGATTATTTAACAGCAATAAGGATGAAAATGTGTCATTGAAATTCTTTAGGTTCCACATAGAAATTGCACCAGTTTATCCCGGCAGACATATTGTTTAGAAGTTTTTAAGAAAAGAAATTTTTGAATCATGGTTTTACACTGTTTTAGGTCATGGGAACTAGTAAACATGTTTCACTCTGCAGACTATTAGTCAACATTTAGATCATGCTTTTCAATAAAGAATGTCAAATTGTGAGAGGAGAATCGATAGATCTAATTGTTACAGTCACTCAACTGACATGTTGACGGGCCTGGAAAATTTCTCACATGAATAATGGGTGAAGAGTCAAAGAATGATTCTTTTGGGGAAAAGAAGACCTGCCAGGGTTTTGGAAAGGGTATGTGTATGCATTTAGTATTGTTTAGTGTGGTAGCTCTATGGTCCTGACTGTCACATATTTATTGGGCTGCCATGTGTTAGGTGGAAACACAAAGCTGTCATTTTTTTGTAGGACAGAAAAGGCTGAATACTGACAATTTCATATGGTTCCACCTAATAGAATAGGAAACACAGGTATCTCTGAATTGTTTATCTAAGGTAGAATTTGGGGAAGAACTTAGAACTTATAAAAATTAAATTTTAGACTAAAATATATAGATATATCTAGAGTTGTTCAAAAATGAAAATAGAGCTGAAATATCAAGTGCTATAATGGAGTTCACATAAGAATTCCATGCTTTATATTTGAGGTTGGATATGTGCTTTTTCTTTATCCCTTTCATTTATATGGATCTAATCTTCTATAATGTTTAAAACATTTTGATTGAGATGTTCTTTGGCATTCTTTTTTCTCTTGATTTAAAGATCTGCTTTACAACCAAACAGTAAGATTAAACAAAACAAAACAATGCCCATGGCTTCATGATCACTCTACCCATTTAGAAAGGCCTTGTGCATGGCCTATTATGGTCATCTTGAAATTCTTTGTAATTTTTTATCAAAGGGTTCTACATTTTCACTTTTTACTGGGCCCTGAAAATTATGCACCCAGTCCTCAATCCGTGGTCTTCTTAAATTTGCATGCAGATTAGAATTATAAAGGTACATTAATTCTAGGCCGTCAAAGCCTAGCTTATAACTTTCAAATTACATTTGGGAATTGTTCTTATATAACAGCATTTATTGCTCCAAAGATCATTATGTAATAACTACTAAATAATCTATATGATTGTACATTTGGGAAACCATGAAAACTTTCTAAAAGAGCTCTGCTGTTTTATGTAACAATCATGAAATATTTCCAAATGCATAAATATAAACAATTACAATAGAAAATCTGAGAGACAAAAAAAGCTATGATAGTATACCAATGCAATTTCTTGAAAACAGATACACATGAAACAAAGAATAAAGGAACAGCAGGAAAATGTGCCACTATTGTGGTTACAGCTTTGAGGCAACACATTAAAATGCCAACCAGACACAGGTGGCAACAGATGTATCTACCACCAAAAAAAAAAAGTTAAATCAAGTGAAAAATTTCAAATGAAGTAACTGTTCAATGAAAAGGAAAAAGAATAAAAACCACATCTGCTTACATGGCAATGAAACATGAAAGATTCTGCTAAACATTTATGTTGAAAATTAAGATGGAGGTAATTATGCACACTCATCCAAAAATAGAAAACAAGGAATTAGTGGACCAATGCCAATGTTAATTTTGAAAACCTCAAGAAGAAGAAAATTAAGATATGGTTGATAGGTTCTCTACAATATAGCAAGAAAACTCTGCCCAAATTCTAAAGGATACAAAGTCTACTCAATTTAAAAACAAATGGCACGTTTCTGTTTCTTAAAAGACATACGCATAATCTGTGAGTGCATTTTCTACTTTAGAGACCATTTGAATTAAAATCCTTAAGTTCTTATGAATGTTTTCAAAATATGTACAGTAAATGAATAAAGCCCACAGTTATTTAAGGATAACATTTAAAATTATTTACTAAATCTTTAATATTAAAATAATAGTACATGCCATCCAGTCATAATCAAAAAAGCCAAGGTGATTATGGAGTATTGAGGCTGAAAAGAGCAAGATCTAAACCAACCTATTCTGGACTTCACTGTCAAGGAAAAAAATTGAGAGGAAAATTTTCAGAAAATACTTATACTTGTGAGATTGGTGATGAGAAACAATCTGTGAAATATTGCCATTTCTCTGGAGTAAAAATTTTAAATGATTGGTTATCACGATGTCCCTTTCTCTTCACACTCAACATCTTTCTGATTTGCTCCTCACATCTCAGGCATGCTGAGGCTATAATGTCTTTCCGTCTACCTTAGGTTTACTATTTTAAAATTGATTTTTGATGTTGTTGTGAACATGAATTTTGTATTAATACAGGAGGATGGGGTGTGTATTTCTGAAAGTCCAGAGTTGTAGGGGCAAAGAAGAGATTTCTGGAGTTCCCCTGCGTGCCTGCTTACAGAGGTTTCCTTCCTGATATTGTCAACTTCTACAATTCTTGCTCTGGCTCCATTTTAAAGCCCTGAGCAGTTAAGTGTCTTTTCCCGACCCTCATTTATACTACCATGAGGCTCCTTTGTAACATGAAATGTACAATGTGACCAATTGTTGGCTGCCCAAACAAACATACGTTAGGACTTTTCACTCTGGCCTCCTATACTGAAACATCATTCACATTTAGTAAAGGAAGGGGCACTCTGTTAAACTCACCACATTCTTTACTTTATGGAGTCAGATAGAGATATTCCACTAAGTCCTTTTGCTTGATCCCATAGAGACCATCCTAGGAAAACTGAATTAATATGAAAGCAGGTAGAGTGAATATTCATTAAAGTCATTTACAACAACATCCAATAGTGTCTCCAAGTGGAACAGATATTTAGAGACCATTTGGCAGGAGATAGGATGGGGAAAGAGAGTGGCTGATGCATGCTGAGAAGTAGGAGGAACAATCCAGCTTTTAAAATATTGTTCTTGTTAAGAGTCTGTTTATCAGGTTAAACACAGTCAAGTGGTCAGTTGGGTCTAATAATTCAGTAACTGAGAACAGATGGAGAATACATGGATATGTGTCTGTGTGTACACTCACATGCAAAACCAGTTGCCCTGACTTTATCTTACTTACATCAATCTATTTACTGATTTTGATAGGAAGAGTATGTATTTTAGATACCTCAAGAGTATCTCCTGAAATACTTCCATATTCTTGCCTTTTGAAGAATCTTTTTAAAGGAAGAAAAATAATTATTAGCAAAGAATTCACATTCCCAATGGCTCCATTTTCATCTCCTTAATCAGGTGTTAAAATTCATGGCTTGGGAAAAGTGGGATGTTTACAAGGCCTATCTATACCATTTATCTATACCATTAGTTTTAATAGCCTGTTCACTTGAACAATTTCTAAGTATGTGGTAAAAGAAACTAAACTAAAATAATAATGCATTATATTTGAAAACATCAGTATCCTGTACACAAAACTTCCATAAGTAGTTCTTCCTAGATTGAAACTAGAACTAATCCATTTCCAAAATCATCTATATTTTTCTGAAGACAAAAAAAATGTTGCTACAGATAATTGCCATAGGCTGCAAATATTCTGATTCATCCAGTATTTCTCTCTTGTTGCATGTTGTATAGATAAATATAATGCATCAATATTAGGATAGCATATATTTTGTTAAATGTTAATGCAGAATTCTAAATTTTCTAGCATTCACAGAAAAGCAAGCTACTGATAGTAAGTAGTATTTAAAGAGAAATCTTATCTACTACAATGAATTGAGAAATCCAGGATATTAAGACCACAAAAATGATTGTTTAGATGATTTAATTATAGCACAACAGGCTTTTCTGCTGATAATGTTATAATTATGTTTTAATAACCCAATCTCAACAAACATAGCTAGAGTACAAATGATGAGCACAAAAATCCATCTCATCTGTAGCTCAGACTAGTATTTCAAATGTAATTTCTCTATTAGTAATTTAGTCTGATTTTTATAATTCATTAGAATAAATCAATAACTGACTTAGAAATCACTTCTGTGATTTTTTTTCCACAGAAACATTAACAATACCACAAGCATTAAAATGTTGAGAAATATTTGTATATGATGATGTCAGTGGATGTTCCTTTCCTCAGCTAATAAATTCTAGTATAAAGTTTTCAGATCTGTACACAAAAATGGATCATAAAAATATAATCATGGTAGAAACTAGCAATTTTATGAATGTGGAGAAAGAGTTCAAATAGTACTTTTGTACTGTACTGTGTCCATGCAAAGCTTCATTCAATCAAACAAAAACAATACTGAATTTATTATGTTAAAATATTTAAGGACACTCTGGTAGATGAGATCATTTTCCTGCATTTGTTCACACTCTCTCCTATCTCCATCTCTAAGGGACAGATATAATTCCCCACTCCTTGACTTTGATCCTTGCTGTGTGATTTTGCTTAAGCCAAAGGGGTATCTTAGAGGATTTCAGGCAACAGAAGCCTGGCATGTTTTTGCACAGGCAGGTTGCACTCCTGACTTTTGCCATAACAATAACATGCTTCAAGTACCCGGGAGGGCTGAGGAGAATCACAAATACGTAGAACAGATCTGGACACCAGCTGCAGCTTCAAGCCAATGCTAGCCAAGCCCAGCCTAGATCAGCTGAACTGCGTCTGACCAGAGGTGCATGAACAAGGAAGGCAACGCGGTGGACCTGGGCCAGATGAGCAGCTTCTACATTGGCCTGTGTTCCCGCCTCCACTGCAACATTTTCTCCTACCACTACTCTGGCTACGGTGCCAGCTCGGGCAGGCCCTCCGAGACGAACCTCTACGCCGACATCAACGCCGCCTGGCAGGCCCTGCGCACCAGGTGAGGGCGACCCCGGGCGCAGCTCAGCCTGGGCACACCCGAGAGGGGACCAGGCCGGGGGCCAGGGGCCGGGGGGAGGGGCGGGCTTCCCTGGGAGGAAGGTGGGCGGCCCTGCAGGAGAGGAGCCACAGTGGACGCATGCTGCCAGAGAGCCGGACAGGTGAGCTCAGGCATGCGGGTGCTGCCTCCACATGGCTGAGGTGTGGCCAGGAGGTCCCCCCACACCCTGGCCTGTGGAGCCAGGCTCCCTGGGATCCCCTGGCCTGAGGACAGGAAGGGGCTGAGCTTGTCACAGGGGCGTGGACACCACCTGGCGGGAGGGGGTGGGTGGTGTCAGGGGGTCTGTGCATGTGTGGCTGGGAGCCCACGGGCTGAGGCCGCACTTGGGGCCAGGTGAGGCGAGGCTGCTGCATCGAGGTCCCAAGGCCTGGCCCATGAGGCCCCGTGGCTGTGGAGCTCAGCCATCCCGGGGCAGGGCCTGCAGGGTCAGGTGCAGACCCCCAGCACACACCTGAGGTCTCGGCCAGCTTCGATTCCAGATCCAGCCCTCCTAATCATCCAGGTCCCCAGCCCTGCGCTTGCCTGGGCCCTTCACTGGTGTTTGAGCACCACCCGGGCCAGTGCTGCTCTGGACTAGAAGACCCGCGTGGGCCTCTGGGGGCCTTTCCTGCTCACCACCCGCTGGGGCTGTCTCGTCCTGGCCCTGCCCTGCCCAGCCCAGTGGTCTGACCCGCTCCTGCAGGGGCCAGGCGCAGCTCTGAGAAGTCAGAGGCCCTGGGAGGTGGGGTCCTCGTTGCCTTGGAGATATCCCAGGCAGTCCCTGCTGTGGGCGTGGGAGCTGGGTCCCCTGGCACCACCCTGGCTCTGGGGGCCTCCCGGCAGTGTGGGGCGCCGAAACCAAGCACCACTTCATGCAGCTTCCTGGACCCCCTCCTGTCTCTACTGCCCGGGGCACTGGCAGAGTCACACCCCCCATGGCCAGCTCTGAGCTCTGTCTACTCTGCCGTCTGTCCTGCTGTCGCTTTGTCCTGCAGGATCCTCAGCCCAGAGCCGTGAGGGGGAGGCCAGATAGCGCTCAGGGCCTCTATGGAGGATGTGTCTTGTTTGATTGTCTGAGTGGTGACATCTAGGTGGCAGCTGGGGGCTCCTGCCTGGAGCAGGTGACAGGGCTGGGCTGGCTCAGCACACTACTGGCCTTGGCTGCCAGGGAGCAGGCCAGGGAGGCTGAGGCAGAGCTGCAGCCACAGGCACAAGCCAGGCAGCATCCTTTGGGGCATGGGTGAGCAGTGAGCTGTGGAGTGCTGCCAGGAGGCTGGGATTCCAGGCCAGGGAGGGAGACAGCCCTGCTGGTGGAGTCCGAATGCCAGCCAGACGGGACGCACACCTGCCCATGCTCCTGCCTTGCAGGAGGGCATCTGCCTGGCATCAGAGCCTGGAGCTTGTGGGAGGAGAGTTCTGGGGTCTCGGCATCGACAGGGTGGCAGGTGGGTCCCGCGTGGTTGGGACTGGGCATGAGGAGGCCTTGGGACTGGTGCTGGGTCAGCTGGGCCAGGGGCCGCACACCAGTGACCTGGGAGTGGGGGTGGCCCTGGGTGGGAGCTGGTGGTGCTGAGGTGGCGGAGGACTTGTCCACTCCCAAGGGAAGGCACTGGTGGGAGGAGATGCTGCCCCCGCAGCCACCACCCTCGATGTTGACCTGGGTTGGGCTGGCAGCTCATTGGGCATGGGACTCTGAGAGTCCAAAATTGGGTGGAGACATCTGGGGACACAGCTGCCTGAATTCCTCATGGCCAAGGGGGTAGGCAAGGGCTGCAGGGAGGAAGAGTGTACCCTGTCCCGGCCAGTGCACCAGGAAGAGCTTTCTAACCTGGGCAGGAAGGCGTGAAGCATTCAGGATGTGGGAGGCCACACAGTTCCCAGTGTGCGCCTAGGGGTGACCAAGAGGAGGAGAGGTGCCAGGGCTTCCCCTACCCTAGCCTGAGGGGGACTCCCTAGCCAGGATCCAGCAGATCCTGGCTAGGAAACGCCAGTGAACCATAGTGGCAGGGAACAGGACCAGGCCGCCGGCTTCGCCCACCGCTGCGGTGTTGGGGGGCTTGGGGGTGGCCCTTGAGACTGGTGTGGAGCCTGGGCCTGACCAACTGACTTGGCTGAGCGGGGAGACTGGAGAGTCGCATCCGGAGCTGGGCCCGGGGACGCCCGCTGGCAGGAGGGGTGCGCGCGCGTTGGAGGCCTAGGCTGACCCTGCTCAGGTGCCGCCAGGTACCGCATCAGCCCGGACGGCATCATCCTGTACCGGCAGAGCATCGGCACGGTGCCCACCGTGGACCTGGCCTCGCGCTACGAGTCCGCCACGGTGGTGCTGCACTCGCCGCTCACCTTGGACCTGAGCGTCGCCTTCCGGACACCAAGACCTACTGCTTCGATGCCTTCCCCAAGTGAGCAGGCTGGGGCGGGGACGGGGGCGGGGGCGGAGCGGGGCGGGGCCCGGGCCGGGCGAGGTCTCACCCGCCCCACGCCCCTCCCGCAGAATCCAGAAGGTGTCCAAGATCACGCCGCCCGTGCTCATCATCCAGGACACGAAAGACGAGGTGATGGACTTCTCGCACGGGCTGGCGCTCTCCCAGCGCTGCCCCAACGCCGTGGAGCCGCTGTGGGTGGAGGGCGCCGGGCACAAAGACATCCAGCTCTACAGCCAGTACCTGGAGCGCCTGCCCGCTTCATCTCCCAGGAGCTGCGCAGCCAGAGCGCCTAGCGGCCGCCAGGGCCCCAACCGGCCGGACCTCAGCAATAAGGCAGCCCCCGGACCTCACCCCGCGCCGGCCCCCCCAGGGACTGCATGTGGACCCCCGGGCGGCCCGGGGGACCCCGCCCCAACCCAGGGGCCGTGGACGATGTAAAGGCAACAGAGCTACGCACTCCTTTCCTTTTGGAAGCAAGAAGAAAAATCGTGAAAACGGAAATTAAAGATTTAAATTTTTTTTTAAAAAAACACAATGTTTATTAATATACTCCAAAGTTTTTCTTTTTTTTTTTTTGAGACGGAGTCTCACTCTGTCTCCCAGGCCGGAGTGCAGTGGCGCGATCTCAGCTTACTGCAACCTCCGCCTGCCAGGTTCAAGCGATTCTCCTGCCTCAGCCTCCCGAGTAGCTGGGACTACAGGCGCGTGCCAGCATGCCCAGCTAATTTTTTGTATTTTTAGTAGTTACGGGGTCTCACCGTGTTAGCCAGGATGGTCTCAATCTCCCAACCTCGTGATCCGCCCGCCTCGGCCTCCCAAAGTGCTGGGATTACAGGCGTGAGCCACCATGCCCGGGCGTTTTGCATAGATTTTTTAATGCAGAATCATGGTGGCAATGGCTAATGGCTACCAAGGTGCCATCGTTCAACAATCCTGTTATTCAGTCATCACATCTACTAAGTGTAAGCCATAATATCTTCTAAAATGAATTATAACTATTTTCTAATTGAAATAAATGGTATCACAATATTTCACTAAGTAATCTCTGCTAGTTTAGTCTCTATTTCATCTCCACGGAATGCCTTCTGAGTTCCTATAATTGTGACTAATTCTCTGAGACGACATCAGAAATATCAGTATAAACTATGAAACCTACAAAGGGGATTCCTCTTTTTCCTTTTTATTATAGAGATGCTTTTCTGTTTGTTTTCTGCACGCAAGTATGGTCTTAATCAATTTTGTATGCCCGTACCTAGGAGAGCCCCTGATTCATAATAAGACCTCAATAAGATTTGTTGAATAAAGTGAAAATATTATTTTTAGCTTTCCCTCACCATTTTCTTCAAAACAGACTAGTTCATAACTGAAATAGGCATTGTTTCTAGAAAACAGTCACTCCAACTGATCCCCTCATTTAATCATTTTTGTACTCCCTGAATCTATCATAATACCTGGCACATAGTGGGTAAGTAATCAATATTTGTTCACTGAACTAATGGAAGCATGAGTGAATGAAACAATACAGGCATTTTAAAAGTATAATTCAAGAGTGAAAGCATATTACTTGTCATTAGAGTGATTTTAAACAGCTAAGTATATGATAATTAGGAAGATTTACTTTCCTGCTTCATTTAAATTTTAAATATAGTGATCGAGGTAATTATGATTTTCATTCATTTATTCAATAAATGAATGTTTAATATTTTTTATCTCACATGATAGATTGATACTGGTCAAAGACATTACAATGATATTATACATAAAGATTTGTTTTAAATTTACAATATCTTGAAATTTTTCTCTTGTTAATCTACAAAGTATATTTATAGGTTAGGAAATATACTTTTTAAAATGTCAGATAATGATATTTTTATTTTCTATTTTATATTATTATTATTTTTGATACAAGGTCTCACTGTGTCACCCACACTGGAATGCAGTGGCATAATCATGGCTCACCACAACCTTAACCTCCCAGACCCAGGTGATCCTCCTACCTCAGCCTCCTGAGTTGCTAGGACTACAGGTGCCCGCCACCTTGCCCGGCTAACTTTTTACTTTTTTTTTTTTTTTTTTGGTAGAGATGAGTTTTCACCATGTTGCCCAGGCTGGTCTTGAACTCCTGCGCTCAAGCAAAACGGCAGCCTTGGCCACCCAAAGTGTTAGGATTACAGGCATGAGCCACCACTGTGGGGCAGATAATGATAGTTTTTCAAGAATCGGTAAAACATTGTCCTTCAATGAATTAGTGCAGAAGCATGAAAAACATCTATTATGAGCAAATCTGTGAAACAGATGTTGAAATTAGTATTCTAATAAGGCTTTTGTGCTTTTTGATGATACAAAATAATTTTGCTATGACAATACAGTTACTTAAATGAGAAGTATGAATAACTTGCTTTGATATGTTTGTGGTATGTTTCACTTATTTTTTGAGAAGGGTAATTATTAAATTTAAACTATATATGTAAAGAGTGCACATCAAATATTTTAAAACCCTGAAGAGTTAGGTCTTCATTTCAAGAATTGTTAAGTGTCTTAAGAACATGTTTATTTTCTAGAAATGTTGAGCCTCTTCTTGGGTAATGTGATTCTTTTAAAAATTTTGGAAGGATTTCTTATTACATTAAAAATGAATGTATACAATAGGAAGTTACTAGGATAAAGTGAATTTAGCAGCTATCTTGCTTTGTTATATGTCTTATAAATTAAAATTACATTTTCATAATTAAAAGCCAAGCTCATTTGCTTTGATAAGACTAAGAGGAAAGGAGTATTAAATGAAGTTAAATTAGATTTTACCGTCTTTTTAATAAGTTTCAGGCCTGGTTTGATAATATATTCCCAGATGCATAATTTAAAAATGATCTTTTGGCCGGGTGCCGTGGCTCAAGCCTGTAATCCCAGCACTTTGGGAGGCCGAGGCGGGTGGATCACGAGGTCAGGAGATCGAAACCATCCTGGTTAACATGGCGAAACCCCATCTCTACTAAAAATACAAAAAATTAGCTGGGTGTGGTGGTGGGCGCTTGTAATCCCAGCTACTCGGGAGGCTGCGGCAGGAGAATGGCGTGAACCCGGGAGGCGGAGCTTGCAGTGAGCCGAGATCACGCCACTGCACTCCAGCCTGGGCGACAGAGCGAGATTCTGTCTCAAAAATAAATAAATAAATAAATACATAAACACATAAATATGAATTTAGTGAGAGCTGGTTATAGTTTGGAACCTCATTTGTGAAATAAACCATATTTCAAAATATTTTAAGCAGAAATACATTTAAGTTTTAGCCTATAAATTACCAGAATTTATCCTAGTCACCTAAATAAAAAATATAAAAGTTCTACATTTTAACGTCCTTTCAACATTTTATGACCAGAAAACCCAGCAGATAAACAGCTCAGGTCTTAATGGGAAATGATAACATAAGATCAGAGGCATCCACATAAATAAATTTGTATCCAACACAAAACAATTACATACGCTTTAATCAAAAAGAAATTACCAATGGCCAACCCCAATCCCACTACTTTCAAAAAAAAGTCCTCAAGCTTTCCTTTCCAGTTGAATGTACACTGATGGAAATGGTTGTTTTATGCAGACAATTGATGTTTTTAAATGAAATGTCTAATAGGGAAGTCAGTGCATTACACTACCCATTCGAGAAAGCAGCCTTCCATTGAATTTACTCAGACAAACTAATTGCTGAATTAGATGACCATGGAAAGTTATTGAGGGCATATCCAGCGCTTCCTTCTGAACCAAAACTAAATCAGTTTTGGTCAGTACTGCATTTCTATTCAAAATCAAGAACTGTTCGTCCCTCTGGAATATTAGTATCATAAGCCTGGGGAGGTGACAATGTCATGTAATGGAGTTGTGGGGAAAGGAGTCAGAGTGTTGTGGCAATTCCCCGACCAAGGGAAAGAGTCTGTAGAAGTTCATAGAATCAGCTGACGTGCTATGGTCAAAGAATTCGGAATTAGCAATTGACCAATCAATTATGATTAACTCATTCTGTATGACTATCATAGGCTATTAAAAATAGGAAAGGGTGTTTCTAAAGTGTGTTTCATAACAAGTGATTTAATGATAAAAGCTTGGACAGTTTTCAGAATACAAAAATTCCGAGATACTAATATCTTTAAAAACTCCTGTCATTGTGTGTGTGTGTGTGTGTGTGTGTGTGTGTGTAAACACTACCTGTGTAATCATCTATTGAGATTTAAATTAGAACTTTTCTCAGTGTATCACAGTTCTAAAGGTACTATTTATTATATTGGTATCCTAGGAACAGAGTGAAAAAAGGCAAAGAGGTAATTTAGCACAGTCTTTTTCTACTAAAATCAGAGTGTCTCTCATCTCTGCCTGAATCCACTACATTGTGATTACTGAAATACATATTATAGAATATCTACTTATTTTGTGGATTTAGGCAATGATTATGATTATTGCTTTTCTCACATCTAATTTATATTATACATGAAGACATTTTGTAAAGAAGTTTTGGTCTCTATAAAAATGAATGCTTAATAGAAACGTAATATTATTTTATGTTATTTGAATTGTTAGGTTTAAGAAAATAAAATGTTTTTTAAATCTATTACTTTTAACGACACTGTAACATTTATTGGTTTTGCAATAAAATAAATCCAGAAAATTGCTGTGATATTACTTTTTATGTTTCTTATTGAAAGTAGGTCAATTAATTTCTAAGCAATGGGGCAATATAATTGTCAACTAACAGTGCTCAAGCAGTTAGGATTTTAACTGCTGACATTATTTTCTTTGAAAAATGATAGATGTCATTTAGTGTTTAAAGATAAATTGCTGCATAACTGTGACTTTTTTGCTGATAACTTTGCCGTAAGCAAACATAATATGACCAAGAAATTTCAAAGTAAGTTTGCTAGGTGAGCAAATCTAAATTAAAAAGGGTCTCATATTTCCTCAATCAGATATACTAAGATCAACCAAATGTTGTTTTCAATCTATAATATTAAAGGGCAATTGAGTCTGACTCAAACATCTGGAAACGTTAATGTTAACACTTAGGAATATGTCTCCCCATAGGAAAATCTTCACTGGCCATGGGCTATACCACATTTATCACAGGTGATTTTCAAAGGGACAAATATTGCCTATTTCACAAACAGGTCTGGAATGCAGGAAACTGCCAGAAATTAAGTGAGAGTTTGCACAATGGCTGACCCAGAGGAAGATGTCAGAGTCACAGATGGAAAAGGGAGGTTCATGACTCCCCTCTGTTGCCAAGGTTCCCATTCTCAATTCAGAAGGATTTGCAGAGGGGGTGAAGGAATATTGAAGTTTCTGAGATATTCCTTATGGACCAAGCTATAATCCAGTTATCTATTTACATCAGATCTCAGCTTTTTTTTTTTTTTTTTGTGGAGGGTGCGGGAGGGGATGTGTGCAGAACATACATATAGGGCTTGTCCTAAAGGATGAAATAAAATTGTGTATGCTATGACCTCTCTAGGAAGCCTCTAAACTTTTCTTATAAATTGTCTTCTAACTAAAATATTTCTTTTGGTCATCCTTGGAGTACTCCCAGGTGACACACAGCTCAGGCTAACATTTCTACAGGACTGCTGCCTTGATCTCTAGAGAGTCCAGTGGTGTTCCATACCAATATGTCTGAGAGTCACTGCCAAGCTTCCACCCACAACCTTAACACACAGAGAAAGCTGACACTTTCTGTTATCTATAATTTTCCTTGAGAAAAACGTGGCAATATGTATCAAAATACAATTATTAGTTTCAATATGTAGAATGCATTACAAGAAAAAAAAAGATGCCAAAAACATTTTATGTCTGCTGATATTCCTATTAGTCTTTATTATCATGAAAATCTGGTCACAAGCTAAATATCCAACTTTAGGTGACTGGATGAAGTAAAACTGTAATCTTTCCATATGATAGAAAAATATGCCAGCACTGACAACCAGATAGCAGGATATTTAATGCCATGGTAAAATATTTGTTTTGTGTGGTCAGGTGAGCAGTTCAGATCATAAAATCAAACGTGCCCTACGGTCTTATTTTTTTAAGTAAAGTATTGATGTATTTATATGTATAATTAAGTATAGAAAAAAGCCTAGATGGCTTCTCTTATAAGTCTTTTCATTGTTTTATAAATGTATCAATATTTATTTTTCACTTTTTCCATCAGATTTCCTAGAATAATAAAATTCAATTCCCTCTGATGAGCATTCATTATTCTTTTATTTTTTGAGACGGAGTCTCACTCTATCTCCTGCAGCTAGAGTGCAGTGGCCTGATCTCAGCTCACTGCAGCCTCCGCCTCCTGGGTCATTATTCTTACAGTAAGAAAAAATGAATGTTACTAAGTATCTTCTCTGTCCTAGATCAACTAAGTATATACAAGGTGCCAAATACAATTAATAAAATGTTTTATCCATTCATAGGTTTTTGCAGTACAATTTTTTTTTATGATTCCATTGTCTTATAGTCTCCACTAATAATTTTGGTGTGAATTTATACTGTAAAGGAAAGGTGACAGCCTTATACAATCTCAGAGCTTAAGTACTATCCACATGCTAGTGCTTACAAACATACACTTTCAGTTGTGTGGTCTCCCTGAGTTCTGCACATCCCTCTTGGGTATCTAATAAGCATCTCACAGTTAACAACACCACTGATTTCTAATCAATCCCAGGGACCCTCCGCCAGGCCTGCTCCTCTCTCAGAGTTCCTTTTCTCACTTAGTGACACTATCATCCCACCAAACCTCGCTATCATCTTTCTTCTGTCTCCCAAATTTCCAATCCATTAACAAATCCCAATAACCCTGCTTCCAATATTTGTCTAAATCTATGCACTTCTCAGCTTATCCACTTTTATTATTCTAGTTCCAATTATGTGGTCTTCTGTCTGTATTACTTTCTTTTTTCATTCTTTCATGCAGGGACCATTTTTCATAGTGAAATCCTCATAAAACATAGATTAAATTGTATCAGCTTCTGCTTACAGTTTTTATTTATTTATTAAATTTGTGATGTATTTGTATTTATTTATTTATTTTGAGACAGAGTCTTGCTCTGTCACCCAGGCTGGAGTGCAGTGGCGCGATCTTGGCTCACTGCAAGCTCTGACTCCTGGGTTCAAGCGATTCTTCTTCCTCAGCCTCCCGAGTAGCTGGGATTACAGGCATGTGCCACCAAGCTCGGCTAATTTTTGTATTTTTAGTAGAGACGAGGTTTCACCATGTTGGCCAGGCTGGTCTCAAACCCCTGACTTCAGGTGATCTGCCCACCTCAGCCTCCCAAAGTGCGGAGAGTACAGGCATGAGCCACTGCGCCCAGCTAGCTCTGCTTACAGTTTTTAAATGACTTCTTAGTCTACTTAGGAGAAAATATAAACTCTTTACCAGAGCCTACTGGACTTCCCAAAACATGATGTATGTTTATCTCTTCCCTTTAGCTCACTTGGTTTTAGCCGACTGACCTTCTGTTCTCTGAGTAAAACAAACTTATTCCTGCAACGGGGCCTTTACGCCTACTTTGCCTTCTGCCCCAGAAACAGTTCTCACAGGTTTTCCCATGACTCTTTTCTTCTCCTTATTCAACATCACCCCAAACATCTCCCCCTGAGTGGCCTTCGCCAGGACATTCTTCTTAAATATCTTTCCTTACCTCATCCTGTTTGGTTTTGTTTATAACAGGTGTCAGCTACAATACTGGTTTTGTTTGTTTATTTACTTTTTCTTACAATGGAAAGCCCATGAGAGCAGGGTTGTGTCTGCTTTATTCACAACTTTAACCTCAGTGCCAGTACAGAACCAGGACCGTACTAGAAACTCAATGAACATTTGTTGAGTATTTTGAATGAATTAATTATTAAAACATTAAAAAGTGCCATTTTCCAAGTAAAAATCTTTTTCTACTTCCTTAATGACTCTAATTGCAGACAATTCTAGGTAGAAATGAGGTTCATATTAATGGCAGGCCGAGAAAGGCATTTTTGGGTGAGTCTATGCAGGCAATTTTTGCTTTTATGGCTGATTTCCTTCCGTATACTTCAATACAGGTATGTCCCTATTGAGAGAGATGGCATTTTTCATAGTATAAAGGTGGACAGTGAACTTAATATTATAATAAAAAATAAAGTAAATTTTATACAAACACTAAGAAGTGATCATCTAAATCTACAGTTTAGAATCTGAAACCTATTCCTATGTTGACATCTTCCATGGCCCTACTCCTAAATTAATAAATTCTGACTTACAGAAGGCTATTTTCTGAATCCTTTCGTAGCTGACATTGTGGTGGGTGCTGTTACCCATTCCTTGATACTGACAGTACAATGGCCATCCCTGCCAGGGCACGCGTACATTATCAGTAGTCAAAAGTTTGGCAAAGTAGGCCGGGCATGGTGGCTCACGCCTGTAATCCCAGCATTTTGGGGAAGGCCGAGGCAGGTGGATCACCTGAGGTCGGGAGCTCGAGACCAGCCTGAGCAATGTGGAGAAACCCCGTCTCTACTAAAAATACAAAAAAAAAAAATTAGCCAGGCCGTGGTGGCACACGCCTGTAATCCCAGCTGCTCTGTAGGCTGAGGCAGGAGAATCGCTTGAATCCAGGAGGCAGAGGTTGCAGTGAGCCGAGATCGCGCCATTGCACTCCAGCATGGGCAACAAGAGCGAAACTCCATCTCAAAAAAAAAAAAAAAAAAGGCAAAGTAAAACACTTCTCTTCATCTCCAGGAGAACAGTTTATGAAAGAGCATACTCTTACACATTAAAGGTGAATGTTTCAGTGACACCTGTGCAAGATAGGACTTTCTGCTCTCCTCTATAAAAATCTAAATTTCTATCATATAATTCTAGCAGACCTTAAAAGGATAGACCTCAAAGGCAGCGTTGCATTTGATATTCTCTTGCAACCCCAGAATGAAACTTAAGCATGAATAATTGGAGATCTGCACACTTCCATAAAGAAGAAAGAATGGGACTCAAGTTCACACAGAAACTAAAAAAGAAAGGCAGGATGACTTCCCTCTGCCACCTTGAAAAGGCTTTGAAACCTACAAAACAAGAAATGGGGAGGGGAGTTGCTGAATGGGTAATAAATATGTGAACTCTCCTCCTAAGGGTTTTTATAATCCTTTCTATCTTGGGTATCTACGTGTTCCTCTGTGAATGTGTTTACTTCTAACTGCACTTCTTATGGAACAGCTCCATCCTTATTATCCACAACAGGGCTTCTGTTCTGCTTTCATCTTGTATATATCTTAGAAAAACAACCTGAACAGATGTCCAGTTAATATGTATATTTATGTATTTATAAATTATATGTATGTGCTATTGCACTAGTATATTACATATTTTATATACCTTACTACAACCAAAGAAATATAAAAGAATGAGATGGAATACATATATACTTAAGGTCTAGGTTTTCTTCCTCCACCCTCTGTGGAATGCTTACCCCACTTAAGAAACCCCTAAGATTTCACCGTGCCCTCACAGTGAGATTGTACTCACTCTTCAATGAGAGGAGCTGATTAATGTTAAAGCTCTTTTGGTTTTGTTATCAATTATGCACTTGAATTTTCAAATAATCTAGCTGTACATATTATACTACAGTGGACGATACTATGAGGTACCAACTGGACCAGCTCAGCAGAGGCTGGGAGGTTTGACTCATCAGTAGTCATGACACCACTTCTCTCTTAGACTTTTCCAGTAGAATTTATTTTTGGTTTTGACAGCAAGGGTGACAGCTCTGTTCTCTATAGGTATCTATGGTAGAATAAGCATTATTACCTCGCAGAAGGGAGAAGTCTATGGTATTTGACACCAACCCCCAAGTCCTTCTTACACATCCTCTCCTTGAGATATAGGGACTCTTGTGAAAAATGGAAACCCAGGAACTGGCTCTGCATAAATTTAAGCTTCGTCTTGGCAGGACAATTATGAGAAGCCTACCACTGACTCTGAAATATGTTGTATGCAATAAAAACTCTGTACTATTTAGGTGTTGTTTCTGACCCACGATACTAGAAATAAGCATCAACTACCCATACAAAGTTTTGCTTAGGAAAAATGAAAGTATATTCAAATATAAATTTTTATAAAATGACCATTAACTAAAAAGAAAAGCCTTCCTTTCCCCAAACATCAATAGATGCAGAGTGGAGGATAATATTTACAACATGCAACATAATGTTTGGTTCTAATTAATAGACTATTTCAATGAAATATTATTTTGATAAATATGTTCATGCTTCATTTGCCATGTATTAAAAACAGCAATACACATTCACTTGATGAAAAATATTATTGAAGATAAGACAGAAGTATTTCATAAACAACCATTAGGTAGATTATAAGATAACATACGAAAGGTGATATTGTAAATCAATATTAGAAACACATATTCTTCATCTATGACCTAACTTGTATTGAAATGCTGCAAAAACCTTAGAGCAACATTCAGAGAATTACCTGAAAGATAACTCTGGCATCTTCCATGGCCTTACATGTGTTTTCTTTAATGGTCACAGTGATTCCCATGTTCAAAGTTATTCACTGAGGACAACGCATGTCCTGAGATTCTCATCATTGAAAGGCCGAGGCTGAGGCTTGCTTTTCACATATACAGATTGTCCAACATTAAATTACCGCTGCATATTGACTGCATACAAAAATCATTAAACTAAATCTTTCCAAAAGTCCTGATGCAAATAATGTGCTACAATATTTTAGGTAGGATTATCTGATAGGATTAACAAATTTATCAAGTATAACAGAAAGTAACCACTTATTATTTATTATTGGCTATACCAAAAAATATAGGATCAGGACTTACCTGAATAACATGCTTCAGTTTATCAATAATCTGATTTATCACAGGATCAGTTCCTTTGACTTTGACTTCAGGAGTTCCAGACTGGGCTTTGATTCCATTTCCAACCACACGCTGAGTATAACTAGCAAAGGGAAATGTGAAAGATATATGACTTAGTACCTGATCAGAGTATTATCTGCCACAGCTATCTGAACATAGTTGAGGTCAGAATTTCCTCCTTTAGAGAATACACCAATGTATTTTTTTCTTGGAACAGAAACTGGCACAGCTATAATGTTTTTCCAGGTAAAATGCTAGAATGTTTATCGTGCCATTAGATCATTCTAAAAATAATGTTATTCTCTCAATGGACCCAACCAAAAATTACTTGTTTTTTAATACTACTTAACAATATGCTACAAAGAGTTAACATATATCTCACTTTGTTACCAGTTCTTGCTGAAGTATCCGTATGTCTGTACCCCTATGGTCTGGGTCAGCTTATTTTAGGCAGTCCCAATCTTATGTTTTAAATATTAGGCTACTATATATGTGTGTGTGTGTATTTATATAGAATACATATATAGACTATATATAGAATTATATATAGAATATATAGAGAGAATATGTAGAGAATACATAGAGAATATATAGAGAGAAGACATAGAAAATATATATAGAATATATAGAGAATAAATATATAGAATATATAGAGAATATATATATATATAGAATATATATAGAGAATATATAGGATACACATAGAGAGAATATATATATAGGATATATAGAGTATATATATATATGGAATATATATATACACACACATTATATATATTTCCTAATTAAGTCCTTCAAGAAATAAGTGATTAAACTTTTTAATAATGATAGTATCAATTGGACATGATAAAAAATAATATTATTAATAAACTCTTTGATTTTTAAAATAACCTTGAGCCCATTTTTTGTAGGCATAGAGGGGCTTAGAGATAAGAATTTCAGTATCCATCAGGGATTTGGCAGTATACACCAATAACAAATAGTAGAAGGAAAACAGTTATATCTATTTTGTTAATGTGTAATAATATTCTTTATTTTAGAAAAATAAAATTATACATAGTATAACCATATGCAATATATAATATGTAAACATATATATAACTGTACAAGTCAATATCATAAACTATAACTGTACAAATTAAAATCATCACATTTATAAGCAACTAAAATACGCAAAGTATTTCCTAAGTAGAGGAAACAATCCGCTTTCACCTAGGTTCACCTAAACAAAGATCTGGTAAATCATGTGGTATGTAAAAGGGTCATTTCACAGGTGGTGAAAGCCATTTGAAATTTCACTACCTTCCCCAAATTACAATCATATGTCAACTTAGAATTAATAAAAATATTTAAATTCATTAGTCACAAAGATGTCTTAAGTGCATGCTATATTCCAAGTCCTGTACGAGGTCTTTAGGATTATAAGAAGGTGTAAGACTCAATTTTTGTCCTCATAATGCTTATTACTTAACCAAGAATATAATATATTAATTAACTCATTCATTTGTATGTTTATTCATTACATTTTATTACACTTAAAAAATACCATAGTTTTCAGCCATGCGAATACCCTTGTTTGCCTGACAGAATAGTGAAATATAAACACAACTGAACCGTTAAAATACAACATTATGAAAGTAGCTGGAAGGAACTGCACGTGCCAAGTGTGAGGAAAAATAAGACAAGTAGTAGATATTCTGGATATAGAGAAGTCCATTTGGACTCAGACACTAGGGAAAAACTAAAGGAGAAGTTATAACTTGAGGTAGCCTTGGATGTATTGAGGTAAGAAGAGGACATCTATGGTATGGTTAATGAGAACTTCAGGGCAAACGATGTCATCCTAGCAAGGAAAACGGCAAAGGTACGTGAACAAGGCAGACAGGGAGAACGGACCTCTATTTACAAAGCAGAGAGTACAAACGGTGGAAAGCAATGGATAGAGGGCCACATCCTGAAGATTCCACCGTGAATGTTGAAGACTCTCCACTGAGTGGTATAATGGGCTCTGGAGATTCGTAAGGGGGAAGTTGGCAGGCGGGTGAGGGATTAAAAAAGCTACATGTTTGGTACAATGTACACTACTCAGGTGACAGGTGCAATAAAATCTCAGACTTCACCACTATACAAGTTATCCACGTTACTTAAACCACTTGTGTTCCAAAAGCTATTGAAATAAGACATTTAAAAAGTTAAAACAAAACACTATCATCTGAGTAATTTGTTTGCTTACATTAAATATCATAATACTTTTCAGCAAAAAAATATTTTAATGTAACTTTCATTCCCTATATTTGAGCAGAGTACTGCACTATCCATAAACACCCTCTGAATTTTCTACAGTAATGGAAAAAATCTTTGAAAAACATAAAAGAAGGTTCTATGTTTGAGAATATGGCTATATGAAAGGGGTTTCAAGAAATATCCAGTTCTTCCCAAGACGATGTACTTCCAGTGACCAGTTTTAAGAAGTGGAACAGGCCGGCAGCCGTGGCTCACGCCCGTAATCCCAGCACTTTGGGAGGCCGAGACGGGCAGGTCACGAGGTCAGGAGATCGAGACCATCCTGGCTAACATGGTGAAACCCCATCTCTACTAAAAATACAAAAACTTAGCCGGGCGTGGTGGCAGGCGCCTGTAGTCCCAGCTACTCGGGAGGCTGAGACAGGAGAATGGTGTGAACCCAGGAGGCGGAGCTTGCAGTGAGCCGAGATCGCGTCACTGCACTCCAGCCTGGGTGACAGAGTGAGACTCTGTCTCAAAAGAAAAAAAGTGGATTGAACATTTCCTAACTAGGTCCTTCAAGTAATAATAAGTGATTAAACTTTTTGATAATCATAATATCAATTGGACATGATAAAAATAATATTAATAAATCTTTCGATTTAAAAAATAACTTTGAACCCACTTCTTTTTGTAGGCATGGGGGGAGCTTAGAGTTAACTATTCCAGTTTCCGTTAGGGATTTGGCAGTATACATCAATAACAAATAGTAGAAGGAAAATAATTATACCTGTGTCTCATATATATATATATATATATATATATATATATATATATGTGTATATATATATATATATAGAGAGAGAGAGAGAGAGAGAGAGAGAGAGAGAAACCGTTTCTTAAATTATCTGTAGCACTGCTATGTTATTCTTTACTCTCCCAATACCCCAAGTAGATTGCATATGTGGCTCTTTTATTAATGTGTTGAATATTCATAATGATAATGAATAATATGAATAAATAAATCGATAAGTGCATAACTATGATTTAGGCATTGCTTTACTCTATCTGGAGATTTCCATTCATAATAAACATCTTTTAGTGACCGTGAGTAAGAAACTCATAGAACTTCATTAGAGAAATGCAAATCTAAACCACAATGAGATACCATCTCACTCCAGTTAGAATGACAATCCTTAAAAAGTCAGGGAACAACAGATGCTGGAGAGGTTGTGGTAAAATAGGAATGCTTTTACACTGCTGGTGAGAGTGTAAATTAGTTCAACCATTGTATGGAAGACAGTGTGGCAATTCCTCAAGGATCTAGAACTAGAAATAGCATTTGACCCAGCAATCCCATTACTGGGCATATACCCAAAGGATTATAAATCATTCTACACATTCTCACGTATGTTTATTGTGGCACTATTCACAATAGCAAAGACTTGGAACCAACCCAAATGCCCATCAGTGATAGACTGGACTAAGAAAATGTGGCACATATACAACATGCAATACTATGCAGCCATAAAAAGGATGAGTTCATGTCCTTTGCAGGGACATGGATGAAGCTGGAAACCATCATTTTCAGCAAACTATCACAAGATCAGAAAATTAAAGTCTGCATGTTCTCACTCATAATTGGGAGTTGAACAATGAGAACACATGGACACAGGGAGGGGATCATCACACACTGGGGCCTGTGGGGGGTGGGGGGTGGGGGGTAGGGGAGGGATAACATTAGGAGAAATACCTAATGTAGGTGTCGGGTTGATGGGTGCAGCAAACCACCATGGCACGTGTATACCTATGTAACAAAACTGCAAGTTCTGCACATGTAACCCAGAGCTTAAAGAATAATTTAAATAAATAAATAATAAATAAATAAATAAACTCATAGACCTCAAAGTATGGGAAGCCTAACTGCCTACGGCCACTTGCTGCTTCACTCTAAAATCTGTTTCTGCATCTGCCCCTCAGTCAATGACTGAGGGCCACAAGGTGGCTAATGCACATCCCTCTTTAGGAGACACAGGGCTTCTCTGAGGACCAGTCTTGGCTCAGGATTCCTGAAGCCTTTTCGTACCCTTCCTTAGACTGCACATTACGCTCCAATGCTTCCACTCAACCTTCCTTTCCTCTTTCCTTCATTCTAGGTCAGACTTGCCTCATAGTTGAGAGCTCTTCCAGGCTTACTCAGCTTCCTCTCCATTTTCTCTCACAGGGATTTCCCTTAATAAAATCCTCTTGTGTATAACTCGTTTTCAACATCTACCTCTTGGAGGACCTGGACTAACCCACCATATAATATCTGTATTATAATTACTTCCATTCTACAGGTTGAGAATCTGGGATCTGGAGAAGTTAAGTAACATAAGTTACTCAAGTAAGGCCACACAGTGTATATAAAGTGTGCTGCAAGGAGTTAAACCCAGGGAAAGCGCACTCCAAAATAGAACCATCAATAAGTGTCAATCCTGAAACCAACTAATAAAAGGTAAAGATACAATTAGCTTGGTGCAAAAATGTTATTTTTTTCTCTAATTACATTTTCTAAGGCTTCACTGGTTGTAGTTAAGAAGGGATGAATGATTTTCATCAAAACTCTCCTCAACAAGCTGGGTTTGGTGGCATGCACCTGTAGTCCCAGCTACTCAGGAAGCAGAGGCAGGGCGATCATGTGAGCCCAGGAGATTAAGGCTGCAGTGAGCTGTGATTACATCTCATTGACCATGTGACTATGAGTATAAAACTCATAGACCTCAAGCCTGGGCAACAGAGCAAGACTCTGCCTTAAAAAGTAAAACTAAGCAAAACAAAACAATCCTCCTCAACAAATGGTTGCATATAACCAGCTAAACAGTAATATAACAGTTGTTGGCAGGGTGAGAAGAAACTAGCAGACTGTAGGTTTGTCATACTGTTTTTCTGTTCCTGCAGAAACACAGATATAATATAGGCAATGAAAACTGAGACTCATCTCTTAATTTCAGTTAAGCTATTAATTGATTTACATCATTTACTTACAGGCCAGAAAAGTTTCTTTCAAAAGGCAGGAATGTTGTTTCATGTTAATCTAAGGACTTGCTTACCTTTTGTTTCTGTTCTTAATGATCACAGTTACTAATACAGTAAAATAATATTTAGATAAAATACATTAGAATTATAGCTGATCAAAAATCTCATTCCAAGCTGTTATATTGTTGACTATCTCACAATCACTCTTCTTATGAATCATGTAAATAAGGGAAAATACTGCAAAGTAGACACACATTACTTCAAATGAAATATGATTTAATAAAATCAGTTATTCTTTGCCAATTTTGTAATGTTCAAAATAACCACAATTGAAATAGTGACACATACACATCAGAACAGTTCAAATGAAAAAGAGAAATGATACCAAGTGTTGGCAAAGATGTGGAGCAACTGGAACTCTCTCCCATTGTGGATGAAAATGTAAACTGACGGACACCACCATTTCCCATGTGTGCTAAATCTAACCATATTCTATGACCCTGAGCATATACGCAGCAATATTTACCAAAAGACAAATACATGAATGCTCAGAGAAGCACCGTTCAAAATAACCACGAATTGAACATTATATTTGTATAATGGTATAGTATATAGCAATGAGAACTAACAAGTTACAACTATATGCAAAAAGATTGACAAATCTTATAAACTAAATATTGAATGAAAGAAGCAAGATACAGAACATATTCTATGATCTAATCCACTAAAAATTGTAAAACTAATCAGTTATGTTCCAAATCACCATAGGAGCTACCCTATGAAATAGTGTCTAGAAGAAGTAATAATATAAAATTTCATGATTTGAGTACTGGATACGCAGAAGGGCTAAGTTTGTTTAAAAACAAAAAAAGTATTGGGCTGTACAGTTAAGATTTGGGTATTTTACTGTTTGTACGTATTTTCAGCCTTAGAAAATTATGTTAAAAAGTCTTTATGCTCTTTTTCTTAATATATTTACCATAGACAAATTTTCATTAAGCCACAGTATAAATAAAAAAGACCCACACCAGTATTTTTAACATGACGTGGATGAAGTGGTTCTGTCATCATTAAATGAGTACTTTCGGATCCAAGTCTGACATAAAAACTTACTTCCCTGAAGACTTTAATTTTGCATGCAAAATACACTGTTTCTAAATTAAATTTTTTTGTAACAAAGAGTTTTTGAGTTCCCCTCATGAAATTTTAATAAATCATTAATTTCTTCTTTTTCTCTTTAATGCACAAGCAATGGATAAAACATTTCAAAGATCCCTACAGATGTTTCTTCACTTGAAATATTGTTCACATTACAATGAGAAGGATGGAATAAAACATAAAAAAGATAGGCAGTTTTGTTTTGTTTTGTTTTGTTTTGTTTTGTTTTTAAGATGGAGTCTTGCTCTGTCGCCCAGCCCGGAGTGCAGTGGCGCGATCTCGGCTCACTGCAAGCTCCGCCTCCCGGGTTCAAGCTATTCTCTTGCCTCAGCCTCCAAAGTAGCTGGAACTACAGGCGTCTGCCACCACGCCCAGCTAAGTTTCTGTATTTTTAGTGGAGACGAGGTTTCACCGTGTTAGCCAGGATGATCTCGATCTTCTGACCTTGTGATCCGCCTGCCTTGGTCTCCCAAAGTGCTGGGATTACAGGCGTGAGCCACCGCGCCCAGCCAACAGGCAAATTTTTCGTTGGGGAAGTAGTAGACCAACCATCTGTGCTTATTTCTTCTAAACAGAGCTAAGAATGAGTGACAGCAGTTGAACGGGAATACTTGCTCCCCAAGCGCGACTTGTTTTTCATGAACAAGGAAAAAAGGCAAAAGCCCTGCTACATTTCCATTCACAAAATTGTTTTCAAATGATGATTAACAAGATCTTAGTTCCCTCTCTGTTGAACACATAACATATTAAAAGGCAGTGCTAATAAATCTATATACGGCACGTAAGGAGGAAGGAGGAAGTCATTTCTCCTGACCTGACCAACTTGTCTTATTTGAAACTGATACCAGGCCCTATTGGCTGACAGGAATTTCACTTTATTTGGAATACAACAGAATTTGGCTCAGATTCACACTAAAAGTATAGTATTTTGATGTCATTAACATTACTTTAATAAAGGTATTATCATGCTTTGTACAGCAACCAACACGAAAATGTTAACATACCACTGCAATAAATAGAATAAAAACATGTTCAGAAAGACTTAGAAACTCATTAAAGAATGGATATTAATCACTTTTCACCCTAACTCCTCATTTGGCGAGGTATGAATCTATGCATTCCAGTTTAGTCAGGTGGCAAGTAAGTAGTCCCATTGCATTTCATAAAATAAGCTGCTGTGTGAATTTGAAAGATAATATTTCCACATGAAAAACTAATGACTGCACATGTAAAATCAGTAGTGTTTAGGAAGCTGTCATTAAAAAAAAAAAAAACTACCTAATTAAAAAGTAGCACAAATGAACTTTTGCCTATGTAAAAAAATAGAACATTGCTTAGCCTTTTCTTAAATCTCTCCCCAATTCTTACCAAGAAAGGATAAATACCTTTATTATAGTCAAAGCTCTGTTTTTATGGTTTTAAATTTTTTAATCTAAAATTCAAAGCAAATAATAAATCCTTAATTTATAATTATCCCAATTGGATTCAAAGTGACGGTCCAAACATAAAATGATCAGTCATAACTATAATCAATCAGATAATGCTATATGAGTTTGAAATGTTAATCTAACTTGCCTTTTCCAGGTATGCATTTTAAGATTAAACTCTTCTCAGTAAGATCAACGCTATCCTTCATGGATTTATGATGTTTGATAATCACCACGTTGTACTGATTTGCTGTCTCACTTCACTGTTTGATATCAACATATGAAAGTAAAAATGCTATTGAGGGGATAACTATTATCTGAGCACTAATAAATTAAATGCTATTTTAAGCCAACAACAAAATTGTGTAGGGTACAATTTTTATTTAACCAACTTTCCATTATAAACATTATAAAATTCTGAAAGATCCTAGAATCTTATATAGCTATTTTGTATTTTTTTCAAATGTAATTGACACCAGCAAGAATTAAATTTCATATTTAAAAAGCTTCTGACTACATTACAACATACTTAAAAATGACTTGCAAGATATGATAATTCTAAGATTACCAACATATCATGCAAATGAAACACCCAGGTACTTCCTACCAACACATGATATAATAAAATCCAGAAGAACTTCTGAATTAGAGTGTAGTAGTTGCCTAGGACCATCATACCTAATTATCACACACTTGGTGGGTTAAGAGGACAGAAATATATTCTCTCATAGTTCTGAAGCCTGGACCTCTGAAACTAAGATGTTGGTGGGGCCATACTCCCTCTGAAGACCCTAGGGAGGAATTCTCCCTCGCTTCTTCCTGGCTTCCAGTGGCTCCTGGCAATCCTTGGCCTTCTTTGATTTATGACTGCATAACTCCAATTTCTGTCTCCATCTTCACATGACCTTCTCTGCGTGTGTCTTTTCTTGTATCTTATAAGGACATTTACATTGGATTTAGGGCCCACCTTCATCCAGGATGACCTCATCTCAATCATTGGGTTAATTATATCTGCAAAGACCCTACTTCCAAATAAAGTCGCATTCTAAAGTTACTAGTGGACATAAATTTTGGAGGTACGGTATTTAAATCACTACACAGAACATGTAAAGACAAAAATCTGGAAGCTACCTAAATGAAAATGGATATTCCCTTGAACTTCGACAAAATCATACTCTATTTTTCCGTGAGAAACATTCTATTACTATAAAACAATATTCATATTTCACAAGTACACCTCTTAAATTATAGCTTGGCCTTAAGAGAAATAATTAGCTTTGAAAATTATCAGTACGTGATATCTAATATTTCCTGTATTTTTGATAACTTCTACCTCCTAGCAAAAATAAACAATGCAATGGACAATTTCTGTGTTCTAAATTCACACACACAAACAGGAAAGGCACTTTAAAAAATGATTTGTTCTCTTTGAAAGCAGAAGTCCAACCACCTGCTCTGAATCTAAAAGTTTCCTGAAAGCAATGAAGGGCTAGTTTATTATGAAGTTGTTGATAGCTGATTCTGTGGAGACTCACAAAGAAACAAAGAATAAATTTTAATCACACTGAATGCTAATGTGATAGTAAGGTTGTGATGATATTCAAATATGACTAATTTCATTAAATTAACTACACTCAGGCTTAGCTTTGTTGTCCAAATTTATTACAAATAGCTCAAAATAAATAATTCAACTCTTCTGTTTTCTATTTATTTTTGTTGATGCTTAAGAGTAAAAAGGTATTTCAACTGAATTTTTTTTTTTTTTAGCAATCAGTTCTCTTGTTTTATCACCATAAGACTGTAAACGGCCGAACAGGTCACTGCCTTCAACAAGAAATGCACCTAGAGCAGGAATATAGTACTTGGCACTCATCTCTAGACCTATAACCTAATAGATTTTTTTTTTTTTGTCTTTGGTGACAGTAACGTAAATTTAGAGCTGGAAAGGACCTTAGAGGTCATCTAGTCCCACTCAAGTATCTTTTAAAACAAAATAAAGAAGTATGTTGGCCTGGTGCGGTGGCTCACACCTGTAATCCCAGCACTTTGGGAGGCCAAGGCAGGCAGATCACAAGGTCAGGAGATCGAGACCATCCTGGATAACACGGTGAAACCCCCTCTCTACTAAAAATACAAAAAATTAGCCGGACATGGTGGCAGGTGCCTGTAGTCCCAGCTACTCAGGAGGCTGAGGCAGGAGAATGGAGTGAACCCGGGAGGTGGAGCTTGCAGTGAGCCGAGATCCTGCCACTGCACTCCAGTCTGGGCAACAGAGGGAGACTCCGTCTTAAAAAAAAAGAAAAAAAAAAAAGAAGCATGTTTATTTCATCATTTTGTACTTATACACTGTGTGTTTCCAGAAAAGCCTCTGAGACAGCTTAGAATGAAAGGCACAGACGCTATAAAACAAGGGCAAAATGACAGAATAATGAAGAGAAGGAGGTGACAATTACATGGGACAACCTAGGGAAGGAAACACTACCCTTCAGCCTAAAATTTAGTCCTAAGCCTCTTGTTCTTTAGGGCCAAAAGGAAAACCAGAATTCAAATAGGTGTCGTTAGTTAATAAAATAGTATCTGCATATGTCAGCAGCTATTTTTTGGTAACTCTAAACTCTTAAGCAAAATATATAAGTCTTTAAGCAACAGACAATGGACAATACAATAAAAATAATCTTCAATAGTAATTTCAAAACTTTTAAAGATGTAAGTACAAATGACCTTTTCTTACAGGATGCTTTTGAAAGCTGCCCGCATGATGGTATTTTAAATTACATGATGTTACATTGCCTCCATGATGGTATTTTATTGGGACCTGGTTATATGACTTGGTGAAGAATGTAACCTTTGAGAACTTAGAAGAGTGAATGGTTAATATTTCTCTGAATTTTTTTGTTTTTAATTGACATTTTATTTTATCCCTCATAGACAATATATGTTCTGGGAAATATACTGAAGTATAGTAAAAAAGAATCTCAGGGTTAAAGTGTTGAGGTAAATGAGAAAGCAGAGGTTGTGTCTGAAGAACCGTGTGGTCGGTCGCACTGCACCACACAGCAAACAAATATGCGTGAGCACAGGCCGGGCGCGGTGGCTCACGCCTGTAATCCCAGAACTTTGGGAGGCCGAGGAGGGCGGATCACGAGGTCAGGAGATCCAGACCATCCTGGCCAACAATGGTGAAACCCCGTCTCTGTTAAAAATACAAAAAATTAGCCAGGTGCAGTGGCGGGCGCCTGTAGTCCCAGCTACTCGGAAGGCTGCCGCAGGAGAATGGCGTGAACCCGGGAGGCGGAGCTTGCAGCGAGCCGAGATAGTGCCACTGCACTGTACTCAGGCCTGGGCGAAAGAGCGAGACTCTGTCTCGAAAAAAAAAAAAAAAAAAAATGAGTGAGCACTTTACCAGCAAATAAACACCAATGAGAGAGGGAACAGCAGTCACAAGATGTGTTTTAACAGAGATAGTTAATTAAATATTTTCTAATACACTTATTGAACCTAGATTTAATGGAATTTTTTTCCTTTCCTGACTTTGGCAAATGTGTGTATTTTTATAGAGAACATGGTTTTACATATGCAATTTTCAGACTTTAAGTCAGGCCCATCACCAACGCTCTATGAGTTGAGTGGCCTTGATATGTGGTCCATGTATTTTTGAATCAGGGGTGGGAGGCTATCAAATGAGTCAAAAGCTGATTTTCCTAGCTTTCATTATGAACACCTCTCTGGCTGCTCTTCTTTTTGACTTTACCAAACAAATTAGTTAGTATTCCTAAATGCAAGGTATATTAACATAAGAACTAAATAAATTTTTAAAATAAACACACACACAGACACACACACACACACACACACACACACACACACACAGCACTCTCCATATTTACTTCTACTTTGAATAGCAAACAAGCTGTGTTCCTGGGCCTGTGGAAGAAATATGAAGTTTGAAAAGATTTTTAAATAACTTTTTCTTAATGAAAATAACTCTGTAGTAATTACTGTTTTAAAAAGCCATTAGAATTTGAGCATAACACAGTTTCAATCTTGTCTCTATTCCAACTTAAAGTCCTGTCCAACAATCTCATTTTATGTTCTGTTGAATCACAAAATAAAAATTTGTATATTTTAAAGTATTTGATGGAGGAGGAGGAGGGAAGAAAGAAGAGGAGGAGGAGGAAGAACATGCCAAATGCAGCTGGAGAAGGCCATGAAAAGAGAATTCTCACGCACATATGCCTGATAACAAGAACTATCACGAAAGACTGCAAAAACCACAATCTTGCCATTGCAACCTTGTAAAAAAACACTTCTGCAAGGACATATGTCCAGCAAATGCCTGTCCAACCTTGGACTGGCACCACCCTTGTTATTGATCCTTGTAATCAAGGATAACTATGTCAAAACAATTGTGTAATCCTCCACATTTTTTCTTTAAATACCTTTGTCTTCCTTTACCTCCCTGAATGCATACATAGTTGACTATGGCACATGTATTCCTACTGAAATACCCTATCCCCAACCCAGTGTTCTTTACAGAGTCTCTCTCTCTGTTCGTTATTTAGGTTGACACCTTGCACCTATTGATTGATAACATTTATTTTCCAGGATGCACTTATCATTGTTGTAATTAAGTATTAATAGTGCAATCATTTGCTTAATGCTCATAACTTCCTTCTTGACTGTACATTTGTTGAGGTCAAGTAGTATGTCTGTTTAAATCATTCCCTAGTTCCAGGGCTTGGCAAATTCCTTGGACCAGATGAGCTCAATGCATATTTGTTATGTGAGTGAATATATGACTGATACTAAAGTAACTTAAAAAATAATTTATACCAATGATTTATCTCTCTCAGAGTTGGTCCTTATAAATGCTATATGAATCACTCCAAAACAGTACCGACTCTCGTAACAAATCCCATGAATGTGTAATTTCATTTTAATGCTGAATTGGCCCAATTTTAAACAGCATCTGGATGATCCTTTGTAATGGAGTCCCATCTAAGTTCCTATTAAAAAAGAAAGAAAAAAAAATCAGTAAAACAAAGCAAACAATGTAAACTTAAAACAACACTAATTAGTAAAACTGACACCCAATATGCAGACTAATCTAGAAGGAATTTTTACTAACTATAAGAACAATTAAGTTAAACTGGCCCATCCATATTTTGTTTTATGAAATGGAAGAATTTCCTCAATATAAAACTCATGTAAGACGGTAGTTGCCTCTTCCCAGCCTGTCCCTGAGTCAGACTCTCGGAGTGTCCCAGCAAATGGACACTTACTCCTTTACGGCTCCATTCTTACTTTTTGAGGGGACAGGTCCTAGCCACTCTCACATATCTTACATACTAAGCTCCTAGAAAGATAGAGGATACAATAAAAACCAACCAACCAACCAACCATGTGTCAGGTGCCTGTCAGGCCTGGGCACACAGTTCACTCAAGAAAAGCCCTGGGAGGGGAGGCAGCAGAATTGCCAGTCTAGCAATTTGTAACTCCAGTGGCCCAGGTCTTAGCCACATGACCTGGCTGGCATTGTTCTCTCCCTTCTTGCTTCCCTCCAAGCATGAACTCAGCCTCTTTTCTTTCCTTCCCTCCCTATGTTACATTGTTATTTCATACAATGGGATTTTAATAAGTTTGGGGAGCCAGTAGAGAGGGATTATAAAGCAAAACAGGAAACTACTGATAAGCAACTTGCATCATACCAACTGGCCGTTGAAGATTATTTTTCAAGTAAAATACAGCCTTCCTTTAGAACCTCTACCCAGAAAGCAGTAACATCAATAATCTATAAAGTAGCACTCATTCTTGCCACCACCAGCACGCTGCATTATCCGTGCATGCTAGGTATTGTGTATGTCTTGTACGACAAGCCAAACAAAATACTAGAGGTCTCCACTTTAGCTTAGCTGAGCTATTCCAATAAATACTTGCTCACTACTGAGAGGAGCTGTGCATCCCCTGCAGATCAGAGAAAGGGCCTTAGCCAATTTCTCAAAGGTAGAAGAATCATTTAAAAAATGATCATTTCCTGTTAGATATTAATGATATGGTTTTGCTGTGTCCCTACCCAAATTTAATCTTGAATTGTAGTTCCCATGATCTCCATGTGTCCTGGGAGGGCCCAAGTGGAGGTAATTGAATCATCAGGCTGGGTTTTTCTATGTGCTGTTCTTGTGATAGTGAGTAAGTTTCACAAGATCTGATGGTTTTATACGGGGCAGAAAGGGAAGTTCCCCTGAACACACTCTTGCCTGCCACCATATGAGACATGCCTTTGCTCCTCCTTCGCCTTCGGCCGTGATTGTGAGACCTCCCCAGCTACCAGGAACTGTGCGTCCATTAAACCTCTTTTTCTTTGTAAATTACCCAGTCTCGGATATTTCTTCATAGCAGTATAAAAATACACTAAGACAATAATTGGTACTGGCAGAGTAGGGTACTGCTATTAAGATATCCAAAAATGTGGAAGCGACATTGGAGCTGGGTAACAAGCAGAGGTTGGAACAGTTTGGAAGGCTCAGAAGAAGACAGAAAAATGTGGGAAAGTTTGGAACTTCCTAGAGACTTGGAGGGCTCAGAAGACAGGACAATGTGGGAAATTTTTGAACTTCCTAGACATGTTGAATGGCTTTGACCCAAATGCTGATAGTGATATAAACCCTAATATCTGGGCCGGAGATGGAGATGAGGATCTTGTTGGGAACTAGAGCAAAGGTGACTCTTGTTAAGCTTTAGCAAAAAAGACTAGTGGCATTTTGCTTCTGCTCCAGAGATCTATGGAACTTTGAACTTGAGAGAGATGATTTAGGGTATCTGGTGAAAGAAATTTCTAAGTGGGAAAGTGTTCAAGAGGAAGTAGAGCATAAAAGTTTGGAAAATTTGCAGCCTGATAATGCAATAGAAAAGAAAAACCCTTGGCCGGGCGCAGTGGCTCACGCCTGTAATCCTAGCACTTTGGGAGGCTGAGGCGGGCGGATTGCCTGAGCTCAGGAGTTCGAGACCAGCTGGAGCAACATGGTGAAACCTCATCTTTACTAAAATGCAAACAATTAGCCAGGTGTGGTGACGTGCACCTGTAGTCCCAGCTACTCGAGAGGCTGAGGCAGGAGAATTGCTTGAACCCAGGAGGCAGAAGTTGCAGTGAGTCGAGATTGCGCCACTGCACTCCAGCCTGGGCAACAGAGTGAGACTCCGTCAACGAAAAAAAAAAAAAAAGAAAAGAAAAAAGAAAAACCGACTTTCATTAAAGCCTCCTGCAGAAATTCGCATAAGTAACGAGGAGCCAAATGTTAATCACCAAGACAATGGGGAAAATGTCTCCAGGACATGAAAGACCTTCACATCTTCACAGCAGCTCTTTCCACCACAGGCTCAAAAGCCTAGTATGGAAAAATCATTTCCTGGAGCAGGGCCAGGTCCCCCTGCTGTGTGCAGCCTAGAGACGTGATGCCCTGCATTCCAGCCACTCCAGCCATGGCTTGGGTGGGAGACACCATGGTACAGCTCAGGCCATGTCTTCGGAGGTTGCAAGTCGCAAGCCTTGGCAGCTTCCACAAGCTGTGGAGCCTGCAGATGCACAGAAGTCAAGAATTCAGGTTTGGGACCCTCCACCTACATTTCAGAGAATGTATGGAAACACCTGCATGTCCAGGCAGAAGTTTGCTTTGGCAGGGCGGGGGGCAGGGGCGGGCGCAGGGGCTAATGAACAACTTCTTTTAGGGTAGTAGAGGTGTGAAATGTGGGCTCTGTCCCCCATACAGAGTCCCTACTGGGGCACTGCCTAGAAGAGCTGTGAGAAGAGGGCCACCATCCTCCAGACCCCAGAATGGTAGTTACACCATCCTCCAGACCCCAGAATGGTAGATCCACCAACAGTTTACACTGTGTACCTGGAAAAGCCATACAAAATGCCAGCTAGTGAAAGCAGCCAAGAGGGAGGCTGTGCCCTACAAAGCCACAGAGGCAGAGCTGCCTAAGGCCATGGGAGACCACCATTTGTGTCAGTGTGACCTGCATGTGAGACATGGAGTCAAAGGAGATCATTTTGGAACTTTAATGTTTAATGACTGCCCTGTTGGATTTCAGACTTGCATGGAGCCTGTAGCCCCTTTGTTTTGACCAATGTCTCCCATTTGGAACAGGTGTAAATACATTGGGGGTACCCAATACCTGTACCCCCATTGTATGTAGGAAGTGACCAACTTGCTCTTAGTTTTACAGGCTCATAGGTGGAAGGGACTTGTCTCAGATGAGACTTTGGACTATGGACTTTTCAGTTAATGCTGAAATGAGTTAAAACTTTGGGGGACTGTTGGGAAGGCATGATTGATTTTGAAATGTGAGAACATGAGATTCAGGAGGTGCCAGGGGAAGAATGATATGGTTTGGCCATGTCCCTACCCAAATCTCATCTTGAATTGTAGCTCCCATAATCCCCATATGTCATGGAAGGGACCCAGTTGGAGGAACTTGAATCATGGGGATGGGTTTTTCCCTGTGCTGCTCTTGTGAAACAGAATAAGTCTCACAAGATCTGATGGTTTTATAAAGGGGAGCTCCCCTGCACATGCTCTCTCTCTTGCCTGCCACCATGTAAGACATGTCTTTGCTCCTCCTTTGCCTTCTGCCATGATTGTGAGGCTTCCCCAGCCATGTGGAACTGTGAGTCCATTAAACCTTTTTTTCTTTATAAATTACCCAGTTTCAGGTATTTCTTCATAGCAGTATGAAAGTGGACTAACACAATATCAAGCCCTGGTTTGGGGTAATAATCACTACCTTCTAGGTAACCAGAATGCAAAAAATATAACAGAAAAAAAATCCTAAAAATCATCCTGCATACAAGAAAAATGAAACCGCCATTCTCCATTCTCAATTAACCAGGGACACAATGCACTGCAGAAAGCCTCAGGGACCTCTGCCCAAGAAAGCCTGGGTGTTGTCCAAGGTTTGCCCCCACTGAGATGGGATAGAAGTCTCTGACTTCTGAACTGGACACAGGAGTTCTCAAAATCACCAGACAAGGCAGTGAGATGGCATGGTAAATGGTAAGGGAGGTCTCTTTGCGGTTGAGATAAGAGGAATGCTTTGGTCTCCTGCTCATCCCTGGGAATGGAATGTCTCAGTGTAAAGCTGACCATTCCTACTCATTCTATTCTGAGATAGGAGAAAACCACCCTGTGGCTAGAGGTGAGATATGCTGGCAGCAATACTGCTCTGTTACTCTTTGCTAAACTGAGATGTTTGTGTAAAGAGGAACATAAATCTAGCCTATGTGCACATCTGGGCACAGTACCTTTCCTTGAACTTATTCATGATACAGATTCCTTTGCTCACATATTTCCCTGCTGACCTTTCCCCACCTGTTGCCCTGCTACACTCCCATCACTAACATAGTAAAAATAATGATCAATAAATACTGAGGGAACTCAGAGGCCAGCGCTGGTGCGAGTCCTCTGTATGCTGAGCACCGGTCCCCTGGGTCCACTGTTCTTTCTCTATACTTTGTTTCAGTGTCTTATTTCTTTTCTCAGTCTCTCCTCCCACCTGACGAGAAATACCCACAAGTGTGGAGGGGCTGGCCCCCTTCGATGTCTATTATGGTGGAGTGTTTCCAGTTCTGTCTTTCCTAATACTGCCCAATAGAAACTTGACTCCTAGAGTTTGTGTAATTTTAATATATTTTAGCCATTTCCCTGTCAATTTTTATACCATACAATAACAAGGAATTTGACTAAATCTCTTAGGGTTTTTTAAAAAATTATATGAGAAGCTAAAAAATTTATTTTTACTAAGGTAAAAGAAAAAGGAATAATCACAACAATAGCCATAATTCTTCTGTCTATGAAGAGCCCTTCAGGTGGTGACATCAGAACTCACAACAACAGCATAAGGGAAGTAGAACAAATGCAGCCAAAGTCCCCCGTACACCTCCCTTTTCTCTTCTAACCACAGAATTCAATCGTGTATCCGTTTACTCTGGAATGAAAGTATCTGTAGAAACCATGAATGTTTCATCTGTTTTTCTTTTCTTTTCTTTTCTTTTTGAGACGGAGTCTTGCTCTGTTGCCAAGGCTGGAGTGCTGGTTGCTCTGTTGCTCTGTTACTCTGTTGCCCAGGCTGGAGTGCAGCTTACATCTTTGCTTCCTGGGTTTAAGTGATTCTCCTGCCTCAGTCTCCCGAGTATCTGTGACTCCAGGTGTGTGCCACTATGCCTGGCTAATTTTTTGTATTTTTAGTAGAGACCATGTTTCACTCTGTTAGCCGGGATGGCCTCAATCTCTTGACCTTGTGATCCACCCGCCTCGGCCTCCCAAAGTGCTAGGATTACAGGCATGAGCCACCGTATCCAGCCTCATCTGTTTTTCTAATGTGTAGTGTCCAGCCCTACGGGGTTTAGCAGGTGTTCTCCCTGTGTGCGGAGACGAGAGATTATAATAAATAAAGACACAAGACAAAGACATAAAGAGAAAGCAGCTGGGCCCGGGGGACCACTACCACCAAGACGCAGAGACCACTAGTGACCCCGAACAGCTGGACGGGCTGATATTTATTGCATACAAGACAAGGGGGCAGCGTAAGGAGGGTGAATCTTCTAAGTGATTGACAAGGTGAAGCAAGTCATGTGATCACAGGACAGGGAGCCCTTCCCTCTTAGGTAGCCGAAGCAGACAGAGAGAAGGAAGCATATGTCAGCGTTTCCTTCTATGCACTTATAAGAAAGAACAAAGACTTTAAGACTTCCTTCTACCATTATCTACTATAGACTTCAAAGAGGAACCAGGAGTATGGGAAGAACATGAAAGTGGACAAGGAGTGTGACCATTGAAGCACAGCACCACAGGGAGGGGTTTAGGCCTCTGGATGACTGTGGGAAGGCCTGGATAATTTATCCAACCTCTCACAAGAAGCTGGTGGAGCAGAGTGTTCCCTGACTCCTCCAAGGAAAGGAGACTCCCTTTCATGGTCTGCTAAGTAATGAGTGTCTTCCCAGACACTGGCATTACCACTTGACCAAGGAGCCCTCAAGCGGCCCTTATGGGGGCGTGAGAGAAGGCTCACCTCTTGCCTTCTAGGTCACTTCTCACAATGTCCCTTCAGCACCTGACCCTATACCCGCCGGTTATTCCTAGGTTATATTAGCAATGCAATAAAGAGTAATATTAAAAGCTAATGATTAATAATGTTTATAATAATGATTGATAATTGCCCATGATCATCTCTATATCTAATTTGTATTATGACTATTCTATTCTAACAATTTTCTTTATTATACTGAAACAGTTTGTTTCAGTCTCTTGCCTTGGCACCTTGGTGACCTTTCGCCCACACTAATGGTCATATAATATAGTTTAGATGTCTCCTCCAAATCTCATATTGAATTTTAATCCCTAATGTTACAGGTGGGGCATGGTGGTAGATGGTTGAATCATGGGGATAGATTTCTCATGGCTCTGTGCTGTCCTTGTCATAGTGAGTACTCACGAGATGTGGTGGTTTAAAAGTGAAGCATACCCCTCCCTGATCTTTCCTGTTTCAACTCCTACCATGTGAGATTCCTGCAGCTCTTTCATTTTTCATCATGATTATAAGCTACTTTAGATGTTAATATTGTTACAAAATTTCACTGAATTTTCTTGTAAAATTACCTGACAAAGTTTATGTTATTATACCATTAATGTGATAAATAAATATATTATGACATTACAACATATTATGATATCATAATTCATATGTATTATGACATCACAATATATTATGACATCATAATGCACACACAACATGACATCATAATATATTATGGCATCATAATTTATACTACAACATCACAATATATCATGACATCATAATGCACATGTATTATGACATCAAAATTCATAGGCATTATCACGTCACAGTATATTGTGACATCATCATCAGTATGTGTTATGACATCACAATATATTATGACATTATACTTCATATGTATTATGGCATCACAGTACATTATGACATCGTACTTTGTATATAATATGATGTATCATGAATTATTATGTAAATGATATGTATTACATATCTATTAGATGGCTCTGGATGTCTTGGGCTCTGTGGGGCAGGCTGGGGGTCAGAGGAGACACACATGCTGCAGATGGGGAGACTGGGGCACAGGGTCCTGGGGTTCCAGGAGCAGTGAGGAGGCCAGGATTGGCCTGTGGGGACTTTGATGTTGGCTCTGGGTGAGGTGGCTACTGTAGGTGTGAGCACAGCAGTGCTTGGGGGCTCAGGTGGCTGCCAAGGGGCAGATGGATGGAGGGGACAAAAGCTACAGCCCAGCAGGAGGGCAGGGTGGCCATGAGGGTTGTAAAAGTGATGCCAACAGCATTTGTGGGGGATTGGCTGTGGGTGTGAAACAGCAGCAGCGGAACAATTCCCAGTCATTCTGGCCTGGAACAGTGGCAGGTGAACTCTGCCCAGTTGTGGAGGGGTCTGTCAGGAAGATGGGGCTTCTGGTTTCAGAGGAGCCCAGAGATGTGCTCAGGCAGATGAGGGTCCTCATGGGATAGGCATGGGAGAGGCAGCTGCAACTTGGGGACCACTGGTGGTGGGCTGAGCCCCTGAGACCTCTGGAGTGAGCAGGAAAGAAAGTGAGGAGGAGCCAGCCAGGGAGCCAGAGGCAGAGGGAAGAGAGGAAAGTAGACCCCGGGAGGAGCAGACAGGAAAGGATGAAAATTTCCCCTCACCTGCCTCAGCAGCCTCTGCCCCTGCCCACACACCCTTGTGCACTCCCCCTGAGTCCCTACTCACCTCTGCCTACCCAGCCATCCCAGGATGGTGTGGGCTCAAGCTCTGGGGGTAACTGAAGAGCCACTTTAAGAAGGCACAGTCTAGAAGTGAGCAGCATTGAGTCACTGTTGTCTCCCAGTCCTGGGAACATCCTGTGCCACAGTTTGCTGAGCTGTCTTAATCACCAGTGGGTCCCCATCTCCCACCCCTGGAATCCCAGAGGACAGCTCAGAGTTGTGATTGGTGCCTCTTCCCAGCGTCTCTCTACACAGCTCCCGGCTGTGCTTCAGCATCCTCCACCGAAAGGTGGGCCTGTCGCTGCATGTGAATGGCAAGGAGGTCACTGTGGGGAAGCGGCTGCCTCCTTTCTCTTTCCTGGGCCCCTGGTGCTTCTCTCCTGGGGGTAAGGCAGTTGAGCCTACCCACAAGTCCAGGCAGGAAGGCAGCCCCACCCCAGCACCCAGAAATTAGAAAAACTAGCTGAGGTGTGAGAGGGGGAATGGTGACAGCCCTGGAAGTCAGGATAAAAAAGAGACGAAGCCTCCAGGCCGCCATCCTCACCAGTGCCCACCGGGCCCTGAAGCTCTGCAGGGGGTGGCTTATGGGCTCAGAGGCTTGTGGACCAAGGCTTCTCAGCTGCTTCTGAGGCTCCCAGCTCTGCAAGGGGCTGGGTTTCTTCTCCTGGTAAACTGCTCCCAATGCCTGTCCTGACTCACTCACTTAGCTGGGCTACCTGCTGGGCCTCCTTCCTGGTGGGCCCTCCCCATGTGCCTCCCTGTGCAGGTGGGGTATCCCCTCGAGACTCCATTATTCTTTGAGGCTTTCAGGCCAGGATGAAGAACCCCAGCCTCTCAGCAGGAGCAGCCACTTGGGGGAAGCAGAGGGAATAGAAAGGCACACATTGCCAGCTCTGAGCATGACTGGGTGGGGACATTGTGTTGAAGCTCCTGGGAGCCTCATTCAGCCCAAGTAGATGTCCTTGACATGTCAACACTCTCCCTACACAGGAGAAAAACATGAGACTCGGAGTGGGCAGGGTGATCTTGAATCGGGGGTCTGGTCAGATGGGTCTCTGTTCCTCGCCTCAGCTATGGCCTTCATGTGTGCTTCCACCAGCAGAGACCCCTTCCTGGACTTTGCCCCAGTGGATGGACAGGAAACTGCCAGCCATGCTGGCCACCACAACCAACTTTCACTGCCTGGCTCCTAGCAACCCCACTCTCTCCATCTCCTGGCTGAAGAACCACAAGAGGTCTAAGGAGAGCATCACATCAGGATATTGAGGTGGGCCTGGAAGTTGGTGGGAGTGTGGGCTGGATGTGGAAGGTGGGACCTGTCTTTTGCTTACCTGTCCTTCCACCTGGAGCTATGGCACCAGAAGTAGACCCTGATCATGGAGTGTGGTGCCCTCAGACTGCTTTCATCCCACCTCTGTGATGAAGAACAAGTGCAGCAGCCTTCAGCAGACATGCATGCTGGACAGCTGGGTGAGGACTGTGGCCTGTGGGCAGGGTGCAGGGAGCTAGGCAGCCTCTGAGCTCCCATCTATTCTCTCAATGTGCCCTCCTGACCAACTCTTTCTACCTGCAGGACTGCTGACCAACCAGATGCAGTAAGGTGAAATTCCACTGCAAAGTGTATGGCAACTTAGTATGTGGAGGTGAACAACAGCAAGGTGGGTGTCAATGGCATGCCCTATGTGACTGTGCTTAGGTTAGCTGCTGCTGCTTGTCAGGAGCATGGGGATGGCATGCCGATGCTCCACTTCACTAAACTCTACCATCATTATAGAAGTTTTGGAGTAGCCTATGAAAGACAGAATCATGTCATTATCCAAGAGACAAAATCCTCTAGAGTAAGCAGTTCTCCTGGATATAAACTTGGTGCTGGTTCATTTAGCATTTGCTACGAACCAATGTCTAAAATTAGAGGCAGTTTCTCCTAAAGTGAGATGACATGAGTCAGTTGATAAAAGTGTGAAGCACTCCTGTGAGTATTGTCCCTCATAATTCATTCAAAAACATTTGCTTCTGTCTTTGCAACTTCATGCTCTCTGAATTCCCACACTGAGTAAAAACCTCCTTGGTGGGCTTATAATCAATCTCACATATTTAACAATTTGGATTTTATCTTACGTTCCGCTATAAAATATGGAACAAAATCGGTTTGATTTACAGTAGATGTAAAATAGAAAAATTAGGATGGGCTATTCTGGACATGTAGAATTAGTTCCTTTCATGGGTTTTCTACAAACCTGTATTTATTACACTAAAATAATGCTAAAATATATTTTGTTTTATTGTGTGGAGTTTAAATGGATACACTGGATAATGGAATAACATTAACTAAATAAACATTGATGCCTATTTTTTTCAGTGTTTTAAAATTTTTTAACAAAGATTTCTTTTTACGGTAAAATTGCACTTCATTAAATCTACTCCTAAATATTTCTTTCTTTTTCATACATACACAAATGGATTGTTTTTTTAATTTTATTTTCAGGTTGATCATTGTTAGTACATAAAAGTACAATTGAACTTTGCATATTGATTTTGTATCTTGTGACCTTGCTGAACTCATGTATTGGTTTTAGTGGGTTTTAATGAGTTTTTTATAAACTTTTATATTCACTTATGTCCTCTGCAATGATAGACAATTCTAACATCTTATTTTCCCACATTGATGATTTTGTTTTTTTCTCTCATGTAATTTCTTTGGATGTTAACATTTTTGCCTTGTTCTAAAATGTCAAGACACAACAACCAGTATTTTACTATTATGGCGTTAGGTGTAAGTTTTTCACTGATGCTCTTTAGCAGATTTAGGAAGTTTGCTTGTACCCTTCCTTTCCAGGGAGATTGTGAATGAATATTGGATTGGTCAAATGCTCCCTGTGTCTGTTGAAAGGCTCTTTCTGTTAATTTCCTTTATCCTATTACTTTGTGTAAGGCACTGATTGATTATCGGATAGATCAATATTGCATCTGTAAAATAATTCCATTTGGTCATGGTGTACATTCATTTTGATATATTCTTGATTCATTTTGCTTTTTTGAGAATTTCTCTGTGTGTATTCATCAGGGAAATTCATCCATACACATATTTACTTCTGATGCTTTTGTCTGCCTTTAGTATCAGGGTAATACTGGCCTCACAGAACAAATTGGGAAGTGTTCCCAATAACTGTCCCATATTTTCTGGAAGGTCTTGTAAAGAGTTGGCATTAATTCTTCATTAAATGTTTAGTAGAATTTACCAGTTAAGCCATGTGGCTCTGGGCTTCTCTTTTTGTGAAGATTTTTAATTAATTGAATCTCTTTACTTGTTATATGTGTATTCATATATTCTGTTCCTTCTTGGATTTGCTTTTATAATTGGTGCCTATTGAGGTATTTATTTCTAATTTGTAGTATTTCATGTGTTTAGGTTTTCTAGACAGTTGGCACAGAAGATTCAAGAAGTTTAATGTAGGAGAATGTTTAATGTAGGAGAATGAGGCTTTGGTGTCATCAATGAATGACTTGAAGTTTCTTATGTTGTAATGAAAGATATGACCGTAACTGCCATAGTTAATATTTATTGTGCAAGTCAAATAAGAAGGCAGGAGGAAAGGACATCCATCACTCAATCACACACCAGTGTACTCATTAAAGCCTTTGAGAAGGACCCTCAACATTTTCCAAGAGAATTCCTTTCCTGGAATCACCATTATAGAGAAACTGGCTAAACAGACAGGCATTTCAGAGTCCAAAATTTACATTTGGTTTCAGAACCAAAGACCTCAGCTCCCAGGCCACAGCAGAAGCGGGCTTGTGAATTCCCTGGCAGCGGGTCCAAGACCAAGACCTCATCTGACTGTTTGGCTGGAACAAAACATGTGCACTACCCCAGGCAGGTCTCATCTTCTTCCTGCCTCCTATTCTGTCAGCAGCCACCTGTCATTTGTACCAGCTCTTCCTTCACCTCCCACAACCTGTGATTTTTTGGATCCCTCTGCAGGCTGTGTGAGCCAGGCACCAAGGGTCACGATGCACATAGCACCCTGGCTGTGCAGATGGGAGAGTTCTCTCAACCTCTTCTGGCACTTAGGAGTCATATGTCAATGGTACCAACTCTAGGAGGGAGGCTCTCCCATACACAGACTTGTTTCTGGCCTCAGTCGAAAGGAAAACTTTAGGATGACAAGAAAAATAAGACACTGGCCTGGAAGTTCTGCCTTAAAGGGACAGCCACAGTCTGGTCATCCTTAGCCACAATTTTAGAGTCTGGGTCAACAGGACACATCCCACCTTCACAAGTGGTGGAGCTTAGGCAACGGGTCCCAGGATGCCATGATTCAATGGCAACCTGGAGCAGGAGCACCTTAGTAGCCCATGCACATAGGTCTACCTGTGGCAGAAACAGGCACAAGCCATGAAAGAGCCATCTATCTGCTGGAGCAACCACACCAGTCATCTGCATGATCTTCTACAAGTCCCAGAGTTTCAGGAAAAGGCACAATCTTTTCGGAATGCAGATCCACAAGAGGAGGGCCCTCCGTGGTCTGAATCACCACTCAGTGAGAAAGAATTTCAGGCTCTGCTTAACAGGCTGCAGAGCTCACCAGGGGATCAGCTTTAGCAGGCAGGCATCCTTCTCAGCACTGCCATCCAGGACTCTTTCCCTTGGACACAAACAGCAAAATGCCAGGAAGACGGGACCAGGAACACAGTGTGGTCAGAAGCAAGACTGATGCAAGAAGCAACCACTTGGAAATCCAAAGGGAGCATTTTGGCCCTCTCCTGTGGGCAGCCCTCAACTTTGGTGCTCACTTCCTAACCTCAGTGACGGTTTCTGAGCTTCATCCTGCCTCTGGAGTCCACATGGGCTCCAGGCGGTGAACAGTTTCACTGAATCCTGATGCAGCAAAGCAGCATTCTCATGACAAACAGGACCTCTTCACTTTGATCATAAGCTCCTGGGCCATCTGGACAATGCACAAACTGGAAACCCAGCAAGGGGAGGAAAGTAGCTCTAAGGGGGACACATTCCCACTTCTTTCCCTTCTAGCAAGTTTGAAAGCTAATTGTAAATGCAGGTGGATATGTAGAAAATGAGGGCATGCTATAACTTCTCATCACATGAGGTTATGACCAGGAGTTTTTAATCCTAGCTCTGAGAGCTGCAAATGGGAATTGGAAGTTTTTCCACTAAGCATCTATCAATGACTGATTGTGCAAGCTTATCTTCATCATGCTGAGGAGTCTTCACTGAGAATTTTCCTATTGAACAAATAAACATAGAGATAGTGACAAGTAGGCCAGGCATAGAGGCTCACGCCAGTAATCCCAGCATTTTGTGAGACCAAGGTGGGCAAATCAGTTGAGGCCAGGAGTTCGAGACCAGCCTGGGCAACATGTCAAAACCCCGTCTCCACTAAAAACACAAAAAACAGCTGGGCATGGTTACTCATGCTGGTAATTCCAGATATTCGGGTGGCTGAAGCCTGAGAATCTTCTGAACCCAGGAGGCAGAGGCTGCAGTGTGTTGATATTTTGCCACTGTACTCCAGCTTGGGCAACAGAGCAAGACTCTGTCTCAAAAAAAAAAAAAAAAAAGAAGCAAGTGAGTAAGAGAGAGAAAACTATAAAATCACTGAACAAAGTGTAAAGATGTTAATTTTCCCACAACGTTAGAAATTTTGTGTATATTTACATGCATATCTACACATAAAGCTGATCTCCTTATATGTTAAATCAGTTACATGTTCAGTGAAAAATACATTATTTTCTCTGTTTTAACACTGAAGAGGGGTGCACGTGGTCCAGACATGTCCTGTTGGAGTTGAATGGGGCATGTTCTGGGAAAAGGGGAAAGGCAGAGTAAGGGCCTGGTGCATTTAGGTGGGGTAAAGTGGGACTCTAATAGAGAGGCATCCAGGGTCTGGGCCCTAGCAACACTGAGGCTCACGGGGGCTTCTGCACGTGAGGGAAATGGTGCAGGGTGCTGAAGGCTAAAATATCCTGTAACAGGCGAAGATCTGGCCAGATCGTCCTGCATTCCAGCATCATTGCCAGCCAGGCCTAACTTGACCCTATATTGAAGACACCTGGGATGGACAGGCGTGAGCCTCCAGGCTTCAAAGAGCCCCCAAATGAGATCTGCCCTGCGGCAAGGGTCCAGACCGTTACGGCCAGGCCAATTTAAAAGAGCCCCATCTCCTCTGTTCTCAGAGGCTTAAGCGGGTGGAGAACAGATAAGAAGTGAACTGAAGTCTCCTTGAAAAAAACAAAGTCCCATGGGGTTTGCCACCCCCTCCCCCCACCCACCTAAAACTGGAACCAGTCAGCCACCTCTGTCTCTTCTCCATGCCAAGAACCTCTGTTCAGGGCTCCTGGCAAACCCCTCCTCCCTGCTGCCTCCCCGCCACAGTACGCTTGCCAGGAATGCCCGAGATCTGGCACCTGAGCATGTTGCGTGGCAGGCGGGGGAGCAAGCGGGACAAGGGCGGCGATGTGTCCTGCACAAAGGCCCAGGCTGCAGACCAACTCGCCTCGCAGCAGGTAGCAGCTGTGTGCCCCCTGCCAGGCCACTCCCCCTCGCGGAGCAGCAGCTCCCGCTGCCACTTCTGTTTGTTGAACACAGGATGTATGAATGACGGCTAGGGAGCCAAGGATGGGGATGGTGGCGACATCTGATACTGTTGTAGTAAAACTCCAGCCAAGGAACACGAAGAGACCTTTGGAGACCAAAGAGAACTTTATTTAATTCAGGCACCTGAGCCAACAGCAGGCTCATGCCCAAAATGGCTGCCGACCCCTGCAAAGAAAGCAGGCTGGCTTAAGTGCCGTTTGAGGCGGGAAAACAAGGCAGGTTACAGGTTTCAGACAAAGACAGTAAATTATCCAACCCGTGACAATTCGGAGAGAACTTACAATTTAGTTATTTTGTCCAGTCAACTTTGAAGCTGAACAGAGCTGGGGTAAGGGAAAACACGAATTACAGGAATATGCGGGGGTCTGGAGGCAGGCAATAAGCTTGGAAGATTGAGATAAGCTCGCAGCTGCAACTTGTTAGCAATGCTGGAATGGACTGCTGAAATTTCTTAGCCTATGTATAACTTCTAAGTAACCTATGCTGAATGTTAACTATTACCTATGTTAGGTTTATTATTTTAAACTTTATTATTACTTATTTTATTTTATTTTCTTTCCACAGTATCTCTTACCATCCGGCCCAGGCAGCAGCCAGCCCTGCCTGGGCCGCGGCCGCCGGCCTCATGAGCCTGGCATTCCTGTCGCCCCCTCTCCCATAGCTTGCCTCCTCCTTCTCACAGTCGGGCGCCCGGCTCCTCGAGACGCAGGACCACCTCAGATCTCCAGTCCTGCACCTGCCGGCTGAGCAAACGAGGAGACGGGGAGAAAAGCTGTCTGTCGTTCCTGAAGGAACAGGACCTCCGCACTCCAAGAAGGAATCCGGCGCCCAGTGGGGGCTGCAGGAGCAGAGGACCGTGGCGGCAGTAGCAGGAGAGGCAGGAGTAGGAGCAGTGGCTTCTCTGGAGGTGGCACTGTCTGCCCCCTTGAGCCTCTTCCTAACGCAGTCTTGATTCAAAATCCCTGCTCACCACGGATGCACAGTCACAGCTGAAGATTGTAGTTATCTAGGAGGATTCTTTCTTAGTTGTAAATCTATGTTTTATATAGGAGTTTTTTCGTTGTTTCTCTCATTCTTTTTTGAAATTTCATATTACTATTTTTTTTTTTTTTTTGGTAAGTTCCTTGACATTCGTGTTTTGTGAGTTTGGTTTTACCTACGTATTATGATTTTGGATGTAAATCTGCAACTCTATATACATGTTAAGTCAATGTGATGTTTAATCAAAATATGAATCAGCCATATCTACCACCAATAAAATCGTGTGTTTGTTTGCCTCTATAAATATAGTCTATTTCTTCTTAATTATCTTGCATATTTCTCTTCTTGGCTGGTGTCAAAAGTTGTTTTATCTTGTTCAGGACAGTAGTCATATAAGTAGTCTTAACTTACCCACGTATTTATTGAACAAATCTATATTTTCTTTGTGTGAGGAAAACACATTTATAATTTGAAGGTAATTTTCCAAAAAGTTTGTAACTCGGTATCTCTTTTATGTATCACTTTACAATATTTTAACTGTAATAAAACACAACAAAATTTACCAGTCTATACATTTGTAATTGCATAATTTATTAGTGGTACATATATCCACATTGTTATGCAACAGGCTTCTAGAGCTTTTCCATTGCAAAACTAAAACTCAATACCCATATACGTCAACTGCCCATTTTACCCTCTCCTGAGCCCTTAACATTTTACTTTCCATTTCTGTGAGTTGGACTACTTAAGATATCTCATAAGTGGAATCACACAATCACTGTCACTTTGTTTCCTGGCACATTTCACTTAACATCATGCCCTAAAGGTTTATTGTCATTGCAGCATGTGATAAGATTTCCTTTTAAAATCATATTTCATTGTATGTATATATCATATTTACTTATTTATCTGTCAAGGGACATTCAAGTAGCTTCTACCTTTTGGATTTTTAGAATAATTCTGTCATAAACGTGGGTATGTAAATGTTTCTTTCAGGTCCCGCTTTGCACATTTAGATAGATATCTAGAAATGGTATTGCCAGACCACATCATAATTCCAATTTTAATAATCTGAGGAAACTCTGTACTATTTTTCATAATGGCTGCATGATTATTTTTTCCACCACCCAGTGCACAAATATACCAATTTCTCTACATCCTTGAAAACACTTGTTATTTTCTCTTATTTGATAGTGGCCATCCTAATGAATGTGAGGTAATATCTCACTGGGGTTTTGCTTTTCATTTCTCTAAAGATTCATGATTTGCAGCATCTTTTAAAATTCCTCTTGGCCGTTTGTATATCTCCTTTGTAGAAACATGTGGGTGTGAAGGATTACCTAGGTGCCGAGGCAAGAGACTGAAGGTAAAAACTGTTGCAGTATAATAAAGAAAACAGTTAGAATAAAGAATAGTTATAACACAAATTAGATATAGAGATGATCATGGACATTATCCATCATTAGTATAAACATTATTAATCACTAGCTTTTAATATTACTCTTTGTTGTATTACTCATATAACCAAGGAATAACTGGTGGGTATAGGGTCAGGTGCTGAAGGGACATTGTGAGAAGTGACCTAGAAGGCAAGAGGTGAGCCCTCTGTCACACTCACATAAGGGCCGCTTGAGGGCTCCTTGGTCGAGCGGTAATGCCAGTGCCTGGGAAGGCACCTGTTACTTAGCAGACCATGAAAGGGAGTCTCCTTTCCTTGGAGAAGTCAGGGAACACTCTGCTCCACCAGCTTCTTGTGGGAGGCTGGATATTATCCAGGCCTGCCCGTAGTCATCCGGAGGCATAAACCCCTCCTTGTGGTGCTGTGCTTCAGTGGTCACGCTCCTTGTCCACTTTCATGTTCCTCCCATTCTCCTGGTTCCTCTTTGAAGTTCTTAGTAGATAGCGGTAGAAGGAATAGTGAAAGTCTTAAAGTCTTTGATCTTTCTTATAAATGCATAGAAGAAAACACTGATGTATGCTGCCTTCCCTCTCTGCTTTGGCTGCCTAAAAGGGAAGGGCCTCCTGTCCCATGATCACATGACTTGCTTGACTTTATCAATCACCTGGACGACTCACCCTCCTTACCCTGCCCCCTTGTCTTGTATGCAATAAATATCAGCGTGCCCAGCCATTCGGGGCCACTACTGGTCTCTGCGTCTTGGTGGTAGTGGTCCCCCAGGCCCAGCTGTTTTCTCTTTATCAGAAAGCTTACTACATTTGAGGTAGTCCCATTTTCCTGCTTTTTTCTTGTTACTTCTGCTTTTAATGTCATGTTAAAAAAATTATCAAGACAAATGTCATGATTTTTACCTTATATTTTAAGACTTTTATAGCGATCTTACTTACATTTAAGTGTTTAAGATAGTTTTCTATATGGTGCAAGTGAAAAGTCCAATTTTATTTTCTTCCATTTTGATACTCAATTTTAGAACACTATTCTGTTCTTCCCTGTTGTTCGGTCATGGCAGCCTGATTGAAGATTATTTGATGATATTCATAAAGGTTTATTTCTGGGTTCTCTATTCTGTTCCATCATCTATTTGTCTTTCTGTTTGTATTGCTATAGCTTTATAATATATTTTGGAATCAGGAAGTGTGATACCTCTAACTTTGTTCTTCTCCACAGCTACTTTGGCTACTCATTGTCCCTTGAGATTCCATATGAATTTTAAGACTTAATATTTCTGAAAAAAAATGTAACATTGGGATTTTGATAGAAAATACTTTGAATTTGTGCTTCACTGTGAGTAGTATTGACATCTTAATAATATTAAATTTTCTGACCCTTGAACAAGAAGTCAAGAGTGTTCTGTTTTAAGTTTCACATATTTTTTCATTTGCCAGTTTCCTTCTGCTTGTGATTTGCAGCTGAGGTCTTTTTACGCTGCCCATGCTGGTCTCCAACTTTTGGGCTTAAGCTATTCTCCCTCCTCAGCCTCCTGATGTGTTTCAATTACATGGATGAGCCACTGCACCTGGCCTCTTCATTGTTTTTCTGATATTTTTAGGATTTGAAGGTAATTTTTGAAAAGATTGATAAATATGTATCTCTTTAGAAAGTTTTTCACTATTAATGTAGTCAAAACCACATAAAATTTACCATCTTAAATATTTTAAGTACATAGTTAAATAATATTAAATATATTCACATTGTTATGCAACATATCTCTAGAATGTTTTTATGTTGCAAAACTAAAATTCAATAGCCATGAAACAACAACTACCCTTTTATCTCCTCCCCTGAGGCTCTGACTGATACTATTCTACTTTCTGTTTCTAAGAGTTTAACTATTTTAGATATTTAACTGGAATCACACAGTGTCCTTTTATGACTCATTTATTTTATTTACATAATGTCCTCCAGATTTATCCTTAGTGTAAAAATAATCAGATCTCCTGCTTTTAAAAAACTGGATAATATTCCATTATTTGTATATTCCAATTTGTCTTTATTCACTGATTCATTGAGGGACATTTGGGTTGCTTCCACCTATCAGCTGTTGTGAATAATGTTGTGCAATGAATATGGATATACAAATAACTCTTCATTTGGCCATATATATGACAGTTTATTTCTGTGCTCTATTCTGTTCCATTTGTCTGTGTGTCTGCCTTTATGTCAGTACTAAATAGTTTGGTTACTGTAATTTTGTAATACATTATAAAGTCAAGGAGTGTGATGCCTCCAATATTATTTCTTTTTTTGAAGGTTGTTTGGCTCCTGAGAGTCACTTTAGATTCCATATAAGTTTTAGAAATGTTTTTTGTATTTCTGCCAAGTGAAATGACAGTTAAAATTTGATAGAGATCTCATTGAATCTGTAGATCATTTTGGGTAGTGTGGACATCTTCACAATATTGTCTTCCAACCCTTGAACGAGAGCATGCAGAAGAGTGCGTTGTTTAATTTCCACATATTTGTAGATTTTCCATATTTCTTCTGCTATTGATTTCTAATTTTATTCCCTTGTAATAAAAAATGATTGTAATATTTTAATCTTTTTTTTGAAACAGAGTTTTGCTCTGTTGCTCAGGCTGGAGCACAGCGGCTCAATCATGGCTAACCAGAGCCTCGATCTCCCAGGCTCAAGCAATCCTCCCCCGTCAGCCTCCTGAGTAGCTGGACGCACAGGCATGTGCCATTATGCCCAGCTAATTTTTAAATTTTATATTTTCTAAAGAGAGGGTCTCTTTATGTTGCCCAGGCTGGCGCCGAACTCCTAAACTCACTAATCCTCCCACCTCAGCCTCCCAAAATGCTGGAATTATAAGAATGAGCCACAATGCCTAGCCCATATTTTAACATTTTAAAATTTGGTAAAACTTGTTTTGTGTCCTAGTAGGTTATCTACTCAGGAGAATGTTTCATGACCTATTGGAAAAAGTGTGTATTCTGATATTGTTGTGTGAAGTGTTTTTTTTTCCTTTTTTTTTCACTTCTATTTGTAGCCTACACAGACCTATTGGACTGAACAAAGCAGGGTGAATGCAGGAATAAAAGACAAGAGACAAAGGGGTATATTTGGAAAAAGGGGTCAGGGGCACCTTGCCTCTAGTGGACAAGGTACCTGAGCTTTACACAGCCCTCCATATTTATTAGGTAAAAGAGATAGTGAGAAGGCGGGGGTGGTTTTCCACCAGCAGCTTGATTCACAGCTGACTCGAGAGACTGCATTCTTAGAACAATAGGCACTGGATTTCTCAGTAGATAACTTCAAGGAGCCTGGTGCCAGGGAATGAGGCCCTCAGCAAACCTTTTGGTGGCAGGGCAGTGTGAGTTTGCCCACATCCTGCATTCATGATAAACAGTTTGCTGTTTGATCATATAGCCTCCAGTGGAATGCTGAGTTGGTCATGTCCCATGGGCCTTCAGCTTCCTGAATCTATTCACTGTGATGAGTGTTTTCTATATGTCTGTTCGGTTTACAGAGTTTGCTACTGATAGTCGGATAATTATGTCTCTTACTATTTTTGCATAGCTATTTCTTTCTTCATCTGGGTCGATCTTAGCTTTATACATTTGGAAACCCCGATGTGAAGTGTACATATATTTATTATTAACACAGCTTCCCCAGTGAATCAACACTTGTATCATTATATACTATCTTTATTTGTCCTTTAATTCAGTTTTGACTTAATGTGTATTTTGCATAATTATGACCCCTCTTGCTCTCATTTGATTGCAATCTTCCTAGAAGATATTTTTCATACTTGCACTTTTAGCCTATCTGTGTGCTTAGATCTAAAGTGAGTTTCTTATAGACAGCAGAAAACAAATCGTTTTTTCTTTCAATCTCTTTAGCCAATTTACACATTTCTGTTGGAAATTTTACTCTATGTATATATTCATTTTAATTGTGAAAAGAATGGACTACTTCCATTTTGTTAATAGTTCTATTTGTTTCTTGTAGGTATTTTCTCCTCTTTTCTGCTCTTACTGCCTTCCTTTTTATTTAATTGATTTTTATAGTGACATATTTCTATTTAATTTGCCAAGGCCAAGTTGCAAGATAAAAAGTTTGCCTTTAATCTAGTCTCTCCACATCAGATCAAGCCTATGGACAGATCTAAAAACATGAGGTTTCCCTCTTCTGGGGCCCCACTTTTTGGACTGCTGTATGATCTCTGGAGGATTGATGAGTCCACACCAAGCAAAAGTGGACAGCAGTGTTCTACCTGTGAACACTTGTTTCTTGTAGGCCCTACTGTCTCTCAGGGCACCACCTCTCTTATCCTTTAAACAGGAGTGATATTGGCAGAGAAGGGGCATTCACTCCTATCTGGCAGAAAAGGAGGATTCAGGCCCTTTAACCTCCCTAAGGTCAGAAAAGTCAGAGCCCTCAGAGATGCACTTGCAATGTGGCAGCCACTGGGCACAGGGGCTACTGAACAACTGTATTGTGCCCAGCATGAACTAAGATATGCTGGGGAGAAATACAAGAAAATATTTAAATATTTAGTTACATATACATATGTGCATAAAAATATATAATGCTGGGTTAAAGAAACATATGTCTATGTGTGTGTACGTATATATGTACACATATATATGTTTCTTTAATTATTTCATTCTGATTATATGTTAAAATATTTCAGATATATTGAGCTATGTTGTTAACATCAATTTCACTCATTTTTCTTTTTCTTTATGCTGCTACTAGCAAATTCTAATTGTCACATGTGGCTCACATTTTACTTCTATTGCACATTGGTGCAATAGAGGATTGCCTAATTTCAAAGCTCAGTTTGCCTCAAAAGCCAAGAGGCCAGAAAGATTGTAAAATCTAAAAATTAAAAATAATTGTAATTGGTTGGGCATGGTGGCTCATGCCTGTTATGCTAGCACTTTGGGAGGCCGAGGCAGGCGGATCACTTGACCTCGGTTCGAAACCAGCCTGGTCAACATGGTGAAACCATGTCTCTACTAAAACTACAAAAATTAGCTGGGCAACATGGTGGGTGCCTGTATCCCAGCTACCTGGGAGGGTGAGGCAGAAGAATCACTTGAACCTGGCAGGCGGAGGTTGCAGTGAGCCAATATCTCATCACTGTACTCGAGCCTGGGTGACAGAGTGAGACTCTGTCTCAAAAAAATGTAAATAAAAATAAAAATAATTGTTATTATTTTGTTTCTATTTTGAATAATACACACACACACCCCTCCCCCTTCACACACACACAAATAAGGCAGAGAAAGAAAGAGAGAATCTTGTTCTGTCACCCAGGCTGCAGTGCAGTGGCCTGATCTCAGCTCACTGCAGCCTCTACCTCCCAGGCTTAAGTGACCCTCCCACCTCTGCCTCCCAAGTAGCTGGGACCACAGACACGTGTGACCATGCCTGGCTAATTTTTTCATTTTTTTGTAGAAAAGTTTTGATGTGGGGCCCTCACATTCTGTTGCCCAGGCTGGTCCCAAACGCCTGGATTCAAGAGCTTCTGTCCCCTCAGCCTACCAAAGTGCTGGTATTAAAGGTGAGATCCACTATGCCTGGCCACATATATACAACTTATAAATAAAAATAACCTTATATACAAGGTTAAATGCAAATATCCCACAGTGAAGGCCGGGCTTCAGCATAAGGAGGAAGTCCTGCCTGAAAAAGGCTGCGGCTTGGAACATTTTACCCTGTTGTCATCTGGCTACGAGTTGGCTCACATCTTCTCTCATTCAGAACCTGAAGGGGTGGGGCCTGGGGCCGTATTATCCAATCACTAGTGCTGGGGTAAAAACTGTCTTAAAACTATTCTTTTAATGCTTAGCAATACTAATTTTTAGTGAGAAACTTAAGATTACTTAATTTAACATAACCAGACTTTAAGATTTTAAATTACTAAAAAAAAAAAAAAGAAACTTAAAATGATGACAGAGTTACTTCCTCTAATGTTTTTTGGTGAGGGTTTCAAATACCTATGTCATATATTGAAACCTACAGTTCTATAAGCCCTACCCTTAAATCAAAACAACCCTGATGCTATTGTGAACAGGTACTTAGCACAAATCCTACCCTTAGGCAAATTTATATAGTGATTTCAATTGTCCTTCACATTCCCTTTCCTGTGATAAGTGTCTGGGTTTAGGGGGTCACAGTGTGAGGTTCCACCATCTTCAGCTATCTGAGACATAGCTTCTATTAATAAATGTTCCTCTTAAATGTTTCTTTCTGAGAAACTTGATTTGTCAGCCTCATTCTTCAAACTCTCAGCTCCTTTGGCCTTTAAAGGTAGGTTTATATATATATATATATACTCACAAGAAAACACCCTCATATATATAGTCTGTCAATTTCTCAAACATTGTTATGTGGTTCATGACTGTAATGTGTGCCACATGTAGTTTTGTACATGAATAGTATATTTTTTATAGCTACTTTCTATTACACATCACTAAAATACATGTTCAGTAAGTGCTCACTTAACATCATTGATAGGTCCCTGGAAACTGACTTTAAGTGAAACAAAATACTATATGCCATGGAAAATTAACTCTTGTTTATATCAATTAGCCAATGGTAAAATTGGTTTTATTATATAGTACATTGTTTTACTTAAAGTCACAGTTTCTGAGAATCTATCAAAAAAGGGAGAACATACTGTCATTAGTATTACAGTATATGGTACATTATAGCATTACACTATTATAGTATGTTATTGTAGTCTTAGCAATTGGTAGTATAATGTGTTTCAGTTTCTCCCAAGGTCACAGAATTATCCAGACCAACCAATAACAACTTCCTGTGGGAACCAGGTGCATCTCACCCTCTTGATACTACAAAGCCTTCCCCAACACCCCCTGTTTGTTCTCTCTGCTCCCAAGTGCAATCCCTGTGTGGGTCTGTATACCTTATATAATTTCCTTCTTCCATGATTATATGTAACGAATAACTGCTGTCAATCTCATTTGTCCAATGATTGGTGCCATGGTTTTAACTGTTCCAGTAGTACAAGGGTGGTAATTTATCCCTCACCAATGGGGTAAAGGGGAGGCTAATCAAACAATTCACAATACAAACTGGATTAACCAACTATGACTAAGGACATCGGCTCAACTTTAACTGCTTTTGGCCTACTGATTTCATGATACATTAAAAGTCACCTCAGTCAGAGCCACCAGTTTCTGGTGGGCTTTTGCTTTGGTCTAAATAGCCATTTGTGGCCTTTATCATGAGTTGCCTTCCCTGACCACATTAAAGCACACTCATCACCTAGACATATATGGTCAGTTGACTCTGCTGCAGCCTGATGTGTCATCATATTTAGCCTTTGTTTGGCATGCAGCTTGCAAGACACTTGCCTTTCAAGGCAGTGAAAACACAGAACCTTAATCAGTGAGTACTTCAGTCCTGATTACCAAGAGTCAGGCTATATCCCTGTGGTCACTTCATCTGGTCTGCTTACCATTACTAAATGCCCGGGTAGTCATATGAACATTGCTTATTATTGCACACTCTCAGGAAAGGCCCAGGGACGGTTTTTTGTAAAATTGCAAAAAACAAAAAGGACTTTTACTTTGGAGAGAATTATGCACGTCACTCAGTTGCTCTAACAAGTGCTACCGTCATGGGAGCAAGAACAGTGACCTTGTCTTTCCTGAGCTGCCGCTTCCTTTGCTCCTGTCACATGCACTCTCACGATGAGGGGCTCATTCCTTGTGCCTTATGGTTCAGGCACTGATGAGAAATAAAAAAGAGAAAGATAACTTAATATTAGTCCCTCCCAAAACTTACTGGGTAATTCTCTCATCCTAAATCCCCTACTCATCGTGTAGGCTTTTAGCACTGCTGCTTACCAGTATGCTAAAGGTGCAGACTTAGGATCAGAAGTTTGATGAACTCAAACAAAAAGACCACAATGCATATGGGTGCTAATCCCAGTGAAATGGAGTGGCAGTAAACACCTTCAACCAAAGAGAAAACAGATCACAAATAAACAAATAATGACACAACTCAAGAAACTAGAGGAGGAAGAACTTATCCCAACGTTCCCAGATAATAAAATTAGTAAAAAAAATCGGAGCAGAAATGAATACACTGAAGATTAGAAAAACAATAGAAAATGTAGAAAAATTGTAAGAGCTTGTTTTATGAAAACATGAAGTTGGCATATCTTTAGCTAGACTAAGAAATAAATGCTTAAATAAATAAAATCAGAATTAAAGGGAATACATTACAACTGGTAAAACAGAAATAAAAAAAGGTCATAAGACTGCTATGTACACAGACTCCTATGTACAATGATATCCCACCAAATGGGATAAGGGAGAAGACATGAATACATTTCTAGACAAGTACCACCCACCAAGACTGAAGCATAAAGAAATAGAAAATATGAATAGATCAGTAATGGGTAAGGAGTTTAGATCTGATGACTTTGTTGCTGAATTTTACTAAACATTTAAAAAGAACCAAATCTTTGAAAAAATTGAAGGAGGAGGAATACTTCCAAACTCATTTTATGAAGCCAGCATTACACTGATACAAAAACCAGAGATGGACATTACAAGAAAAACAATTACAGGCCAATATCCCTGATGAACATAGATGAAAAATCATCCGCAACGTAGTTGCAAATGAAATTCAAAAGCACTTTAAAAGGATCATTTATTATGATCAAGTTGGATTTATTCCTGGGATGCAATAATATTTTAATATGTGGAAATCAATAAATGCCATACTCCTTATTTACACAACAAAAAGATTAAAAATCATGACTTTTTTATGCATGCCTAAAATTATTTTGACAAAATTTAAAATCCATTCCAAATAAAATCTATAACAAATTAGGTATAGAAAGAATATACCTCAAAATAAAGAGATATGTTCTTTATAAGCTATAGGACAATCCCATGGTTAACATTATTGTCAATGGTGAAATTTTGGAATTGTTTTTAAGATTTATTATAAGAAAAAGATGCCCACTCTCACTACTTCTTTCAACACCGTATTGGAAATCCTGCTCAGAATCTAAGACAAGAGAAAAAAGAGCATTTAAATAAGAAACAACAAGTTCTTCTATTCATGGAGATTAACGCTCAGGTTTTTGCAGATTAGATTTAACAGCATGAAATCTGGTACCATCCAGGAATCAAAGGATATAGGACTTTAGGGCATCAATTATTAAGAGGCTATAGGAAAGCAGAAATGCTCCTGGATGTTTCCATTGTCCACACACAAAATTTCAACAGACCAGCCCCAGGAAGTAAAGGCACATTCCTGACTACTGTTAGTTGATGAGCTTTTCACCAAAAGCAGAGATGTGAGACCTGGCAGGTTTCAAAGACCCCTCAAGTGCTCCATACCTTGAAATTCACTTCCACAAAGCTAGAACACCATCTGTTCCTGAGGGATCAGGTTATCGTCTGTTTCTTTTAGGCACTGGTCAGTCAGGCTTTAGTGGACACGAAGCCACAGATTTTTAGTGTAAAATGCCTAATCTATCATAATCTTTAGGTAGATATTTGGAGGCCTGCACACTTAAATGGGTTGGTGAAATGTCATACCAGACACATGGCTGGGAATTGGGTTTTTCTCCTCCGCTCTTAGCAGCACCTTTGTAACCCAGTGATTACCCCCCTCATGGCTCCACGGCCACATCCGCAAAAAGGGTACTGGTGAACGTGACATTTTCACGAAGCCACAGCCCATGGTCACTCCCTGCAAAGCTCTGAACTTGCGCATTCCCAGGCCAGGCCGTGGTTGTCTTTCCAAGGCGGCTCAGCTTGTGCTTTGCTTGGAGAGAGCGGAGGGCAGCAGCACAGTGACAGCGTCTGGGACCTCAGACCAGTTTCCACAGCCACTTATGAAAGCAGACGGCTCCATGGGCTGGAGGAGGTGGGACGCTCTGGAAAGAACTCGGGTGCGAGTGGGAAAGAAAATCGAGCTGAGCAGCTGGAAGTCGAAGTCGCGTGAGTGAGGACCAGACACTCTCGATTTAGGCAAAGGCGGGGTGCACTTCCCAACAACACATCCTCCTCACTGGCGAGACCAGGCCTGCCCTTCAAGTTCCTCTCCTGATTTAATCCCCTTGGCGAGGGTTTGGCATGAAATCAATGGCCAGCAAGCTTGGTAAACGAAGCCGCCTACACCGCCCTCCCCCTCCCTGCACGGCCGCGCCCCGCCTCCGCTCCTGTCTCAATCTGGGATTGTCCTCCTGTAGCCCCACCATCCACCGTGGGGAACGGTGGAGAGACTACAACTCCCAGTATGCACCGCGATGCGCGCCTCACCCTGCATCTCCCAGCCCGCAGCCAGCTGGCATCCTAGACCCTCTGCCCTGCGACCAACAGCCGGGAGCGGACCAGACACCAGAACTCCCGGAACGGTTGAAGACGGTTCCGCTCCCTGTCCCGCCTTTCGCAGCCCAGCAGTTTCGCCCTGCGGAGAGGAGCCTTGCTGTTTCCAAATCTCTCCTGCTGAAGAGACATTGGAGCTAGGGCGGCTAGTTTCACCTGGTAATTGTGACACCCTGTCTCCTCGAGCTGCAGGCTTTTATGCTTGTCATGTTCGAAGTTTGATACCTTGCAGATCAACAAAGGGCCGGTGGCCTCTCACTGCCTCCGCGGCAGGGTTGTCAAGGTAACGCTCCTCAGACAAGGGTGGGGCGCGACCCGCCCCTTTTCTCACCCCGCCTCCTCCTCAGCCCCACCCTCCTTCGCTCCTCCTCTTGTCACTCCCTTTCAGACATGCGCAGTGCGGCCCGTCCCTAGGGCTGGGTTAAGGGCCGCGGATGTGGCAGTTCTCAGGCCTCTTGGGATCGCCTCAAGAAGCCCCCTCACGAGTGTCTCGATTTCCTGTCAGCCAACAAAGGGCCGTTCGCCTTTCATGGCCTCCACAGCAGCGTTGCCGTGGTAACGATCCTCCGCCGGACGTTGGCCGCACCGCGCCCCTATTCTTGCCCATCTCCCGCTCCGCCCCGTCCCTTCTCGCTCCTCCCTCTTGTCACACCCGTTCAGACATGGGTAGTGTAGCCCGTCCCTAGCGGCGGGATAAAAGTCCTGCCCTTTCACACATGCGCAGTGCACCCATTCCTAGGGGTGGGGCTAAGGGGCCTGCCCTTTCGGAAATGCGCAGTGCAGCCCGTCCCTAGGTGTAGGGTAATGGCGGCCGACCTGGAGGCTCCTTGGGATCCCCTCGAGAAGCCCGTTCATGAGTGTCTGAAACTGTCACTTGACTGCCAGAAGTGAAAACATCGTGTCCCTAGTCACCTGCCATTTGCCTTTTCAAAACCATTTCCTCTGTTCTCTAGGCTGTCACAAATCCTCTGCACCCCAGGAGCGCCGCTTGGACCCCCGGGCTCGCTGCGTGGTCCATATCTAGGTCGGGCCTCTCACGGAGACTTTCCCACCAGTGTAATAAAGAGGAGAAAACGTCACAGCGGAAGGGCCTGACCCTGCTGCATCCACTAAGGAAACAGCTACGGGGATGGGACCCTGGGAGCTGCTGTGGAGCCTCATCCACCGCTTCTCTGACCCCACCCAGGCTGCTTCCCAGGCCTCAGGGTCTTAGTGTGGACCTCCGGGCCGTGATTAATGCAGGTCAGCAGGACCAGAGCGCCCCTTGGTCCCTCCCAACACATGAGGGTAGTTTGTGTGGTGAGGTCAGGGATAGTGTCTGCGCTTCTACCCTGAATAGGGCTCCCTTGGAAAATACTTTAATATCTCTTTTTAAATACCCCCTTGGACCACTTTTAATAGTTTTCTGATAGAACTAAACAGTGATCATTCTCTTAATTCATGTTTCCATTAAGTTTTTCAGGTTAAGTACTGCACGACTACTCGCTTCTGAAACTGATAGACACTGCCTCAGCTCCGTGCAGGGCAGACGCACAAGAGCAGAATCTCCGTGGGACATCTCTCTGGAGCATCAATATTACTGCAGTATTTGGAAGAAACAAATTTAAATAAGTTCTAAGGTGAAGAATGGAACATTTAAGACAAGTCTGGAAAGTCATCTGCCTTTAATAACTGTCGTTTGTCCTTAACGTCAGACTTTCTCCAAGACCAAAACTCTAAGAACTTATTTCCATTCTTACAAATAGTAAAAATGATAAATCATATCAAGTCAATTGAAAGTCCTGCCTGCTGCTTTCCTAAATTGCAATATGGCCTTGGTATGGTTTTATTTGTACTTTTGTGGGGGATTCGTGGATCTTTAGATTAAAAAAAAAAAAATAGGTTTTTGAACAATTTTTGCAAGTTTGCAGCTGTTAGTTATTGATTTATTTTTCCAACCCATCTAATTCTTCTGTCTCTCTCCTCTCCTCAGGCTCAATAATTCCATGGGTCTCTAAGGCTGTGTTTATTTTCTTTAAATTTTGTTGATTTACTTTTATACTCCATTTGATTTTTTCTATCTCTCACCTTTTCTCAGACTCAGTCATCCCACAGGTCTGTAAGGCTCTGTTCATTTTCTTTAAACTTCTTTTTTTTTTCCTCTCCTCAGATTGGATAAATTATATTGCTATGTCTCTGTTTCTGAACTATAGAAAAGCTCAAAATTATTATTTTTATTTCTCATTTTTTATATGGCTATTTTTTCTCTGCTGATGTTTCACATCTATTCATTTATGAGAATATTTTCCTTTGCCCTCATGAGCGTGTTTATAATAGCTGCCTTCAAATTCTTGTCTGCCGTTTACATCTTGGACATCTTGGAGATGGCTACTGCCTGCTTTTTATCTTGTGTATTTATTACATTTTCACGTGTCTTCACGCATCCCTTGAATTGGAAATTGTGCCCTGGAGACTGTATACAAGACTGGATTAAAAAGACTGGATTCTGTTTTGTCCCTGTGAAGAGTGTTGTTTTTAAAAGATGGTGTTAAATGGGCTGGATTCTATCTTCAATACTTATCTCTCCTATGGAAGTCATAGCCAAAATATGCATTCAGTTTTTATATACACATATTTCATGTATGTATTGTATATAGAAATGTTTCTATAATGATATATAATAATTTACCCAGGATTCATCATTTTTCTGTGTGAGAGTGTTAGTTCAGTTAGCTACTTCATCATTAGTGGAAGCCAGAACCTCAGTTTTGATTTTTGAGTGTAATATAAAAAATTACACAGTATGGATACTTTTACATCAATTTTTTAATGCAATATTATATTTGTGATATTTATGCTGTTACAGATATCTACAGTTTGTTCATTTAAAAAAGTCCTTTTTTACATTGTGGTAAAATATACATAAAATTAACCATTTTAACAATTTTTAAAAGTGCAGGACAGAGGAATTAATCATACTCACATTGTTCTACAACCATCATCCACATTCATAGGGAAATTTGTTCATTTTGCAAAACTCAAACTCTGTTCCCGTTACCTTCCTTTTGGCCTCTAGGAACTACTCTTCTACTTTGAGTTTCTATGAATGGAACTACTGTAAGTACCTCATATGAGTGGAATCATACAATGTAGTAAAGAAGTCACGAGGAAGAATAATACACACTGTATAACATGCTTATTAATTTAAATAAACAGAGATCAGTAGTACATGGTGATTATAGAGAAAGACAGATAAAAAAGAAAAAGCAGTTAGAAGGGTGTGTAAAATTTATCACTATGGTGTCTCAAGTTTTAGAGCAGTGAGGCCCCGGCCCCAGACACATTACTGGTCATGGTGAAGCTGGGAGCCCAGTGCAGCTGTCTGACTCCCAAAGCCAACACTCAGGCCAAATGTCACTGAGCCCTGAGGCACTCTGCCCCTGCCAGCCCAGGCACTCAATGGCCCTGAGATTCACCATGGCCTGTTCTTGGTCTTGAGGGTGTTGCTGGCCTGCTGGAATAGGGGCCCGTCTGACAAAACAAGTAGGAGGAGCTTCAGAAAATAGTGGCAGCTGTGAGGCTACCAGGAGCCACACCTCAGGCTTCCCACTGCCTGCCCAGGGTCCCCATGCAGCAGGCCTAATGTTGACCAGGGAGCTATGGCCCCAGGTTCTCTGAAGCTGGCCACAAGATAGAGTCTTCTCCTAGTCTTTGCTAATCTGCTAGGCCCTCATCTTTTATTCTGACTGTGCAGCTTCATGCACTGGAACCAAACCCCAAATTCCTCCTCAGTCAGAAGATGACGATTATCTCTTGTCACTGAAGCAGCTGCATTTCCTGGAGGACTTTGATCTGGAGACAGAAGGAAGGGCAGGATTCTGACAGGTCCTGGGTGGAAGATGACAAAGGGAACTTGTGGGGGTGTGAAGGGGTAGGGACAATTTCTAGGGCCTTTCTTTTAAGGGGTCCTACCCTCCCCTCCAATCCCATGTAGCCCCAACCTGTTCTCAAGAGTTGGATATAAACAGTCCCTCCTCTAGGAGTTTATCATTGATTCTATTCCCCTAATCAAACCCTCCATTGGGATGGGGCTCCTGCTTCTCTGTGTATCAAACCTTCCCAATAAATCTAAGATGCAGAGGATGGAGCCAAGGAGTGTCTTCCTCAGGGTGGTGTCTGACTTTCACATCCCCACCCTCCCTCAAAGCGACAGCGCCAGCTGCTCACCTTCTTCCTTTATTAGTGTTGATTATATGTTCTTAGGAGGTAGACAGCCAAGATTCATGAGAAAGGCTTCCTGACACAGGACTAGACCTCATCCCTTATACTTCCTATGCTGCACCACCACCAGGGCCACCAGGGTCAGAGCATGTGCATAAAACAGGACTTAGACCTGCATCAGGTTCTGGGCTCCACAGAAGGGACACTGAGGCTCAGTGACCTTTCTCCCTGATTCTCTGTGATGATAGGGAGACAAAGGCCTTGGAAACAAAGAAGTTACTCAACAATTTAGGACCTGCCTGTCTTAGGAGGGGCCCAATTTCTCTCTTCTGCAATGGGTACCAGCTAAGGCAGAGGCTGAGACTTAGCTCTGCAGCTTTACTACTCAAGGAACAGGAAATGGTGTCTTTGCTGGAGGCTCCGTCACTCATAGATAAGACGGAACTGACACTGCCATTTACAGGGGCATCTGGTAGGCTCTCAGGAAAGGGGTTTGCTGAGTGCTGCAGTCTCAGGATTCAGTCCAGGACTCTGTCCTCGCAAGCTTCAGGATCCTGGTCCCCACCCTGCCTGCCTGCCCCAGTCTCACTCACATCTCTATAATCCTCTATGGCAATTTCCAGCATCTGCAGGTTGTTGAGAAGTGTGCCCGGGGTGGGGGGTGGGGGGGAGGGGAGTGGGGGCACAGCAGCCTGTGTTATCAAGGTGGTAGCAGTGATGAGCACCAATTCTCAGCTAACTGCACAAGACCTCTCCTTTGAACTCTCACCAACCTATTTCTCCTTGACCCCCGTACCCAAGTCTCTCACTCAGAGCATCCAAGGACCTTTCACCTCCTTGCCCAAAATCTTTCCCTCCTCTTTCCACAGCTGACCTCCAAAGACGCTAAGCACTTCTTAGTTACCTCTATGGTGTGATTTTAATAAATCACAAAGTCAGATCGTCCCCACCCTCACTCTTCGTCTAATCTACTCTGAGCCTAGCTCTCCCAGGCCCTTTCTCTAGTCTCTCTAATGAAGGCATTCCAAGCATTGTGGCCACAGGAGGGCAGGGCTGGAGGAGGAAGACACCCAGGTCTCTTGATGTGGAGAACTCCAGCTGGGAGGGAGGAGCCCTGTCCTTGACTCTCTGGAGCCCCTCCCTACCATAGGCCAATTCACCTGCTGCTGCAGCCCCATCTGGACTCTTTAAAAAGGTTCCTACCTAGTAGAGTCAGAAACAGGGTCAGTGAGACTGTGCCTGTCTCACAGTTACACTCCAGCCCCAGCGACCTCAGATCTTGGATAACTGCCTGAGTCAGCCGGTGTAATGCTCCCACCAGCTCCAGTGAGTCCTGATTCTAGATTTACTCCCAGCTTTAACACTCACTGTGTGTGTAACCTTGGGCATGCAGCCAGGCCTTCCTGAAACTGTTTTTTCATCTAGGAAGTGTGATGAGAACAACACCTTCCTCACAGTACCTCCTGAGGACTCAGTTGCATGTGGCTATCACCATTGTTCTCACCATCATCCCTCTCAGGAAGAGGTGGGCACAAGAATTCTGAAGTTTCCTTCATCCTTTGCCCCTTATCATGACCCTGTGAGGCCTGCACAACAGGCTTTCTGCATTTTCCAGTTGAGGAGACAGGCCCAAAGAGGGTGTTGACTTGCCCAGGAGCCCACAGGAGAGGCTGTCTTCTCCTCCCACCTGAAGAGTCTGCCCTACCTGGCTTCACACCACACACCAGCACCATCACTGACCAGGGTCCCATCCTCTGGACTCTGGGATAGATGTTCACATCCCAATCCAGGCCCAGCTGTGGTGGAAAGAAACCTGGTATCTTGGGAGGCCTGGTTGAGCAGTGCCAGCTTGTCCCAGCTTCACTGGAATTGCTATCCCACAAATTGGGTTTGAGGCTATGAAGAAGACTTCACCTCTTCGATGATCCACCGAGAGAGATTCCCACACAGAGCTCTCTCTTTATCCACTCCCTGCAGTTGGCCTGCCAGTGAAATCACACCTGTGCAGTAGTCAGGCCTCCTGGCCCACCCGCCAGCTGCCAGCCTCCAGTGTCTCTGATACCCATGGGTAATCATGCCTTCCTTGGCAAGGCTGCTGAGATTCAGAAGGACCTAAACAGATCTTTGGCTCAGATGGGTTGCTTCAGCCTTGTGTCCTTGGCCATCTTCCCTTGCCTTCCGAAGGTCCCTGCCAGCCTCACTGTACCAAGCCCTGACCCTAGCGGTCTCTCCGTGGGGACCACATCTCACCCACCCTCCATTGCCAGGGCTCCTGCTCAGCTCTTCTCACTTTCCCAGGACAAGCCTGGCTTCACAGACACATCTAGATCCAGCGCTTTTCTCTTTGTGGTGTTCAAAGAAAGAGTATTATTTTTTTCTCTAAATTGACCTATAACCTACTTATTTTGAAGATGTCCAGGCTGCAGGAGATCTCTACCCATCTACCCAGAAGGCATCAGCCCTTGCTTCAGTACCTTCTCATTCCACTCTGTCACTAAATGTTTATGACCTCAAGAAAATTTGAAGAAGCATAAGCAAGTGCAATTCCATTGGTACCAGGGCTGTAAGGGCGGGGCCAGATGGGTGAACCTCACTGGGGATAAATAGAAATTGTGTACAAGATGGACATTTCAAGGTTGGTTTCAAGAAACGCAGGGAAAACTAACTTTCATAGGTGACAGTATGCACAAGTTAAGCTTCCTAACAGCCACAAGTTCACAGGTTCTTCTATCTAAATGTGGCAATGTGTGACGATGTCTGAATGGCCATAATACACATACATAGAGTAATTTATAGCATTCATTTTTGTATTAGAAATTGTGCATTTCAGCCACAAGTTTTTTATACATGATGGATAGTCCCACATTGCTTGAAGATTGGAAGAGAGAGCACTTTATGAAATGTCCTTTTGGACACATTTTCATTGACGTTTCTATGTCCCAAGAGGCAATGAGACAAGTCATGATAAACTGGCCGTGTCTTCTGGGGTTACACCTGAACTTCTTGGTGTCAGGACCGAGGAAACCAAGGACACAGATATGCCAAAGGTGAGGTTAGAGCAAAAGTTTAATGGGTGAGAAAAAGAGAACAGCTCTCTGCTGCAGAGAGGGATCCAGAAAAAAAGAGTTGCCATTCTGCAGTGAAATACAAGTGTTTTTATAGATGAGCTAGTGGGAGGGGGTATGTTATCCACATAGGGCATGAAAAAGTGGTTAGGACCAGGTGTGTCATCTGCTTAGAGCATGAATCTCTGGCAGCTCACACCCCAACCTTTTATTATGCAGGCAGATTCTCAGCCTGAGCTACTCCAAGTTGCTTATCTCTTTTCTACTGTGCATATGCTACAAAGAGGGGTGGGGCCCCCCATGTTGGATATGTCTGGCCCAAGGTGGTCATTTCTACCCATGCAGCTGCAGGCATCCCTGCCCACACAAGCTTCCAGCTTCCTTTTGTATGATTGCAGCCCAATTTTCCAGGCTGCTCTTTGTTAAAGAGAAGTGAATTCCTGGGTTGCTTTCTGTTAGAAGGGACGTTCTGTTGAGAACTCTTTGCTCTATCTGCCTAGCTAGTTTCTTTCTACATCTGCTCTCAATGACAATTATTCAGTTTTAATGGGGTCCTGGGGGTGGGAACAGATAAATTTGAGACCACAAAGTACCTTAGAATAAGAATTCACCCTTTAGTCAGCTTTAGTGTGAGTTGCACATCTATTATAATATTGGCTTCATGCACTACTGAATATAACAAGAAGGGAAAATGTGTATCTTTTAAAAATCTAGATGACAAATGGACTTTCCACAGATTCTTTGTGTGTTCCTGATTTAGAACTTGTTCATTCCACTGTAGTTTGTTTTCATTGAAATCACCAACTGATGAGGAAGCCTAGGCTGGCAAGCAGGACACGGTGGATTATTTGCAGGAAAGGTGTTTTTGTGGGGACCCTAAAGGGTCAGGCACTGCAGCCCACAGGAAAGCCTCAGCCATGATTCTCTGTGGCGTTGCCCTGGTGGGGTAAGGCAGCCATGCAAAGCTCTGATTCCCTGTCCTGAAGGGTGACATTGGCCGGGCAAGCCCCAGCCTTCAGGAAAAAAGGACAGACAAGGGAGTGCTTCACGTTCCGGCCTTGTTCCGGCCTTGTCATGAGCTCCACCGGCAGCCTGCAGTGGGGCACAGCTTCTAGGTGCCTGGTCAGCTCTGGTCCTTCAGGAGGTGAAAATGACTTTTCTCCTGGATTCTCTGCCCTGTTGGCTGGGCCTGGGAAGGACTCAAGGTCTGCATGGCAGTTTCTGAGTCTCCAGCACCCAGCTGTCTCATTGTGATGATGACAGGGAGAATGGCCAGAAGTACCGGGGTGGGGAAAACGAAGAGCCAGCAGGAGAAGGCGAGCTTCCAGAAAGCCCCACCACAAATGCTTAGTGCCTGGGTAGGCACAGGGATTGCTGGGTTTTGCCTGGGAGCAAGTCCATAGGCCCTGCTGGAGATTGCCAAGATAACCACCCCCTGCCAGAGGTCACCAGGGATTGCCTGAAAACCTTCGGAAATGGTGCATGCCCCTATTGCTCAAAAACTGGAAGAAGCTGCAGCCTCAGCAGGTTATCCAGGCCACTGAGTGGGGCAGCGGGCCTACACTGAGTGCACTCCTACATTGGCAGTAGGCAGCTCTCCTGACCCATCCACCAGCTGTCTGCCTCCAGTGAGCAAGATCTTCAAGGCTGATCAGACCTCCAGTTGGCAGGGCTGATGAGATTCAGTGCGACCTGGTCAGATCTTTGGCCCAGATGAGTCACTTGAGTTTCAGTGTCCTGGACCAACTTTCCTGGACTTCAGAGGGCCCCTGCCAGCCTGAGTGAGCCAGGCTTGGCTGCATCTTCCTGGGAGCCCCATCTCACCTGCCCTCCATCCCCAGGGCTCCTGCTCAGCACTTCTTACTTTCCCAGGACAAGCCTGGCTCCAACAGACATCTCTAGATGCTGTGTTTCTCTTTGTGGTGAGCAAAGAAACAGAATGAGTTCCATTTTTTAATTTTTTTCTAATTTTACCTATAACTTATTTATTGTAAAAAGGTTTGGGCTGCAGGAGACCTGACCCACCCACGCAGGAGGCCTCAGTAGCCTCCCAATCCACCCTGTTACTAAATATTTCCACTCCTAACAATATAGGGGGAAGCAGGAGCAAGTGCAGTTTCACTGCACCAGTGCTGTGAGGATGGGGCCAGAAGGGTCCTGCCCAGTAGGATTCAATAGGAATTATATAGAAATAAACATCTCAATGTTTGTTTGGACGGATTGACATGGAGAAATTTAATTTTGATAGGTTCTAGTACACAGAAGTTAAGCTTCCTAACAGCCATGAGTTTACAGCTTCCTCTTTCTGAATTTGGCAGTGTTTTTTGATGTCCAAATTGCCACGATGTCCACACATATTTACAATAGTTTATATTATTCATTTTGTATTACTAATTGTGCACTTTGGCCAACAGTGTTTCATACATCATGGTTGGTTTCCAACCTTGCTTGAAAATTGGAAGTGACAGCCCTTTATGGAATGTTGCTTTTGACACTCTTCCATTTAAGGCTCTGTGTCCCCACAGTGCTACGAAGACAAATAGTCATCACTCTTCCATTTTGAGGGGGCCAGGGTAAGCAGGTGCAATTTGAGAATACAAAGTACCTTGGAAACAGAATCATCTTTCAATCAGTTTTAGTGTGAATTTCATTTACATTAGAATAGCCTGTTCATGCACTCACAAGATTTCAGGGAGGGACAATTGTCACCTTTGAAGAATCAAAGTGACCAACGGGCTTCCCTCAGTATTTTGTTTATTTGTTTCTGGAACTTAGTCATGCCATTGTAGATCCTTTCTTTTGGAATCACTGGGTGATGAGAAACCCCAGGCTGGAGAGCTGGACACCGTGGAGTCCCTGTGGGAGAACTGTTATTAGGGTGGCCTAACTTGGAAGGCACTACAGCCTGTGGGAAAGCAGCATCCAAGATTCTCTCTGGCGTGGCCGGGTGCTGGGTGAGGTAGCCAGCCCAACAGCTTATTCTGTTTCTGGAATGGTGACTCCCAGCCTGGGCATGGCTTCAGTTTCCAGGAAACAGGCATGGGCCAGGGAGCGCCTTACCTGTTTACTGCTGCGATGTGTGGGGCCTGTATCCGCCACTGGGCACTCCACCTCTTCAAGTGGGGTCCTGTGCATTCCTTTTGGAGGCTTCAAAAGACTTTCCTCTCTGACTCCCGGCGTCTTCACCTGGACACTGTAGGACCCCAGATCTGTGTGTTTCCCAAGTGTCTATAGCGCCAGGTGCCCCATTGTGACAGGGAAGATGACCAAATTAAGTGATTAGGACCGTTTGAAAAAAAAGCAGGAGAGATGCTGTATGGAGGAGGCCTGACATGACTGCCTCTAGCCTGCGGCTGCTGGTGCCATGCGCAGGCCGGACTGGTCTCTGCCAGGGTGATGTGATCCGTTGTGCTGAAGATTCTCACCATTTCCTTCCTTTCCCCATCGGGGACACCTGGGTAACCAGCTGAAGCAGTAGTTCCCCATCCGGAACAAAGACTGCAGACCCTCGCATGGGCTCCAGCCTGCAGGACACAAGCGTGAGCCTTGGAGGACCCCACATACCTAGGTGGTTGTGGGCTAGACCTGTGGCCTTCGCTGGGTTCTTGACTCATTTCTGGAGTGCGAGGGTTTTGTTCTTTTTCAACTGGAGGTGGCAGATGACTGTCCTTCTGGACTTCCTATATGCTCACCTGACCCCTGCGGGACCTGAGATCATTGGGGTTCCCAGGTCTTTATGGCATCACGCCCCCATTGTGACAACAAGGAGGATGACCAAAAGTATGCCGGTGGTTGAGGAAGAGAAAAAAGAGGAGTGGAGTTGCAGGGAGGAGGCTCGAAAGGATCACCTCCAGCCTGGGGCAGCTGGATTGGCGAGTCAGGGGCTGGCTCCTGCCTGGGCAAGACAATAAGCCATGATGAACAATGCCATTATCCTCCTTTTCAGTTGGGGGTACCTGGGCATATCTGAAAACCTTGAAAAAGTGTTTGCATTTTCACAGCTTAAGAAAAGGAAGCAGCAGCAGCTACAGTGGGTTTTTCATGCCTTCCAGTGGCATTGAAGAACCTGCACTGAATGCCACCTGGAAAACAGCCTGGACCTGCACCTTTGGGCCGGGGCACCCGTGGGAGCTCAGCCCTTGCCGCCTCAACCCTTTTTGGATTCTTTTCTCCCCAGACTGTCCCAGAGTTCAGGTCTTCTCATCTCTTGTCTGCCCAGTGAAGGCACAAGGGTGGAAAGGTGAGGGTGTGGAGTCAGGAGCTTTGTTCCAGTGCTGGGCATAGTGAGAAGTCAAAAGAGAGGTTATGATCTCATTGTGCTTGAAGGGGAGAGGCCAAAGCCTAAGACATTCTGCCTTTTTAGGGGAATTACCTTTCAAGGCTTATTTGGTCTTCACTAGCCTTTACATCTGAGGATGAAGGAGTTGAGGCTCTGTTACATGGATGTCTAAAGAGATCATAACTCTCACATTGAACGACACAGAGACTGATAGCTCTAGCACAGTACCTAGGTAATGTGACTCTCTCTTGCTACGTGTGCCCTTCCTACATAAGGAAATGTGACATACCACTGGGCCAAGCACCCAGGAAATGTGACTCTCCCGCCTGTGGCCTGCCTGTATTGGGCAATGTTGTGACACATCTCAGAGCTGAGCACCTAGGTGATGTAACTCCTTTTTTGGGAGCTGTCAATGGAAGGGATTGTGACATATGTTTGGCCAATCACCTAGATGATGTGACTCTCTTGCCTATAACTCAAATTGGGGAGAAATTATATCTTGACAATATTGAGATTTTATGATCATGCACATTAAATGTCTTTCTATTTATTAAGATCTTTTGTGATCTTTCATGGCTCTTTCATTAGAAATTTGTAGTTTCCATTGTATATAGATCTGTGTGTCACAAAGGTCTATATGACAAAACTGAGACAAAGACAAACTGACGGATTCTTCCAGTTTTTGTGGATGGCTCTGGGCTGGGGCGTTCCTTTAACACATGTGCAGACTGTTGAAAACTTTGCTTCAGTCTTCACTTTCTGCTGAGCTGAGCCTGAAGGTCAGCCAGTGCTGAAAATGAGGGTCTTCTTGGGTCTTTAAGAAAATGTGTTTTTCGTGGTTATGCACAGAGTGCTTTGTCAATTTGCCAGCATACCTGGGTGCTTTTTAATAGCCTAATTTGTAAAACAAAACAAAATCTCACGTTAGCTTTTTATTCTTGGCTTTATGTGACCTATTGTATGTGTCGTCTGTAATCTGTTCTCCAGGGGGCTGCTGGCTTTCAGTTTCCTTAAAATACTCCCAAGTAACTCGTGCCAATTTTTTAAACTGATTTTTTTTTCTGACTTAGAGAAAAAAGAGAGCCTTGTTTCAGACCTCTGGATAGCCCTAATACAGATTTTAATGTAACAACACAATACTTTGCAAGTAAGACCTCCTCTTTTCCCTCTGGAACCACTGAGCAGAGGCCCATACTGGCAACTCAGGATGTTGTTTTTAAGACTGCCATCAAGTAAGGGAAGGATTTGGGCAAGGACGTGTAAAAAGTCCACGAGGCTTTTCTCCTGTTCTTCATTGTTTTTCTTGATTTTGTAGTTACATGGTTGCTGTACAACTTGATGGTTTTCAACAGGTTTTACAACATCGTTTCTGACAGTTCTGCTTGGTTTTCCCTGTTTCTGTGGAGGAGCAGGTGTTTGGAGCTGTACATTCTTGACATTTTGCTGATTTTACTCTCTCTGGGCTCTCAGTTGTATTTCATTGATCTAAATGACTTTCCTTGTGTCGTTACTACACCATCTTGATTAAGGTTGCTTTGAGGCAAATTTTGAAGTTGTAATTTGTGAGTCCTTTTATTTGGCATCTTTTTAAAGATTTTTAAAGATATTCTTAGTCCCTTTTAATTTTATATGAATTTCAGCATCAATGCTTCAGTTTTTACATGGTAGTCACCTTGAATTCTAATTGTACTGAATCTAATTGTACTGGATGTAGACTGTTTGGGGAGTTATTGTCATCATAATGTATTAAACCTACTGATTCATAAACATGGAATGGTTTCTCATTTATTTAGATCTTCAACCTCTTTCGATAAGGTTTGTAGTTTTCAGATTATAAGTTCCTTTCACATTTTTAAAAATTTATTTCTATGATTTATTATTTAATTGCTATTGTAAATGGATTTGTTTTTGCCTCAACTGCATTATTAGATATTTCATTGCAAGTGTATAGAAGTAGAATTGATTTTTGTATAATAATTTTGTACCTCTGACCTTGGTGAATACATGATCTTGGTTGCTTCCAAGTTTTGTGAAAACTACAATTAATATTGCTGTAAACTTTTTTGTGCAGGTTTTTGTGTGGACTTACATTTTCAATTCATTTGAGTAAGCTAACCTTTAGGAATTTGTTTGGAGTTCAGAAGACACCACCCTGCCACATAAGATCGAGTTAAGAAAAACTCATTTTGTGCAAATCAAGTTTATATGGGCCTATGATGAGGTTCATGGAAAAGCACTGTGTATAGTTGTGTGAATTTGAGCCCAGTGATTTATTATGTATTAATCTTGCCCTGTGTAGCAGATGTTCTAGGAGGTGCTGCAATGACTAAAACAAAACAAATAATTCTGCCCACTTGAAGCTGATATTCTAGGAAAAAATAAATATATAATACAAGTAAAATAAACAATGTGTAAGATAGTGGTTACTGCTAATGTGGGAGGAGAGTGTGGTAAAGAGAGCAGAGGTCTAAACTGGGTGTCTCTCTGAGCATTTATTTATGTGTTTCAGCTGCTAACTCTGACAGTTAACAAGCTTGCGTGTCTTTGTCTGCGTGTATCCACCTTTATGTGCAGTGAAAAGTCTGCTTTTGTATTTATGCCTGGGTGCTATGTGTGTATTTGCTTTAAAATCACTAATACTTTTATGTTCTTGCCTAATTTCCTAGCTAACAGCTTTTTTTTTACCATGTTGAATAGATGTCGTGAGAACAGACATCTTTGTCTTATTTCTGATCTTAGGTAGAAAGCATTTTGTCTTTTAACATCAAGTATGATGTTAGCTGTGGGGTTTTTATAGATGTCTTACAATATCTTTTCTATTTCCAGTTTATTTAATGTTTTTATCATGAGGAGTGTTGAAGATTTTCAAACCTTTTTACTTTGTATTTTCCCTATATTAATACCTTGCCAGATGTATTATTAGAGTATTGTTATGGAGTATGTTCTATTATTCAGAGTTGTCCTGTTACTCTATTGATAGTGTCCTCTGAGAGACACTATTTTATTTCATTTGTTTGTAGTCTCTATCCCAGTACCACACTGTTTTGAGTAACATGACTGTGAGTAACTTTTGACGTTAGGAAATTTCTCATTATGAAATTAGAGCTCTGAACATTTTTATCTCTTTTTTTTGCGATCGTTTTGACTATTCTTGGTTCCTTGAGATTTCACTTGAATTTTAGAATGTTAGTTTCTGTTTCCATTTAAAAAAAGTTATTGGGCTTTTGATTGGGATTGCACTGCATTTATAGATAATTTTAGGAGAAATTGCCACATTAGTACTTTTAAGAGAGTTTCCAAGATGGCTTACTGGATGCAGCCAGCAAGTGTTGCTCCCAAAGAGAAAGACCACAATTTTGACTACATCAACATAGTTTGAATAGATATTTGGAGAGAAAATGGATAGTGTGGATGGAGAAAAGGTGCGTTTTCTAAGACTGAAGAGCAAGGAAGCTGGGGTGCCCTTATGGGGTGCCTGAACGCTATGACTGCTTTTTGGCCCTGAGTGGCATCTGGGGAAGAAGTGAGTAAAGGGACTGGGAGGCTGCTCACTCTCGCTGCAGACCACTGGGATCCTGGCTGCAGGAAACTCCACACCCCCATGGACATGTGAGTTGGCAAGGAGCTCTCCCTGGAGAGTAGATGGAGATGGAGCTGTAGCAGGCACAGAGCCAGGACTTTTTAGCATGGGTCGGATCTGGTGGAGCTCAACCATAAAGTCCCACCTCTGCAGCTGCCTATCTCTCTCAGAGGCTTTGGCCCCAGCTAAACTGCAGGGAGAAAGCAAGGCCTGCTTACCCGCAGGACTGGGACATGTCTATCCTGTAGGCATGCCTGTCCACCAGCCTCTTACATGGCCCCTGCCTGGCTTCCTGGGAGAAGCATGTATACATTGTAGTTTCTGCTACCCAACCTGGATGCTTGGCTCCACCTGAATGCATTCTGGCAGCCCAGAAATCCCTCAGATCCCTCACCACACTTGGAACCTGGCCCTAAGCATCAGGAAGAGGGAGTCATAAGCAAGTCGTGGCACTCCAGTGCTGTGGCCTGTGGTTCAGGAGTGTCAAGCTGGGATCTGTGCTGGGCAGTTGAATGGGGGAGGAACCCACACTCTTCAGAAACTGAGAGGCCAGATTCACACAGGTTCACAGGCTGGCGTGGGCCCTAGGCACACCTCCTTCCACAGGGCTGTTATGGTAAAGATGCAGGGTATTTTTCTAGAAGACATCTCCCTGAGGAAGCCCCACAGCTTGAAACACCTAACAACAATGACAATAATGATAATGATAGTAATAGGCCGGGCGCGGTGGCTGACGCCTGTAATCCCAGCACTTTGGTAAGCGGAGGCGGGTGGATCACGAGGTCAGGAGATCGAGACCATCCTGGATAACACGGTGAAACCCTGTCTCTACTAAAAATACAAAAAAATAGTCAGGCGTGGTGGCGGGCGCCTGTAGTCCCAGCTAGCCGGGAGGCTGAGACAGGAGAATGGCATGAACCCAGGAGGCAGAGCTTGCAGTGAGCTGAGATCCTGCCACTGCACTCCAGTCTCTGGGCGACAGAGCAAGACTCTGTCTCAAAAAAAAAAAAAAAAAAAAAAAAAAAAAAAGGAGATAATGATAGTAATAATAATGGGCATAGTGCCAGTGATTGGAAGTGAGTCTCTCAAGACTCATGAACAGACCTGTACCACAGAACATAGTTGCAAATAAAGAAGATACACAAAGGAACTGCATGGTAAAGAACCTATCTACATCCCACTGCTCTCAAGTGCTATCTACTGGATCGCAGTAGAGATTACACCACCAAAAATCACTTTACTAATTCTTCCCCTGTGAAACCAAGAGCAAGAATTCAACAACAAAGACACTGTACAGAGTCCTAGTCCTCTGAAAACCTTCAAAAAAAGAAAGCCAATAGACTATACTCAATTTATACCCCAATTAGAGGTATACCAGTTCTCTCAGATGAGAAAGAATTGGCTCAAAATCTCTGGCAATGCAAAAAGCCAGAGTGTCTCCTTCAAGAGAGCCCACTAGTGCCCCAGTGATGGTTTTTAACAGTCTGAATTGTCTAAAATGACAGACATGGAAAAAAGAGCAGGGAAACTCATTTAGATTGAGAAGAAAGTTGAAACTTAACCCAAGGAAGCCAAGCAATCCGGTTAAATGATTCAAAACCTGAAAGATAAAATAGCAATCTTAAGAAATATCTAAACTAAAAAAATTCTTGAGCTGAAAGATTTACTGTGAGGATTTTATAATAAAATCAGAAGTATTTCCAGCAGAATAGACTAAACTGAGAAAAGAATCTCAGAGCTCAAACACTGTTTTATTGAATCAACATAGTCAGACAAAAATAAAGATAAAAGAATTAAGAAAAATCAACATCCCCATTGAGAAATATGAGATTACTTAGAGAACAAATCTACAATTTATCAACATTTCTGAGAGAGAAGGAAAGAGAATAGGCAAGTTGGAAAATATGTATGAAGATATAGTTCATGAAAGTACCTCTAATCTCACTAGCGAGGTTGCCATTCAAATCCAAGAGAACCCCAGTCAGCCCCTAGTCAGATACAATAATATATGACAGTCTGTATTAGTCAGTTCTCACATTGCTATAAAGAAATACTTGATACTGGGTAATTTATAATGAAAAGAAGTTTGGTTGGCTCACAATTCTGCAGGCTGCAGCGGAAGCATGGCAGCATCAGCTTGGCTTATGGGGAGCCCTCAGGAAACTAACAACCATGGAAGAAGGAAGAGGGGGAGCAAGGCATCTTACATGGAAGAACAGGAGCAACACAGAGAGCGGGGAGGTGCTACCCATTCTTAAACAGCCAGATCTCATGAGAACGTTATCGCAAGACAGCACAAGGGGCTGGTGTTAAACCATTCACAAGGATCTATCCCCATTATCCAATCACCTCTCAGCAGGCCCCACCTCCAACATTGAAGATTACAGTTCCACATGTGATTGGGGCAGAATCACAGATCCAAACCATATTGCTATTTCCATGTCACATAGTCATCAGATTCACCAAAGTCAGTGCAAAAAAAAATTTAAGATCAGTTAGAGAGAAAGGGCAGGTTACTCACAGAGTGAATTCCATCAGACTAGCAGCAGACCTCTCAGCAGACTCCTTGCAACCAGAAGAGGTTAGGGGCCTATCTGCAGAGTTTTTAAAGGAAAAAAAATTAACCAATAATTTTATATCCCTCTAAACTAAGCTTCATAGGTGAAAGAGGAAAAAAAAAATTCCTTTGACAAGCAAATGCTGACGTGATACATTTAAACTAGACCAGCCTTACAAGAGGTCTTTAAGGTAGTGCTAAACATGGATTCAAGTGAATGATATCTGCTACCAAAAAAGCTCACTTAAGCACATAGCCCACAGGCACTATAAAGCAATAATGCAATCAACTCTACATAACAACCAGCTAACAACATGATGGTGAATTCAAAATCACACATATCAATACTCACCTAACATGTAAGTAAGCTAAACACCACAGTTAAAAGACACAAAGTGGCATCCTGGATAAAAAGACAGTACCCATCCATCTGTTGCTTTCAAGACACACCCTTTGCCTCAGAGTAAAAGGGTGGAGTGTATTCTACCATGCAAACGAAACAAAAACAAGCAGCAGTCACTATTCTTATATTAGATAAAACAAATTTAAACCAAAAAAAAAAAAAAAACACTAAGAGGGACAAGAAGAGCATTTTGATAAAGGGTGCAATCTAACAAGAAGCCTTAACTATCTTAAATATATATGTGATTACCACTGGAGCATCCAAATTCATAAAATGACTTCTTCTTTGCCTACCAATGAAAAGAAGAATAACAAGGGCATATTGATAAAGGATAAAATCCTGTGAGAAGCCTTAAATATCTTAAATATATATACACTTAATATTGGAGCACCCAGATTTACAAAATGACTTTTTCTTTCCCCACAAAAAGGCTTAGACAACATCACAATAGTAGTAAGAGACTTCAACACCCTACTTACAGCATTAGACATATCACTGAGGTCAAAAAAAAAAAAAACTAACAGGAAAACTCTGGAGTTAAACTCCACACTTGACCAATTGGACCTAATAGACATCTATTGAAAACTCCATCGAACAACCACAGAATGTACATTTTTCTCATCTGCACAAAAAAAAATTCTAAGTTCAACCACGTGCTCAGTGATAAATAAAGCCTGAATAGATTAAGGAAAAATGAAATCTCACCAAGCACACTGTTGGAGCACAGTACAATAAAAAATACAAATGCATACCAAGATCTCTCAAAACTACAGAAATACATGAAAATTAAACAACTTACTCCTGAATAAATCCTTTGTAAACATCAAAGTAAGGCAGAAATATAAAAATTACTTGAAATTGATAGAAATAGGAACACAACTTACCAAAATTTCTAAGATGCAGCCAAAGCAGTGTTAAGAGGAAACTTTATAGCCCTAAATGCCTTTATCAAGAAGTTAGAAATGTCTCAAATTAACGATGTAACTTTGCACCTAAAGGAACTTGAAAAAAAGAACCAACCAACCCCAAAGCTAGCATGAGAGAAGACATAACAGCAATTAGAGAAGAATTTAATGAAGTTGAGATGCAAAAATGTATACAACAGTCCAAGAAAACAAAAAATTGGTTCTTCAAAAAAAATTGATAAGCTCCTAGCCAAATTAACAAATATAAAAAAGAAAGAGAAGATCCAAATAAGCGCAATAAAAATGACAGGTTATATTAAAATGGATCAGATAGAGATACAAAAGATCCTCAGCGAGTACTATGAACAGCTCTGCACGCAAATTAGAAAATCTGGAGAAAATGAATAAATTCCAGGAAGCACACAGTCTCCCAAGATGGAATCAGAAAGAGATCAAAACTCTAAGTAGACAAATATCAACTTCTGACATTGAGTCAGTACTAAAGAACCTACCAACAACAACAACAACAACAAAAAGGCCTGAAACAGGTAGATTGGCTGCTGAGTTTTACCAGACATACTAAGAAGAAATGATATCAATCCTACTAAAATTATTTCAAAATATCGAGGCGGTGGGGCTCCTTCCTAACTCATTCTTTGAAACCAGCAGTAGCATGATATGAAAATCTGGCAGAGACACTGTGAAAAAACAAAACTTCAGACCAAGATCCCTCATGAACAGAAAATGTAAAAATCCTCAACAAAATACTAGCAAACCAAATTCAGCACCACATCAGAAAGGTAATACACCATGGTCAAGTAGGCTTTATTCCTGGGATGCAAGCTGGTTCAACATATGCAAACCAATAAATGTGATTCACCAGCTAAATAGAATCAAAAGTAAAAACCATATGATTTTCTAAACAGATACACAAAGGTCTTCTTAATAAAATCCAACACTACTTCATGGTAAAAATCCTCAATAGACTAGGCATCCAAGGAACATACCTTAAAATAATAAGAGTCATCTATGGGAAACCCACAGTCAACATCATACTCAATAGGTTAAAAACTTAAAACTATTTCTATGAGAACTGAAACAAGACAAGGATGCTCACTCACAGCACTCCTATTCAGCTTAGTACTGGAAGTCCTATGCAGAGCAATCAGGCAAGAGAAAGAAAAAGTAACGAAACAGGAAAAGAAGTCAAACTATCTCTCTTCGCTGAAAATATGATCCTATGCCTAGAAAATCCTAGAGATTCTGCCAGAAGGCTCCTAGAATTAATAACTTTAGTATAGTCTCAGGATACAAAATCAGTGTAAACAGTACTGATTATGGTGAAATAAGTAGCATTTCCATACACCAACAATGTCCAGGCCAAGAGTGAAATCAAGAACACAATTCCACTTAAAATAGCCACAAAAAAGAGAAATACCTAGGAATACAGATAACCAAGGAAATGAAAGATCTCTTCAAGGAGAACTACAAAACACTGCTGAAAGTCACACACCTACAACCATATGATATTTGACAAGGCTGGCAAGAACAAGCAATGGGGAAAGGACTCCCTAGTCAATACATTCTGGGATAACTGGCTTGCCATAGGCAGAAGATTGAACCTAGACCTTTACCTTGCAACATGCCCCAAAATTAAATTTAAATGGATTAAAAATTTAAGTGTAAGACCTCAAACTATAAAAATTCTGGAAGATAACCTAGGAAATATTTTTTTGACATCAGCCTTGGCAAGTCGTTTTTGGCTAAGTCCCCAAAAGCAATTGCAACCAAAACAAAAATAGACAAGTAGGACTTAATTTGACTAAATAGCTTCTGCACAGCAAAATAAACTATCAACAGGGGAAAGAGGCATCCTCCAGAATGGGAGGAGATATTCACAAACTATGAGTCTAACAAAAGCCTAATATCCAGACTCTATAGGGAACTCAAATCAACAAGCCAAAAAAAAAAAAAAACCATTAAAAAATAAAAAATGGGCAAATGAGATGAACAGATATGCCTGAACAGAAGATATACAAGTGGCCAACAAACATGAAAAATTGCTCAGCATCAGTAATTATCAGATAAATGCAAATCAGAACCACAATGAGGTACCATCTCATGTTAGTCAGAATGGCTATTACTAAAAAGTCAATAAATAACATGTTGGCAAGGCTGTGCAGAAAAGGAAACACTTTACGTCACTGGCAGGATTGTAAATTAGTTCAGCAATCGTGGAGAGCAGTCTCGAGATTTCTGAAAGAACTTAAAACAGAACTACCAATTTACCCAGCAATCCTACAACTGGGTATATACCCAAAAGAAAATAAATCATTCTACCAAAAAGACATATGCACTTGAATGCATCACTGTGCTATTCACAATAGCAAAGATGTGGGATCAATCCAGATGCCCATCAATGGTATATTGGATAAAGAAAACCTGGTATGTACACACCATGGAATACTACACAGCTGTGAAATATAATGAAATCATGTCCTTGGTATGAACATAGGTGGAACCAGAGGCCATAATTTCAAGCAAATTAATGCAGAAACAGAAAGCCAAATACTGCATGTTCTTACTTATAAGAGCTAAACATTGAGCATATATGGACATAAATATGGGAACAGTAAACACGGTGGACTACTAAAGTGTGCAGAGGGGAGGGCAAGTTAATATACTACATATTGGTTGCTGTGCTCACTACCTATGTGCTCCAAACCTGAGCATTATACAATATTCCTACATAACAAATCTGTGCCTGTAACCCCTGAATCTAAAATAAAAGTTGAAGTTTTTTAAAAAGTCTTTTCACCTATGAACAGAAGATACTGTTCCATTTATTTGTACCTTTGATTTCTTACAGCAGCATTTTGAAAGTTTTTATTGTACAAATAGTTTGTCATCCTGGTTAAATTGATTCCAGAGCATTTTATTCTTTTTAATACTGTTGTTCATGGTATTGTTTTCTTAATTTCCTTTTCAGATTAATCATTATTGGTGTGCATCAATGCAACTGAGTTTTGTAAGTTAATTTTGTATCCTGCAACATTACTTAATTTGTTTAAACTGTTTTGAGGTGTTTTTCTGTTTGTACAATCTTCAGAATTGTGTGCATACATGATTACTGTGAACAGAGATATTTCTATTTTATTCTTTTTAACATATGCATTTTTGTCTTTATTTTATTTTTGTTATTGCTTAAGCTAAAGTTTTATATACTCTGTTGAGTGGAAGTGGTAAAAAAGAGGAACTATTTTTAGTTCCTGATATTAAGGGAAAACATTTTTTGTATTTCACTGTTGATTATGTTGTGTGTTTGTACCATGAATGAGTAATATCTTGTAGAATGCTTTTTCTGTGTAAATTGAGATATTGTGGTGTTTAACAGTACTAATGCGGTATATTATGATTATTTGTTTATTTATTTATTATTTATTTATTTTTAGAGACAGGATATTATGATGTTGTTTAGACTGCTCTTGAACTCCTGGACTGAAGTGAACCTATCACCTTAGCATCCTGGGTAACTGGGATTACAGGCACAAGCCACTGTGCCTGGCTACATTTATTGATATTTATATGTTAAAGCATCTTTGCACTTCAGTAATAACTCTCAATTAGTCTTGGTAGATAACCCTCTTATTATTCTGCTAAATATATTTTGCTAATATTTATTTTATAGATTTTATATTATTTATAAAGAACATTTTTCTTCAACTTTCTTTTCTTGTAGTGCTTTTGTTCATTTTTTATGTCACTGTAATTTTGGCCTACCTCATAGAATAAATTTGGAAGTGTTTCTGCATCTTCAGGTTTTTGCAAGAGTTTGAGGATAATTGGTAATTAATTCTTAAAATGTTTGATAGATTCAGCAGCATAACAGTTTTGTACTTTTTTTTCTGGAGGGGTGATTTTTGCATCAATCTGCAACTATAGGTCTGTTCAGATTTTCTATTTGTTCATGACTCAGTGTCAGTACATTGTGTATTTCTACATATACATGTGTCGACTTTATCAACATTATTCAATTTCCTTGTGGTCTCTTAGAGACTTATTTAACAAGATCTGAGGCATACAGTTCTTTCAGTTGTATTCTGCTACCATGTATTTATTCTGCTGTTGATGTAGTGGTTATGTGAGAGCTTAGGCAAAGCACTCTATTGACTTATGCATTAGCCTCATTAAAACAAATCAAAACAAAACAGTGTATCCCTAGGCTGTGAATTTCATGAGGACTTCTCACTCTTTACCTCTCTTAACTGGATCAAGAAGGTTAGAGGGGGATGGAATTGGGCATTTCTCTTACTCCAGGAAGTCTGGCTCTGGTAAAATCTCAGTTGGTTAGGCTTTTGATACATAATTTATATTGAAGATAGGAATGTTAAAAAGAAAATTTTCTGGGAATAGTTAAAAATGGCTACATTTCCCTTCCTCCTACTGGAATCAAGAAGCATTTTTTCTATCATCTTCCCTGTAAAAGCCATGTCATGTTTCTGAAAGTAAAGTTCATAAATTTGTATACCCTGAAAATGTTAATTCTCAAACTTTTAGCCATTCATCAATAATGGTTTGTTTTCTTACAACTGTATTTGTTCCCATAGGGGTTTCTTGTGGTTTACTAACCAAGTAAGTTATAATTCTCTGGATGTGTGTGTCCTTCTGTCCAATTTGGGATGGTGATTTGCCCTGTGAACTTATTTTTCTGATAGATGTTAGGAGAATTGCTGGCCTATGTTTCCCTTTTTACTTTCGCTGATGCGAATGTCACCTTCTACGTCCTTACTTGCCAGGCTGACCAAAAGGAACTATCTTCATTTTTTGATGGTTGTCTCTATTTTTAATCCTAAACCGTGTGTGTGTGTGTGTGTGTGTGTGTGTGTGTGTATAAAATAATACAGTAAGAGGAAACCTGGGTGGTCCCTTTTCTGGTACCAGCAGCAGATTGAAACCATTCAAACCCCTGTCCATGGGAATAAATTCTCACCCTAGCATGCCACCTACCCTCAATAAAAATCCAGGCCTGGCTCCTTTTCTTGCACATTCAAGCCATGTCAGATCACCTTGAAAGGCCTTCCTACTTACCTCACAAATGTAATTTATGTGAGTAGTAATTTCTTACCCTCTTAAAGCCACATCTTTGCAAGTGACTAACAATTGGTGCCATGAGCAGACTGTTCAGACATTGCCCACCAACCTGAGGATCTGTCTTCTCTTGCTAAGTTGCTCTGCTGCTTAATGTCTGGCATGTACTTTGACCTGCTGCTTCCGGAGGAGTTAGTGCTTTGAGCTGTGCCGCTCTGTTTATTGTTCTGCCAAATTTGTGAACTAAAAACTCAGACTTCCACATTACAGGGGGAAATGACACAAATCGTGGGGTTTGATTCAAACATAATAAATCTTTAAATTTTTATCATGCAATATAGTCACAAACGAATGAATAAAACATTTATCATAAGTTTTAGTGATAATGAAAACATTCTTAGAATCAAGAATTATTACATATATTTATAATATATATATAATTAATATATATAATATATAAATATATTTTATATTATAAATATATATAATTATATATAAATATAATATATATTTATAATATTTTATATAGAAATATATATATTTATAATATAATTATATATATATATTTTTTGCCCCCGCCGCCGCGGATTCTTGCCCCCGACGCCACGGCTTTTTGCCCCCTACGCCGAGGCTTTTTGCGGCTTTTTGCCCCCGCCGCCGCCCCTTTTTGCCGCCGCAGTTTTTTGCTCCCGCCACCGCGGCTTCTTGCCCCCGCCGCCGCGGCTTTTTGCCCCTGCGGCATTTTGCCCCCGCCGCCGCCGGTTTTTCCCGCCGTGGCTTTTTACCCCCGCCACCGAGGCTTTTTGTCCCCGCCGCCCCAGCTTTTTGCCCCCGCCGCCGCCGCTTTTTGCCACCACCGACGCGGCTCTGAGGGCGGGAGCGGCACACTCGGCTGCCGGCTCTACCGGCGTCCTTGTTCGGGCGGAGCCGAGGGGCGCTCCTGGTCCAGCTCTCCCGGCTCAGGGGTTCCTTGCCTAGGCGCCCGCGCCCCGGGCTCCCCGCCTTGGCCGCTGCAGCCTGCATAGAGCGGCGCTGCGCGTAGCGGCCAGGGGAGAGAAGAAGGAGGGCGGTGGCGGGGGTGATGCGGCGGCCTCTTTGGGAGGCGCAGGGGCCGCAGCCAGCCAGACGCTGCAGCAGTGTGGGCAGCTCCAGAAGCTTGTGGGCAGCTCCAGAAGCTTATCCGCATCTCCATTGGCAGCCTGAGCCGGTTGCGCAACAAGTGCGCTGTGTCCAAGGACCTCACCCAGCAGGAGATACGGACCCTGGAGGTAAGGGGGTCGTGGACCCAGGCTGGGCTCGAGGAGCGGCCCAGACACCTCCCTCCGTGCCCGAGTTCACTCCTGGCCGAGTTGCATCCTTGAGCCCGAGTCGCCCCGTTGGAGGCTTCCCCTCCCTCCTGCACTCGCTGATGCGGCAGCCGGAGGACCCGGGACCAGCCCTCACCTTGGGCAGGATCTGTGGGGCGGGTGCGTCGTGGGAACTGGCAGGGAGGCTTGAGGGGCCCATGGGCGAGGTGGGCTGCGAGCGGACATCACCTTACCCCCTGAATTTCCATCTGGTCCAGCCCTCTCATCTTGTGGGTGAGGAAACCGAAGGCCTGAGGGAGAACTGACTTGCCTGGAACCCCTGTTAAGGAGAATTAACAAAGTGTGGTTATTAAAGGAGCACTGAGTTGGGAGTGAGACCTGGAGGCCCACACCCTTGGTTAAGACATAATACCACCTTGAGTCTGGCCTGTTGACTGAGGGTGAGCCACTCCATCCTCATCTGATTGTGGGGTCTTGACCTCAAGGGGTTGCCTGAAGGAAGAAGCACATGGGTTTGCTTTCCTAGCTCTGTCCAGTACCTTAGGGACCCTGAGGACTGGAGAGATTCTTGGAGAGCCATCTGGTGTATATCATGGGTGGGCCTTTTTTGAAGGTCAGTCTGCCCAGTGGGCTGGCTCAGCCCCAATGAACTGTCTTGAATCTTTGGAGTTGTCTGTGTACTTTTAAGGGCTTCTCATCCTTGCACCAAAAGATCCCCTGGAAATTAGGTGGGAAAACCTTAACTTTTGTGGGGCCTTGTGTTTGTCTTAAAAGTTCATGCACATGGCCAGATGTGGTGGCTCACACCTGTTATCCTGTCCTGGATCCCTTGAGTCAAGGAGTTTGAGACTAACCTGGACAATATAGTGAGACCCTGTCTCTACAAAAAATAAAATATTAGCCAGGGGTGGTTGTGCACATCTGTAGTCCCAGCTACTACTGTGGCTGAGGTGGGAGGAGCACTTGAGCCTGCACTGAGCTGTGATCTCACCAGTGTACTCCAGCCTGGGCCACAGAGCAAGACCCTGACTCAAAAAAAAAAAAAAACCAACAAGAAAAATACTTGAAGATTGTTGCATTCTGTCCCACTACCCATTGGTTGTCATGTGAAGATAATGTTAGAAATTCTTTACAATTGCTTCCAGAAGGAGTAGCCTTTTGATCTAGTGCACAGGTGTCTTTTGGCTTCTCAGGGTCACATTGGAAGAAGAATGCTCCTGGGCCACATATAAAATACACTAATGCTAACGATAGCTGATGAGTTTAAAAAAAAAAAAGGTTTGTGCATAATTTTCATGGCACCCACCACCACAGATAGGTGGAAAAGTCCTTGTAGTCAAAGGGTTGGAGGCGGCTGACCTAGTGTCTTGTCATCCGTTTTGGCTTTCTCCCTGATTCCAGAATGCAGGTATAGATGTAGAGACGTGCTCTCAGGACAGCTGTTGAGATAAAAAATTCTTTGTCATTTATTCCCAAGCACAGCTGTTTGTCATTTGCATTGAAAAAGTCTCCATTCAAACTGCTGTCACATATAAAATCTATTTATATAAGTCTGTATTTTTCTGTTGTCTTGGCCTTTTGGGCAGTAGTGTGTTTTAACCGAGCAAACTGTCCTTCCAAATAATGAAGTCGAAGTCAGCCTACCTGCTTGCCATTTTTCTTCCCCTTCCATTTTTCTAACTTCAGGATAATTGTAAGAATGAATTAAACTTTATGTTGAAGGCCGGGCACAGTGTCTCAGGCCTGTAATCCCAGCACTTTGGGAGGCGGAGAGGGATGTATCACTTGAGCTCAGGAGTTGAAGACCAGCCTGGGCAACATACTGAGACTCCGTCTTGTATAATTAAATTAAAATGTTTAAAAAGAAGAGAAAAAGACCTGTGTTTAAATTTTAAAAAAGGGGAAATTGTAATGCAAAATGTGGACTATGCCAGCTATGATTGGGAAAAATAATTTTTCCTACAGCATTATCTGTAGACTTGTATTAGCAGCATACTGGTCATAAGCGTTTTGCTTTCCTCAAACATGATGAGGTAAGCTACTTTAAAGTGTGGTAGGGCTGTCTTCCGCGTGGCTCCTGGTGGTGTTGAGTCCCAATTTAGCCAATTAATTTGGGTTTAGTTTTGATGTGGATAAGGGAGACCAGCTTCATTCATGGTGCACACACAGTTTTGCCAATAAGGGAAAAAAAAAGCAACCTGAATGTTCCTACTCATTAGATGCTATCTGGAGAGCTCCTACCCCACCCCCACCAAGGCCCAGACCCTTAAAAAGACTCAGTGCAGCCTTTCTGTATCTCATACTGTATTCTGCAAGATGCTCCTGTGAAAGAAAGTTGTGCTGCATCAGCCGTCTCCCTCCTGAAGATCCCTGCGGATGAGGATTTGTGTTTTAAAGGTTCTGAGAAGTCCTGCAATGACAGTCCTCAAACTTATTTGTCCAGGGGATCTTTTCTTCCACTGAACGTAGTTGGGGAGACACGGCCTTAAGCCTTGAGCAGAGAAAGAGACAAGAAGCTGTTGGCTCACTTACAACCAAGTGTTGTGTTTATGTGTTAGGTTTTCATGAAACTGAGGTGCTGTTTGAGGTTCTAAATCAAATTGGGTGGTTGAGGAGAGCCTGGTATCCCTGTAGACTTAGCCAGCCATGAGAGGTTGCCTTTTGTTGAAGGAGGTATTTTACAAAGGGAAGTAGGATGTCTCCTGGGCATCACATTAGCACTTAAATATATGTATCACTGAAATGAAATGAAATGATGAAATGAAATGATGAAATGGTGAAATGAAATAATGAAATGAAAGGAAATGATGAAATGAAGAAATGAACTGATGAAATGAAATGATAAAATGATGAAATGAAATGATGAGATGAAGTGAAATGGTGAAATGATGAAATGAAATGATGAAATGATGAAATGATGAAATGAAATGATGAAATGATGAAATGGAATGATGAAATGATGAAATGGTGAAATGAGATGAGGAAATGAAATGAAATGACGAAGTGAAATGATGAAATGAAATGAAATGATAAAATGATGAAATGAAATGAAAAGATGAAATGATGAAGAAATATGAAATGATGAAATGAAATGAGGAAATGAAGTGAAATGATGAAATGATGAAATAATAAAATGAAATGAAATGATGAATTGATGAAATGAAATGATGAAATGAAATGATGAGATGAAAAGATGAAATGAAATGATTAAATGAAATGATGAGATGGAAAGATGAAACGAAATGATGAGATGAAATGATGAGATGAAATGATGAAGTGAGGAGATGAAGTGAAATGATGAAATGAAATGATGAAATGATGAAGTGAAATGATGACATGAAATGATGAAATGAAATAATGAAAGGATGAAATGATGAGATGAAATGATGAAAGGAAATGAAATGAAATGATGAAATGAGGAAATGAAATGAAATGATGAAGTGAAATGATGAAATAATGAAACTAAATGAAAAGATGAAATGATGAAATGAAATGATGAAATGATATGAAATGATGAAATAAAGTGAAATGATGAAATGATGAAATGAAATTAAAAGAAATGATAAAATGAAATGATGAAATTATATGAAATAATGAAATGATGAAGTGAAGTGAAATGATGAAATGATGAAATGATGAAATAATGAAATGAAATGAAATGAAATGATAAATTGATGAATTGATAAAATGAAATGAAATGAAATGACGAGATGAAAAGATGAAATGAAATGATGAAATGAAATGACGAGATGAAAAGATGAAATGATGAGATGAAATGAAATGACTAGATGAAATCATGAGATGAAATGGTGTAATGATGAGATGAAGTGAAATGATGAGATGAAATGAAATCATGAGATGAAATGATGAAATGATGAAATGAATGAAATGAAATGAGATGAAATGATGAGATGAAATGATGAGATGAAATGATGAAATGAAAGGAAATGATGAAATGATGAAACAAAATGAAATGAAGAAATGAAATGATGAAATGAAATGATAAAATGATGAAATGAGATGAAATGTAATGGTGAAATGAGGAAATGAAATGAAATGATGAGATGAAATGAAATGAAATGATGAAATGATGAAATGGAATGATGAAATGATGAAGTGATGAAATGGTGCAATGAAATGAGGAAATGAAATGAAATGAAGAAATGAAATGATGAAGTGAAATGATGAAATGAAATGAAATGATGAAATGATGAAATGAAATGAAAAGATGAAATGAAATGAAGAAATGATACGAAATGATGAAATGAAATGAAGTGAAATGAAATGATGAAATGATGAAATGAAATGATGAGATGAAAAGATAAAATGAAATAAAATGATTAAGTGAAATGACGAGATGAAAAGATGAAATGAAATGATATGAAATGAAATGATGAGATGAAATGAAATCATGAGATAAAATGATGAAATGATGAGATGAAGTGAAATGATGAAATGAAATGATGAGATGAAATGATGAGATGAAATAATGAAATGAAAGAATGAAATGAAAGGATGAAATGATGAGATGAAATGAAAGGATGAAATGAAATGATGAAATGAGGAAATGAAATGATGAAACGAAATGATGAAGTGGAATGATGAAATTATGAAATGAAATTAAAAGATGAAATGATGAAATGATATGAAATGAAATGAAATGATGAAATGAAGTGAAATGATGAAATTAAATGATGAAATGAAATGATGAAATAAATGAACTGAAATGATGATGAAATGAAATGATGAAATGAACTGACGAGATGAAAAGATGAACTGAAATGAAATGATCAAATGACGAGATGAAAACATGAAATGATGGGATGTAATGAAATGATGAGATGAAATAATGAGATGAAATGATGAGATGAAGTGAAATGGTGAGATGAAATCATGAGATGAAATGATGAAATGATGAAATGCAATGATGAAATGAAAGAATGAAATGAAATGATGAAATGATGAAATGACATGAAAAGATGAAATGATGAAATGAAATGATATGAAATGATGAAATAAAGTGAAATGATGAAATGAAATTAAAAGAAATGATAAAATGAAATGATGAAATTATATGAAATGATGAAATGAAGTGAAATGACGAAATGATGAAATAATGAAATGAAATGATGAAATGATGAATTGATGAAATGATGAAATGAAGTGTAATGACGAGATGAAAAGAAACGGTGAAATGAAATGACGAGATGAAAAGATGAAATGATGAGATGAAATGAAATGACTAGATGAAATGAAATCATGAGATGAAATGGTGTAATGATGAGATGAAGTGAAATGATGAGATGAAATGAAATCATGAGATGAAATGAAATGAATGAAATGAAATGATGAGATGAAATGATGAGATGAAATGATGAAATGAAATGAAATGATGAAGTGGAATGATGAAGTGGAATGATGAAGTGGAATGATGAAATTATGAAATGAAAAAAGATGAAATGATGAAATGAAATGATGAAATTATATGAAATGATGAAATGAAGTGAAATGATGAAATTAAATGATGAAACGAAATGATGAAATAAATGAACTGAAATGATGAATTGATGAAATGAAATGATGAAATGATGAGATGAAAATATGAAATGATGAAATGAAATGACAAGATGAAAAGATGAAATGATGAGATGCAATGAAATCATGAGATGAAATGAAATGAAGTGAAATGATGAGATGAAATGAAATCATGAGATGAAATGATGAAATGATGCAATGAAAGAATGAAATGAAATGATGAAATGAGATGAAATGAAATAATGAGATGAAATGATGAAATGAAATGATGAAATGATGAAATTAAAGGATGAAATGAAATGGCATGATGAAATGAAATGATGAAATGATGATGAAATGAAATGAAATGATGAAATAGATGAACCAAAAATACTTATTGATTTTTTTCTTGGCATCCTTCTAAGAGTATTTTAGTGAGTTTAATTTCTAAAAATAAATTGCTATTCAAAGGCTATACAGATGGCCTTTGCACCACAAGGGTTTGAACTGTGCAGGTCCACTTAGCAAAACCAAGAATTCTACATCCTTCTCCACACCCTGCCCATGAAAAGGATGAGGATGAAGACCTGTTTGATCATCTACTTCCATTTAATAACGAGTAAGTATATTTTCCTTATGATTTTCTTTTTCTTTTCTCTGGCATGTTTGTTAAGAATACAGTATATAAGACATATAACATATTAAATATGTGTTAATTGGCTGCTTGTGTTATTTGCAAGGCTTAGTATAGGCTATTAGTAGTTATTTTGGGGGGAGTCAAAGTTATAGTGGATTTTCTACTGTGCAGGGGGGCCAGCACCTCAACCTCCGTGTTGCTTAAGGGTCAGCTGTACATGTTATTACCTTTCCTGTAAGAGAAAAATGATGAGAAGGTATTTTCTCCAATAAGTGTACTCAAAATGTAGCAGACTTGAAATGTGTTGGCGCCACCATTTTGCATCTCACTTTGAAAACTTATTATTAAAAATCGTACTAAACCCTACCTTACTTTTCCAACCTTAGAAAAAATGTTACAAAGAAAAGGGGTGAAACCATGCTAGTTTGCACTGAAATTTGAAATTATCTTTTAAAAATATATTTTTACTTTAATTACTTCCAAAATAGAGATCAGTTGCATATAAATGGCAGGTCACCTTCATCCACCCTATGACTGCACTTAGATTCATGAGGAATTGTGCCATGTACAAAGGGCAGAGAAGAGGAATAGAGTGCTCTGCGTCTTGAAATATAAACATGCACATAGCCACATGCTTTGATTCTGTTGTCACTGTGTGCCTACTACTAGGAAGAGGGCATGTTTGTGTATTTTTATGCCAATTATTATCCAAGTTGTTAATGATTTAGGCTTTCAGAACCATATAAAAATTTTTTTCCTTTCAGATATAGGCTATCTTGCATTGTTCTTCTGATCATATGAGGGATAAATTTGCCTAAATATTCTTCAGACCATAGTATTATGTCCACATAAATGCCAGTAGCAAGAGTAGAATCAACCACAACTGCCTTTGTAATTATTTAAAGCATGTGTGCCTATAAGTAATTGGCATTTTATATAATCAAGAATCTTTGATATAATAATCTCTCAAGCATTTGAAACATGGCTCACATATATTAATTTTATATGCAAATATATATATAATAGCATTGTATATGAAACAAAATTTTGGACTTTACAACAGTTTCTTAGAATCTTGACTTAAATGTCTACAGTAATATTTCACTTAAAAAAATTTAGCACACTGTCACCATGATAAAAAAATTACTATAAAATTATTTTAAATTTTTTTCCACCCTAACATTTAGAATATTCTCACAATTGTGGTTAAAACCTATCGTGATTGCTCTTAGAATTTAGATAAAAAATGTTCCAGAAAGTTTGAAGAGAAGCACTTTAGTCAATTTTTAGTTGTTCAAGCATGAAGAAACGGCATTTCATTGACTTTTTAAAAACCATTCAGATTCTCTCTTTGAATTCAAGTGTTTCAAGGATATTTTATTTTAAAATACCAAAATAGGAATAGAATATGAAGGGCTGGTTATGAGAAATATAATACACTTTTATGAGAGGATGAGATTACAATAACAGATGGCAGCATCTGCTCATTGGAAGGCAAAGGGGAAACTGGCACTTCACATGGCTGGAGCATGAGGGGTGGGGGCAGATGCTACACACTTTAAAACATGATCTCATGATAACTTGCTATTGCCATGAAAACACCAAGGGGGATGGTGTTAAACCATGAGAAACTGTCCCCACGACCCAATCGCCTCCCACGAGGCCCCATCTTCAACATTGGGGATTACAATTGAACATGAGATCTGGGTAGAGACAGAGATCCAAACCATATGACTCTGTGAGCATTAAATATATGCAGAAAAAAGAATCTGACAGATTCAACATCTATTAGTGATGAAAACTCTCAACAAATTAGGTATATAAAGAATGTGCAACTACACAATAAAAGCCACATATGACAGAGTCACAGCTAGCATCATAATCAACAGAGAAAGAAGATCCAGAACAAGACAAGGATGCCCTCTCACCACTTCTATTCAGTATAGTACTGGAGGTCTTAGAACAGTTAGGCAACAGAAACAAAAGGCATCCAAATTGGAAAGAAAAACGTTGAGTTGTTCATTTGCAGATGACATGATTTTTTTTTCTTGAGACAGTCTCTGCCACCCAGACTGGAATGCAGTGGCATGATCACGGCTAACTGCAGCCCACACCTCCCTGCCTCAAGTGATCCTCCTGCCTCAGCCTCCTGAGTAGTTGGAACTACAGGCATATGCCATGACACATGGCTTTTATTTATTTATTTTTTTTTTGAGACGTGATGTATGTTGCCCAGGCTGGTCTCAGACTCCCAAGCTCAAGCTCCATGAGACTGATCTGGGCAATGATATTTTGGATTTTACCCTAAAAGCACACACAACAAAAGCAAAAATAGACAAATGATATTACAGCAAACTAAGAAGCTTCTGCACAGCAAAGGATACAATGAACAGAGTGGAGAAAACCTACAGAATGGGAGAAAATATCTGCAAACCACACATCTGATAAGAAGCTACTATCCAAAAAATATAAAGAATTCAAACAACTCAATAGCAAGAAACAAAGAAATTTGAGGCCAGGCGCGGTGGCTCAGACCTGTAATCTCAGCATTTGGGAGGCCGAGGCAGGTGAATCATGAGGTCAACAGATCGAGACCATACTGGCCAACATAGTGAAATCCCTTCTCTACTAAAAACACAAAAATTAGCTGGGCATGGGGGCGCACACCTGTAGTCCCAGCTACTTTGGAGGCTGAAGCAGAAGAATCGCTTGAACCCTGGAGGCAGAGGTCACCGTGAGCCAAGATACACCACTGCACTCCAGCCTGGCAACAGAGACTCCGTCTCACCAAAAAAAAAAAAAAAAAAAAAAAAAAAAAAGGAAAATGGGCAAAGGACTTGAATAGTCATTTCTCAAAAGAAGACATACAAATGATCAACTGGAGTCTGAAAAAATGCTCAAATCACTAATCAGGGAAATGCAAATCAAAACCACAAGATATTTCCTCACACATTTAAGAATGGCTATTACCAAAAGCAAGAGATAAGTGTTGGTGATGCTGTGGCGTAAAGGGCAGCTTGTACGTTTTTGGGATTCTGATTAGTATAGCCATTATGGAATCAGTATGGAGGTTCCTCAGAAAATTAAAAATAGAACTACCACATGATCCAGCAATTTAATTCTGGGTATATATCCAAAAGAAGTGAAATTGGCACTCCCAAGTTCATTTCACTATTATTCACGATAGCCAAGATATGGAGTCAACCTAAGTGCCCATCAACAGATGAATGGATTAAAAATGTGGTAAATATACAGAAAGGAGTACTATTCAGCCATAGAATGAGGGAAATCCTGTCATTCGTGACAACAGGGATGAACCTGCAGGCCGTTATGCTAAGTGAAATAAGCCAGACGCACAAATACCACATATTCTCACTTATATGTGGAAGCTAAAATGATAGAACTTAAACAGAGAGTAGAATCATGGTGACCAGAGGCTGGGGTGGTTGAGATCTGGGAAGGCTGCATATATGTTAATCAAAGGATATAAAATTTCAGTCAGAAGGAATAAATTCAGTAGATCTAACCTACTACATGGTGAATTACACTTAATAACTTATTGTACTGTTGAGAAATGCTAAGAGAGTAGGTGTTAAGTGTTTTAACCACAAAAGTGATCAAAATATGTGATAATACATATGTTAATTAGCTGGATTTAGTCATTCCACAATGTATATATACTTCAAAACATCATGTTCTACATGGTAAATACATACAATTTTAATCTTCTTTTGCATTAGAAAGAAAGGAGTATTTCCTCATTTTTCTTCCCAGCCTACTGAAAGATGGGATGGGTAATAATCTGAGTTGTAAAAAAAAAGCTCCATTATATAGATAGGGCACCAAATGTTTGCTTTGCCTTTCCTCTCAGCCCTGGCCCATAGGAAGCCAGTTAGTAACAGTGTCTATCTGCAGTTCCTGATGTAGGGAGATTAAAATATTTCAGTCTTTCAAGTTTCATCGGAATTCATTTTCTAAATTTTAGCTGAGGTTGAAATTCTTCCACAAAGATTAAAGACCCTAAAGAAATCAAGCCCCATGATTTTATTTTACACAATGTAACATTTTGATGAAATTTCCTATATAATAAATGTCATAGTATATGGGTAGGTGATTGGATGGTTTCAATTATCACTATTAACTGTTGTTCATCAAGTCCTACTAATATTTCCCTTATGTTTAATGCATTTAAAGAAAAATAACTTTGTTCTGAGCAGAAGACAGCTTTGCTTCACTACTTAAAATTAAGCTGCATCATTGTTACCTATATAGATTTTGTTCACTGTGTTCAGGCATAGTATCATATAAAATTATATTTGAGCCATTATATAAAATAAGACATTATTGTTCATCTAATAGCAAATCTCAATTAGTCCAAGAAAATAACAGAAACATATTGTTGGATTATATATATCTTCTAGAAAATGCTTATACCACAATATTCTGAATGAGCTAAAATAATAGATACATAACTCTATACAATGTCCAGATAATCTTGTTTTGACTTCCTAATTTATTTGCTTTCATATTCCTTGAATTTATTGCTCTTTAAATATACCCTGGAATAACTACAGTACATTTCATTTTCATTTTGAAAGAGGAACTTATACTTTTTGTGCTATAAAATCCAGTAACATCCAATTTCCAAGCTATGGCATTTATATGAGTAATTTTTGATATTTAATCAGATTTGACATTTAAGAGTTTCTTAATTTTATGAGCATGGAAGTGACAGAAATCATTTGTATTAATTCTGATATTAAGTTCTTACAGATATTCCTTCAATGTTATTAAATCTAAAAAGTGCTTATTTAAAAATCTGAGACTATGTGCAAAAATAGCTAAAATCTCTTATACAGTTATTAATATTTTATTAAACAATGGTATGTTTGAAATAATACTGTAATACATTATTTCACTGTATACATTAAAATTTAAGTGTATTTATTTGTCTTTTTTCTGCTATAGAACTTAACTGCAAGAAAAAATATTTGCTTTCTTTTTTAAGTTCTGGAAATGCTTTAATTGGACCTTTAATGTTAAATATCCATTTCAGTGAACAGCGTCCATAGTACTGGACATAATATACATTTTTAAAAACTTACTTTTTAAAAATTTAACTTTTAAGTTCAGGGGTATATGATGTGCAGCTTTGTTATATAGGTAAATTGTGTCATGGGGGTTTGTTGTACAGATTATTTCATCACCCAGGTATTAAGCCTAGTGCCCATTAGTTATTTTTCCTGATCCTCTTCCTCCTCTCACCCTTCACCCTCTGATAAATTATTCCAGTTTTATAAAGGATAAAACTTATCTGGTTTAAAAATTTTGTGTTCAAGAGTTGTTTAGGACTTGTGTGCCTAACACAAGTAGTTATTTGTAGCGGGATTTTTAAGGAATCAGAGAGAACAGTGGGGTTCAGGAGGATATTTATTAATTATTTAGGTGCACTGGCCCAGTCATATAAATATTCAAAGGACTGGGATTACAGATTTGAGCCACTGCGCCTGGCCCCAAACTTTTTAATTATGTAAGTTTTATGCTCTGTACAGTTCCTCCTGTCTCCACTTAATTTTACCTACTTAGCCAAATGCCCAGTAGTCATTTTATCCTTTGAAAGTTTCAGATAATTGCTCACCTTCTTCCAATTATTTTTTGTTCATTAATTTTTTTCACAGGGTCTTTAAGTATGTATGTGGCTCTGTACTTAATACTTCAGCTCCTCAATCAACAAACTGTTCTCCAGTTCTTTTCCCTGTGACAAAATGCATGAGACTGAAAGGTGCCCAATTCTCCCATAGACCGGATGTATACAGCTTCCTTGAATAAACAGAGAAATTGATTCTGCTAGTCTTAAAGAAAGTTACATTTGTTTCATTTGATTTCCTTGAAACTTACCAGCCCAGGGCCTGACAATGAGAAGCCAGCCCCTCAGCCCCTATGATTGCCTAAGGCAACACCTGCTGCCTGGTGACCAACTCCTCTTCCTCACCCCTTCCCAATTCCTGTTTTTCCACACATGGTTACATTTCTTCCTGGCTAGCCCTGCAGGACCCCCAGCCTATCCACTAACCTGGATGTTGAGAAAGGCTCTCTTGGCCCCCTTCCCTGCCCAGCTCTTTCTGTCCTCCTGCCTCTGCCCTGCCCCCACCCCTTCCACAGAGGCCCAGCTCCACAGGGCCTGGGCCTGTGAAAAATCGCGGGGGCGGGGGGTGGTGCGCTCTGCCAGGGGAACCTGGGGAGGTGGGGCGGTTCTCCAAGTCCCCTTGGTCGCACCCCCGGCCGTTCCCGACCTTGCATTCCCACGCAGTTTCCCTGCCTTCTCTGTGCAGCCAAAAGGGACAAATGCACAAACTGCAAGCTGGCACACCAGGTGAAAGGAGCGGCTGCGCCTGCAGAGGTTCTGGGACCCAGGCTACTGGTGGCCTTTCCTGCACCAGGTTCCGATCTTACCCGCGTCCTGTACCCTACTCCTGCTGGCACCCCGCTCCTACCAATGCCCTGCCCTGCCCTGCCATCACCCTTCACCTACCCACTGCCCAGTCCTAACCGCACCCCACCCCGCCAGCACCCTGCTCCTACCCACACCTGGCCCTGCCAGCACCGCATCCTACCCGCGCCCCGCCCTGCAATCACCCTGCCCTTACCGCACCCCGTCCTACCCTCCCATGCCCCTCCAGCACCCCGATCCTACCCGCACGCTGCGCCTACCCACGCTTCCCCCCGCCAGGACCCTGCCCTGCCCCGTCAGCATCCTGGCTCAACCTGCACCCCGCTTCTACCTGCGCCCTGCGCCACCAGCACCCTGCTCCTACCCGCACTCTGCCCCTTCCTGGACCTGGCCCAGCTGTCACCCTGCTCCTACCACACCCTGTTCCTACCTGCATCCAGCCCCGCAGCACCTAGCTCCTACCTGGACATTTCTCCTACTGTGTCCAGAATTGGTGGGTTCTTGGTCTGGCCGACTTCAAGAATGAAACCACGGATGCTCATGGTGAGTGTTACAGTTCTTAAAGGTGGAGCAGACCCAAAGAGTGAGCAGCAGCAAAATTTATTAGAGTAACATGTAATTTTTAAAAGTAGTTTTAGACAAATCAAGACAATTTCATTTATGGCACATAAAATTCCATAATCTTGTGCATAACACTTTACAATGAGAACTTTTGTTAACCAGGACACATTATTTTCTATGTTCATTCTTTTGACACGTAGATTTATGTTTCCCTCCTAGACTTTCTTGTAAAAATGCCTGTTTTTGATTCCTCAGAGTACAGATAAAAAGGAAGGCTTGATCAGGATATGGTGGATCTGAAGATTCAAAGAAGTGCCATGGCTCAAAAGTAGACATTTTGGTAAATGTGAAGAAGTGAGATTCAATGAAGATGATAAGAAATGAAAGGTGTTACCAAAAGTGGGTATGTGTAGCTATGCTTGTCACACAAAATAGGCTTTAAGTCAAAAAAGCACAAAAATAGAAAATAAAGGTCATTATAAAATGATAAAGGGATCAATTCAGTAAGAAGGTAGAACAGTTGTCAATGTAAACACACCTGACACAGGAGCCCCAGTTATTAAAGTAAGAGTTATTCGAGCAACAGAGTCAGACAATAATAGCTGGGGACTTCAACACCCACTTTCAGCAACAGACACACCTTCCAGGCAGAAAAGCAACAAAGATCAGACTTACACTCCAGTATAAATCAAAGAAACCTGATAGGTAATTACAGAATATTTCACCCACCAACTGCAGAACGTGCTCACAAAATCAGCTCACAAAATATTCTCCAGGATAGACCACATTTTAGGACACAAAACAAACAAATCTCAAAAGAGCATTTAAAAAATGAAAATCATAGCAAGTATCTTCTCAGACCAAAATGGCATAAAATTAAAAGTCAATAACGAGAAATGTTGGAAACTCTCCAAGTACATGGTATATAAATAATGGTAATGGTCAGTGAAGAAATCAAAAAGGAAAGTAACAAAAACATTTCTTGGAAAAAAAAAGGAAACAAAAGAGAAAAAAATACATATAGTAGGTGTTTTTGAAGTAAAAAATGCAGAACAATAAAAAAGTTAAAAGATACAATAAAATAAACTTTTTCTGAACTAAAAATTGATTTGAATAGTTTCATTGGTAACAAAATGACTGGCAGGGAAAGGTGATGTCCCTGAATAGATAGGATTTTTTTTTTTTTTTTGAAGGAGTCTTACTCTGTCGCCCAAGCAATTCTCCTACCTCAGCCTCCCGAGTAGCTGGGATTACAGCCATGCGCCACCATGCCCAGCTAATTTTTTTTTTATCTTTAGTAGAGATGGGGTTTCACCATGTTGGCCAGGCTGGTCTCAAACTCCTGACCTCAGGTCATCCACCCACCTCGGCCTCCCAAAGTGCTGGGATTATAGGCCTGAGCCACCATGCCCAGACAATTAGATAGGCTTTTAAAGTCACAGCAGAAGAAGCAGGAATGTTTGTAACCAGTGGCCAAACAGTATTAAACTCCTGGGTTGTTTTGGGAGGACTCACTACAACTACAGCCCAACTACATTTATTATGCCAGATAACACAGTGCTGAGGGGACATACTGGAGTTGACAAGATCCCGTGGGGGCACAAGTGGCAATGGCTGTGCACCAGTGGCTGGATATTCCTGAAAAATGAAACAAAATTAAACTAGTGGTCATCCAAGAAGATGTAGAATTAACGTACTGAAAAGCATTGATGAACATGGTCCAGGTCAACAGGAAAGCTGCAGGAATCATGTACCTGTTCAGTGCCCATGCAGCCACTGACATCACTGGCTTCAGGGTTTGGGAACAGGTACAGAATGTGACCAGGCAGCAGAGGTACTCTGTTTTTAAGAGTGCTTTCACGGGCAGGCACGGTGGCTCACACCTGTAATCCCAGCACTATGGGAGGCCGAGGCAGGCAGATCACCAGAGGTTGGGAGTTCGAGACCAGTCTGACCAACATGGAGAAACTCCGCCTCTACTAAAAATACAGAAAATTAGCTGGACACGCTGGCGCATGCCTGTAATCCCAGCTACTTGGGAGGCTGAGGTAGGAGAAGAATCACTTGAACCCAGGAGGCGGTGGTTGCAGTGAGCCGAGATCGTGCCATTGCACTCCAGCCTGGGCAACAAGAGTGAAACTCTGTTTCAAAATAAATAATAAAATAAAATAAAAAGTGTTTTCACATATGACAGACATTACCAATAGCAGTTGGTGTCTTTTCATTTTATGTATGTTTATCGTATAAGTCTAATCTTTTTTTAGTATCTTGAATGGTTTTCTGGAAAGACAGCGTTGGTAAGTGGCACACGATGGTAACCCAGTTGTAAGAGGGTTGCAAGATTCTCTTTGATTTGAAAAGCCTAGTCTTGGACCGGGCGCGGTGGCTCACGCCTATAATCCCAGCACTTTGGAAGGTTGAAGTGGGTGGATCACGAGGTCAAGAGATCGAGACCATCCTGACCAACATGGTGAAACCTACTAAAAATACAAAAAATTAGCTGGGCATGGTGGCGCCTGCAGTCCCAGCATCTCGGGAGGCTGGGGCAGGAGAATCACTTGAACCTGGGAGGCAGAGGTTGCAGTGAGCTGAGATTGCACCACTGCACTCCAGCCTGGCAACAGTGAGACTCTGTTTAAAAAAAAAAAAAAAAAAAAAAAAAAAAATAGAAAAGCCTAATTTGTCACTCAAGAGCATTGCACACCCAGACACCCAGGACACTTTCCAGTACTGCATTCTGTTCAACACAGTAAGTGCTTCACTGCATAAAAAACACTTTGAAGACAAAAAGAAATCTTTTTTTGTAGCCTTCCTGATATTTACAGTAATACTATTAACTGTTTATTGACAGCAAAAATGAGATTGTTTTGCAATGCGATGTAATTAGGTATTTTTGTTTGTTTGTTTGTTTGTTTTTTAAGACTGAGTTTTACTCTTGTTGCCCAGGTCAGAGTGCAGTGGCACAATCTCAGCTCAATGCAACCTCTGCCTCCCCGGTTCAAGCGATTCTCCTGCCTCAGTCTCCCTAAGGAGCTGGGACTACAGGCGCCCACCACCACACCCAGCTAATTTTTTTGTATTTTTAGTAGGGATGGGTTTTTGCCATATTTGGCAGGCTGGTCTCCAACTCCTGACCTCAGGTGACCTGCCCATCTTGGCCTCCCAAAGTGCTGGAATTACAGGCATGAGCCACTGCGCCCGGCCAAAATTAGATGTTTCTTAGTGTAACAAGGAATTGCCCTCCAAAAGGAAGTTCATGTATTATGCTCATTTGCAATATATAATTAACTATGCAAATAATTTTTAAGTTTAGTCAATAACAAAGATTGTTCTGTATATGCTACTGTTTAATATCTTTTTTTTTTTTTTTTTTCCTGAGACAGAATCTCACCTGTTGCCCAGGCCAGAGTGCAATAGCATGATCTGGGCTCACTGCAACCTCTGCCTCCTGGGTTTGAGCCAATTCCTCTGCCTCAGCCTGCTGGGTAGCTGGGACTACAGGTGCACATCACCACACCCAGCTAATTTTTTATTTTTAGTAGAGACGGACTTTCACCATGTTGGCCAGGCTGGTCTTGACCTCCTGACCTCAAGTGATCCTCCTATCTTGGCCTCCCAAAGTGTGGAATTACAGGCGTGAGCCACTGTGCCTGGCCAATACATTTTGTAAAATTTTGTATATTGATTTCAGGCCTTTTATTTTCTTAAAAGCAGCAGCTATTTAGCCTAATTCTTAGCAGTGTTTTGTTCTCTGGGCCAGTAGTATTTTATACATGCTTTTTGTGATCCATGTTCAAAGTCTGAATTGCCAATGTTGCAGCTCAAATGTAAGCTTGTTATTCAAATAAATATTTAATTTTTGAACTTGCTCCTGTATGGCTGGGTGCAGTGGCTCATGCCTGTAATCCCAGCACTTTGGGAGGCTGAGGTGGGTGGATCACCTGAGGTCAGGAGTTCAAGACCAGCCTGGCCAACATGGTGAAACCTCGTCTCTACTAAAAATACAAATATTAGCTGGGCATGGTGGTGGGCGCCTGCAATCCCAACTACTTGGGAGTCTGAGGCACAAGAATCACTTGAACCTGGTTGGCAGAGTTTGCAGTGAGCTGAGATCGAGCCACCTCAAAAAAAAAAAAAATTGCTCCTGTATTACTAGATGCCCCTTTTAGTATTATTTTAGAAGCATTGGGAGGGTTTTGACTAAAGTGCAATTTACCGGAAAAGACTAGATTTTAGCTTTTTAGCTTTATGAAACTCTTAAATCTTTCATGGGACCTATATTTTCTTGAATTAAATTTTACAGTTCTAGGCTGGGCACAATGACTCATGCCCATAATCCCAGCACTTTGGGAGGCTGAGGTAGTTGGATTGTGTGAGGCCAGGAGTTCAAGGCCAGCCTGGCCAACATGGTGAAACCCCTGTCTCTACTAAAAATACAAAAATTAGCCGGGCAGTAGTGGTGTGTGCCTGTAATCCCAGCTACTTGGAAGGCTTAGGAAGGAGAATCACTTGAGCCTGGGAGGCGGAAGTTGCAGTGAGCCAAGATCTTGCCACTGAACTCCAGTATGGATGACAGAGTGAGACTCTGTTTCAAAACAAAACAACAACAACAAAAACTGTAGTTCTAGAATAAATAGGTGATCTAAAAAGGTGTTATCTGTGTTACTTAAAAACAGAGGCTTCCATATATATATATATATATATATATATACTTTTTATTATGAGATGGAGTTTCATTCTGTCACCCAGGCTGGAGTGCAGTGGCATGATCTCGGCTCACTGCAACCTCTGCCTTCTGGGTTCCAGTGATTCTCCCCCTCAGCCTCCTGAGTAGCTGGGACTACAGGCGTGTGCCACCACACCCCTAATTTTTGTATTTTTTGTTAGAGACGGGGTTTTACCATATTGGCCAGGCTGGTCTCAAACTCCTGACCTCAGGTGATCCATCCACCTCGGCGTCCCAAAATGTTGGGATTACTGGTGCTAGCCACCGCACCCTGCCGGCTTCCTTGTATTTTAACCCACTAAACAATGAGGAGGAATCCTTCTCATTAAGCGCAAGGGCACTAGATCCTTGGGTCCCTGACTTCCTAAGAGAAGCAGCATATCCTGAAAGTTTCTGACACTTCCCGCTCACAGGCACCAAAGCCTCATGTGTAAACGTATCCACTTCTTGCCAAAGGAACCCCCCCGCCGGGAAGATGAAGCTCCCTGGAAGAGGCTTCTTGGACATGACCATCTCCAGGAACCAGCGGGCAACCTTCATGTGTGTGTGACCAGACCTCCAGCTATAAGCATGGCATGCAGTACAGAAGAGCCTGCTATGAAACTGAAATTGATTGGACATTTTATAGGAATTGATAGAGATGATGGTCTTCAAAAGCTTTAAATCTGTGATCTGCAAAATAAAATGTGTTGGAAACCTCTGGCCAAAATTTTTTTTTCTTCTACTATATTTGGAATATTTTTCTTCCATTGTTAAGTACACATATGTATTGTACAAAATGTCCAGGAAAATGCCATACAATAATGAACAATGAGCTATACACATTTATTTATTTGAGATGAAATTACACGTTTATTTATTTGAGACAAAGTTTCACTCTTGTTGCCCAGGCCAGAGTGCGGTGGCATGATCTCAGTTCACTGCAACCTCTGCCTCCCAGGTTCAAACGATTCTCCTGTCTCAGCCTCCCACGTAGGTGGGATTACAGGTGCCAGCCATCACACCTGGCTAACTTTTTGTATTTTTAATAAAGACGGGGTTTCACCATGTTGGCCAGGCAAACTCCTGACCTCAGGTGATCCACCTGCCTCAGCCTCCCAAAGTGCTGAAATTACAGGCATGAGCCACTGCTCTGGGCCGGGATATACCTATTTAAAGTTGTTACCAAGCTTCAAGGATCAAAAAAAGATTCCTAAGGAGGGGACATCTGAGAAAAGAAGAAGTTGGGTTCAAATATATATTTTTCTCAGAATTTTCCATAGCAATGTTTAATGCTAGAAGAAATGGAATAATTTGACACATGTATATGCACACTGTATATATAACTAAGGACATATAAAATGGTCTGGAATTATAATGCGCAAGCCAATAGCATTAGTTACTTCTGAAAAATGTACTGGAATTGAAAAGAAGACATTGGTCTTTAAAATTTTAATTTTTAAAACAGAATATGAAATACATTAATAATTACCACCCCAACAATAATAACAATGCTGAAGAAACCTCTACCAAGTAATCAGGACAAGACCATGTGATCCAAACAGGTATGTTCAAGTTGTTTTTTAAGTAGAAGGAAGCAAACATCATTTTCAAATATACAAGGACAGACCCATCTCATGAAATAATTTTGATGAGCAAGAAATGCCTGGAGAAACCATGACTTTTAAAAAATTGATAGTAAGCAACCAATCCATTATAACATTGTTAGACGATTGTAAAAATGGTTATAGAATTACATGGTTTACAGAATTACATGCTGTAATTCCTCAAGGAGGAATATGGTGGGTAAGTTCTTATATATGTAACATAGATAAATGTGAATGATGTGTTAGAATTTAAATTATGCCAAAAGAAGTGTGTTTTTGATGGTGTTATCAGATTAGATTCTTACAGAAAGGTTGAAGGATCTTTCAGAAAGATTCCAACATGAAACAAACCAGAGAATAAGGTGATAGAAAGCCATTGTAGGTTCCTGGATGGTATGGCAGATTATATCCCTCTTAAGAAGCATTTCTTTTTCCCCTCCCCCACCTGCACGTACTACCCCATTTCATTAATGTTGGACTTGACCATGTGACTTTCTTTGCTCAGCGTAGCATTAGCAGAATTGGTTCTGCCATTACTGTGACAAGAATAACAGAAAGCTGACTACTGTTCCTCTTCTTTAGTTCCAAAAGTAAAAATAAAATGGGTGTTAAGAGACAGAATACAGCCAGGCGCAGTGGCTCACGCCTGTAACCCCAGCACTTTGGGAGGCTGAGGTGGGCGGATCATGAGGTCAGGATATCTAGACCATCCTGTCTAGCAGAGCGAAACCCCGTCTCTACTGAAAATACAAAAAATTAGCCGGGCACGGTGGCGGGCGCCTGTGGTCCCAGCTACTCTGGAGGCTGAGGCAGGAGAATGGCATGAACCCGGGACGTGGGGCATGCAAAAAAAAAAAAAAAAGAGAGAGAGAGACAGACAGACAGAATATAAGCCACAGACTAGGAGAAAATATTTGCAAAACACATATCTGATAAAGGGCTTAGATCTAAACTAGATAGAAAATTCTTAACAATTAAAAAACAATTTAAAAGTGAGAAAAATATCTGAATAGACATCTGAACAAAGAGAATACACAAGGGACAAATCAGCAAATGAAAATATTCTCAGCCAGGCAGGGTGGCTAGTGCCTTTAATCCCGGAATTTTGGGAGGCCAAGGCAGGCAGATCACCTGAGGTCAGGAGTTTGAGACCAGCCTGGCCAACATGGTGAAACCCTGTCTCTACTAAAAATATAAAAATTATCTGGGAGTGGTGGCATGCACCTGTAATTGCAGCTATTTGAGAGGCTGAGGCAGGAGAACTGCTTGAGCCCAGGAGGTGGAGGTTACAGTGAGCAGTGATCACACCATTGCACTCCAGCCCAGGCAACAGAGACTCCATCTCAAAAGAAATAAAAAACACAATTTTACAGTAAATACTAAATCTCGTTTATGACGGCCACCCCCCACCCCCAGTTAGGTGACCCATTTGGTATGGTTGGGAGATGTGACACTCAAGGCTGGTACATCAAAACCACTTCTGTGGTTTTTGCTAAAACCACGTGGTTGCTGATTGAGAAATGTACATCACTGAGAAGAATGGATGGACCGCATTTTCTCTGTGCAGCTATCAGTACACCTCTGTCTAAGCTGGCTTTTGAAAAATATGGAGTGGCTGTGAGTTTGAGGTGATAATACTACCCCCTCTCCAGCAGCTCCTGTGTTGTGGTGCACATATCAGGTGGTCTTTCTAGCCAGTGAAGATAGAATCCAGATTGGAATATATGTTAAACAAAGGCTGAATCAGGACATGTGCCAAGCTGAAAGACTTTTCCAGTTCTGTACAGCTGAGCCTCAACAGTGTCTGTTACGACAAAATTGTTCTCCAAACATTAATTTGTGGTCTGCTCCCATACACTACAAATAATGGACTATGTGTCCATCTTTGACACTTACTGTGTTCCACCAAGAGGGACACCTCCCAAAGCCAGAAAATATTTATTTCACACTGAAGTCCAAGTGGCCTCACAAATATTTTCCGGATCCTAACAAAGAAAATAATCTGAGTTGAAGATCCTGTATTCAATTATTTTGGCAAATATTTCTTTCATGTTTCCTTTGTCTAAACGACTGAGCTAGGTGCTGAGATGATGTTATTCCCATCCTTAGAGCTTGTGCTCCAGAGAAGAATATAGATAAGGAGAGGGACGTCACATTACCGTCTGCAGAAGGAGTGTGGGAAACCATGGAGTTAAAGGACTGCTATTTATGAGTAATCTGCAGAATGGAGGAAAGCTTCCCAGAAGAAGCCAGCCCGGGGGAGCTGTGGGCAAGCATTCCAAGCAAAAGCATTCACACTGATGTGGGCCAGACACTTCTTCTGTAAGGTCCTAAGAGCAGACTGAGCACACAGTTTGTATGTAACCAGGCAGTGGACAAGCCATGTGCAACTCAGAGGAGCGTTTTTTTTTTTTTTTTTTTTTTTTTTTGTAAAGGAGTTTCGCTCTTGTTGCCCAGGATGGAGTGCAAGGGATCTTGGCTCACCACAGCCTCCGCCTCCTGGGTTCAAGTGATTCTTCTGCCTCAGCCTCCCAAGTAGCTGGGATTATAAGCACCCACCACCACGCCCAGCTAATTTTGTATTTTTTAGAAGAGATGGAGTTTCTCCAGTTGGCCAGGATGGTCTGTATATCCTGACCTCATGATCTGCCCGCCGTGGCCTCCCAAAATACTGAGATTACAGGCGTGAGCCACCACACCTGGCCAAGATTGAAATCTTAATGAGAGAAAAGCAGTTTGGAAACTTACCTGTTTTTTATTCAAAGCCCATCCTCTCCTTCCTGTTCATGAATGGCAGGCATCCTGTGGTGACTAAAGAAGGTCCTACCAGCTAAGGGATTTCATCGGCCCAAGGAGCAGCTTCCACAGGAGCTCCAGCAGGTTCCTTGGAAAAGGTGACAGTGCTGGGCCATGGTGCCCTGTTCAGAAATACAAGACTCAGATTTAGTAAAGCCAGTAGTGTAATGTGAAATTTGTTTAAAAAATCCTTAACCAAAACATTTCATTTCATAAGACCGATGTATTCCATCAACAGTTTTTTACTGTATGTTCATACTTATGGCATTAAGAATCAGCGTGATTGGCCAGTGACGAGCATCTGGTTTGTCAGTTTTAGTGGCAAAGCTTTCCAGCATCTACAACTCTAGTCACCAAAATCAAGAATGTCTTTCTTTTCTCTTTTTACCTAATTACAAAAAAGGGACTGATTTATGAAAAGCAATATGTTAATAAATAACACAACTTATGTTCATATCATTACCACTTCTAGCCACAAATTAAGAGTCAAGATTAAGGAAAACTTACCTAAATTTTCCCAGGCTATTTTAAAATTGTTTTTTTCCTACAAAAATAAATGTTAAATTATTCTTTTGAGGTAGTCTGAATTAAGTTGTTGCTAATTGGAAAGGACTATTAGATCTTAAGGTGAACTGACAATTTTATAAAATAAATAGACTTCCTTTCTACTATTAGAAAGTTCTAATAATGAGTTCTATTATTATAATAATACTTCTCAACTCTCTTTTAAAATATTATTAATGTCTTGGCATTTTCAGACTTAATCTGAAAATGTTTTAAATATCGAAATAGACATATCCAAAGTTTACAACAAGGGTGTGCAATCATGATGGACACACTGCCTCAAACATGAGGGATCAACCCAACTCATACCCATCACACCCTCAGCATGTGGGAATGTTAAATTATACAGGAACCATGGCTGGAAACAAAAATCTGTAGGTGTCCCTGACATAAATTCCCATAGTACTTGCCTGCATCCTGGACACCCCCTCCAATATCCTTCAAATTATCTCTAGATTACTCACAATACCTAATACAATGGAAATGCTACTTAAATGGTTGTTACACTTTATTGCATAAAGAATAATGACAAGAAAAAAAGCTTGTACGTGTTCACTACAGATGCAAACATCCTTTTTTTTCTGGAATATTTTTGATCTGAGGTTGGTAGAAAGTGAGGATGCAGGACCCACAGATAAAGGGGACTGACTGTATTTAACACACACACACATATTTTCTTTTGCCTGAGTAAAAAACAAAATTGTACTCGTAACACAGCTGAAGGATGTCAAGAAAACTGTTCTTCCCATTCAACCTCAAATTGATAGAGATGAACTTCAAAATCCACATAGAACCTTTTATTTCCTTAATGCTCATTACATTTTAATCATTAGAACTAATAGTCAAATAAGTTGCCCTTACTAATAAATCCAAATTAAAACAACACAGAAATGACACTTTATTTCTTCAATAATTATTAGTGAACACCTACTTTGCATTACATACTGTTTAATCATCAGTGACATATTAATAAGCAAAAGATAAAAACTCCTGCCTCCTAAAACTTACAGTATAGCAGCACTTTATTTTACTGAATAAAACAAATCCTTGAAAATCTGCACGACTTGCTCCTACGACTTGCATGAAAGTTTCCAGAAGGTTCATGTTCAAGCAGCTTTGCTAAAGCAGAGGAAACTTCCACTTGTCTTTCTTACAAACTGTCGCAAAACACACCTAAAATTTCAACTCAGGAAATACAGTCAGCTTTTGATTAGTCTGCACTTAAGAATGTCTTCCCTTGATCCAGTAATGTGAATGCAAATAAAACATTGTAACTTATACCAAAATAAAAATTCTGAATAGATCATTTTTCCATGATTCAGTGTCTTGTTCATCTGTTTAATAAATAAGTCAGTTACTCTCCAACTTCTGTCATACTCTCAAAAGTCATGAGCAATCCAGAAGATCCATCTCTCGTATTTATTTTTATTTTCTTAAAAATTCACTACACTGAGACCAGGTGCGGTGGCTCATGCCTGTAATCCCAGCACTTTGGGAGGCTGAGGTGGGCAGGTCATGAGGTCAGGAGATCGAGACCAGCTTGGGCAACATGGTGAAACCCCGTCTCTACTAAAAATACAACAATTAGCTAAACGTGACGCACCTGTAGTCCCAGCTACTTGGGAGGCTGAGGCAGGAGAATCGCTTGAACCTGGGGGGCAGAAGTTGCAGTGAGCTGAGATCACACCACTGCACTCCAGCCTGGGTGACAGAGCAAGACTCCAGCTCAAAAAAAAAAAAAAAAGAAAAGAAAAATTTACTAGAAGGGATTAAAAACAGATTTGACCAAGCAGAGGAAAGAATTAGCAAATCTGAAGACAAAGCAATTGAAATAATCCTGTGTCAGAAACAGAAATAAAATGGTTGCAGGAATATCAACTGACCCTAAGGGACCTGTGGGACACCATCAAGTGGACCAACAACAGTTTGTAAGAATCACAGAACAGACAGAGGGACTAAAAGAATACTTGAAGAAATAATGAAAATCTAAGAAACTTCCCAAATTTGATTTAAAACATTAAAACATTATAAATATACAAGGCTTGGCATGGTGGCTCCCACCTCTAAACTCAATGCTTTGGGAGGCCAAGGTGGAAGGGTAGTTTCAGGCCAGGAATTCAAGATCAGCCTGGGAAACATAGGGAGACCCTGTTTCTGTGAAAAAATCATAATTAAAGTTAAAAGCTGGTATGGTGGTGTGCACATACAATCTCAGCTACTCAGGAGGCTCATGTGAAAGGATTGCTTGAGCCCTTTCAGCCTGGGTGACTGAGTGAGACCCTGTCTTTTTTTTCTCTTGTTTTGAGACGGAGTTTCACTCTTGTTGCAATGGTGAAATCTCAGCTCACTGCACCCTCTGCCTCCTGGGTTCAGGTGATTCTCTTGCCTCAGCCTCCCACGTAGCTGGGATCACAGGCACGTGCCACCATGCCGAGCTAATTTTGTATTTTTAGCAGAGACTGGGTTTCTCCATGTTGGTCAGGCTGGTCTCAACCTCCGAACCTCAGGTGATCTGCTGGTCTCAGCTGGCCTCCCAAAGTGCTGGGATTATGGGCATGAGCCACTGTGCCTGGCCATGAGACCCTGTCTCTACAAAAACTTGCTGTCAAAAAAACCACAAAGCTCAACAAACTCAAAATAGGATAAATTCAAAGTATCTCACTCAAGATAGTTTATAATCAAGGTATCAAAAGACAAAGAATCTTGAATGAAACAAGGGAGAAGTACTCCTCACATACAAAGGATTCTCAGTCAGATTATCAGTAGATTTCTTACCAGAAACCTTGGAGGCCAGAAGGCAGTAGGGTTGATTAATTCAAAGTACTGAGTGGGGAAATCCTTTCAACTAAGAATCTTAGATCTGACTGTTAGGGTTGAAAGGTGTCCACCGAAGTTCATGTCAAAACAAACAAATAAAAAATCATTATGAGATTTATGCATAGAGCTTTTTTCTTTCTTTCTTTCTTTCTTTTTTTTTTAAGCACATGGGCTATCATTAGTGTTAGCGTATTTTATGTGTGGTCCAGGACAATTCTTCCAATTTGGTCCAAAGAAGCCAAAACATCAAACAACCCTGATAAATGTACTTAACATTACTGAACTGTACACTTAAAATGATTAGATGGTAAAGTTTATGTTACATATATTTTACAATTTAAAATTAAAAATATATTTAATATGTACAAAACAGAGATGTACAGAATAAAGCAAAAAAGTAAGAATTCTTTTAGTAAATACTGGAAAACTTGGTCTAAGTGAGAAAAAAGTAACCCACATGCAAAACTCACATCATAGTTTATAAAACTATAACAGTATTAGGAGAAAATGCTCGATGGTGGGGAAACCACAGATGGTCCTGACCACTGAAGAAATGGATCAGAGGACAATGACTGATTTTAATAGGTGAATAATATTTATGTAATAATAGGTAATAAGATACATGTAAAAGAAAAAAAGAACAAAATGGGAGAATTCTGAAGCAGGCAAAACTCTTAAAATCCAACTCTACAAATAACTTACACAAATATAAAGCTGATACCTAAAATTCCCTTGATAATTTTATTTTTGGGACTTTTCCTTTTTAGGTAAGGAGCACTTTCAACACCTGATAGCACCATGCACCTGACACTCCCTGCAGTTGACATCAGTTGGTGGGGTGGGGGGGGGGACCCTCTCTTTTTTCTTTCCTTTCTTTCTTTCTTTTTTTTTTTTTTTTTTGAGACAGAGTCTTGTTCTGTCACCCAGGCTAGAGTCCAGTGATGAGATCTTGGGTGACTGCAGCCTCTGCCTCCTGGGTTTAAGCAATTCTCCTGTCTCAGCTCCCAAGTAGCTGGGATTACAGGTGCATGCCACCAGGTCCAGCTAATTTTAGTATTTTTAATAGAGACAGGGTTTCACCATATTGGCCAGGCTGGTCTTGAACTACTGACCTTGTGATCCACCTGCCTTAGCCTCCCAAAGTGCTGAGATTACAGGTGTGAGCCACCACACCTGGCCATCTCTATTTCTTATACACAGTAATATTATAATAAGAAAGATATCAATTTGCTTAATATGTAGCCTGTTTCTGAGTTCTGTAGATGTCATTCAATAAGATAAGAAAGCTACTGATCTCATCAAATCAAGAACACAATACAGTTCCCTCAGGTATCAAAAATTGCATGGCCTCAAAATATGGGAAAGATAATATTTTATGAAATGGTGTATTTTAAGGCTGACCTACAGATAGGAATGTTTCAAGCAATAAAGCTTTGATGCAGATGTTCATTCCATATCCTGTCCTGATCCTCACCTGCCATAGGCCAGCCTGCACTTGCCTTCACACTATGCCTTCCTTCATGGCTTCAGGCTAAGATTGCCAGGAGGCTTCTGTACATGTGGTCATCTTATGGATTAAACACTTTTTTTGTTAGTTTTGTTTGTGTTTTAGAGACAGGGTCTCACTGTCGTCCATCCTGGAGTGCAGTGGCATGATCATAGCTTTCGGCAACCTCCAACTCCTAAGCTCAAGTGATCCTCCCAACTCAGCCTCCTGTGTAGCTGGGACTACAGGCACACGGCACCATGCCCAGCTCATTTTTGTGTTTTTAGTAGAGACGGGGTTTCACCTTGTTGGCAAGAATGGTCTCAATCTCTTGACCTCGTGATCCACCCACCTCAGCCTCCCAAAGTGCTGGGATTACAGTCATGAGCCACCACACATGGCCCAGATTAAATATTTCTTTAGAAGATGGACTAGAAATGGGTCATCCAAAATTTTTACTTACCTATGAAGAATTCCAATCTTCAAAATCTTTTAGAACTCAATCAGAACTTGAGAACTTCTTTCAGTAGGTGCTGTGATTCAATAACCAGAATTCTGCTTTAGTTTATAGTTCTACAACTATTTCTGTCATTTTCCTACTAAATTACATGAAGGGAGTTGTCTGCATATGAGCTGCACCACCGAGCAGCATGGCTATCAGTGAGAAGGTGCCTTCTCAGTTAAAATGTCCTGACCAAGTTTCCCCAGAAATTTGTGAGTACTCAACTGTATTAAAACTAAATATATTGTTTTTAATGACAAATAGTCACTAATTAGTAAAATGATTACTGTGCTATAATAGAACAAGTCCTTAGCCCAAAATTAAATGGCCACAGATTCATACAAAGCTTATCAACTATCACATATCACATTTTGACAAAAATCAAGAAGACAAATGGATGATCTCTTCTTCTTTTTCTTCTGTGAGACAGGGTCTTGCTCTGTCACCCAGGCTGGAGTGCAGTGGCACAATCACATTTCACTGCAGCCTCCACCTCCTGGGACCAAATGATCCTCCAACCTCAGCCTCCCAGGTAGCTGGGACCACAGTCGCATGCCACCATTCCCAGTTAGTGTGTGTGTGTGTGTGTGTGTGTGTGTGTGTGTGTGCGCGCGTGCTTGTGTGCATGTGTAGAGTCTCCCTATGATGCCTAGGCTGGTCTCAAACTCATGGCTCAAGCAATTCTCCATCTTTGGCCTCCCAAAATGCTGGGATTACAGGCATGAGCTAAATCACACTAAATAAATTATATTTTAAAAGTAAAGTCAAAGGTAGAATTTAAGAACAAAGGAATTCTATTTCTATACTTACTAGTCCCAGGTAGACAAACAACATGGCCTTCCTGAGCCTCCTCCTGAATCTTTTCAGAAGAGTGTGAGCCATGAGAAATCAGAGCTGTTATTTTCTGGTTGAAACTGACACTTTAGGCTACTGTTTTCATTTGCCTGTTGAAAGGGTAACTCAGCTGTACTAATCATTTAAATTAAAATTAAACATTTTGAAGGGGAAAACATGGGGAGCAGACAACATCTACCTTACTCAAGGAGGCAGGTAATCAGTGTAAAAGGAATGAGAAATCACCACTGGAACCACGGGTTTAATCAATGTTTCCAGGAGGCTTCAGCAATGACGCTGAAACCAGCTGGTGAAGGTTGCCAGGGAATAAGATGTTCACAGTGCTTTGATATCTCATCCCACAGATGACTAACAACAAAAGGGAAAAGCTACTTCACAAGGAGATGTCCAGTTGATACTACCTCAACCAAAATTATTAAACATAGCATCAACAATCGTGGGACAAACAGACTCAAACATCTGGTGTGAGGCGTTAAGTACACAACACTGCCTAATCTGAATTAGGCATTATTCCTTGTTTAATCTGGATCCACTCATGAGAACACTGTTTAATCTATTCTTGCCAAAATGATCAAACTATTCTAGTCAGGAGAAGAAAAAAGCAATCAGATATATCTAGATTATGGGTCATTCTACAAAACAAAGAGTGTAGATTTTTCAAAATATTTCATGTATTGAAAGAAGTACTCCAAAGTAAAAGAACAGAGAGACATGATAACCAAAGGCAAGGTTAATCTTTGATTAATCTGTGGATTTAAAACAAAAATAAAGAAAATTTTGGAGACAATTAGGTAAAACTGAATATGGGCTGTACATCAAATTACTGTATTACAGTTAGATGGTAGAACTGTGATTATGTAGAAATATGTCATTATTCACAAGAGATAAATGCTGAAGTGTTGGGGTAAAACATCTTGCTCTCTGCAACTTACTTTCAAATGATTCAGAGAAGAAAGTACTTATGGAAAGAGAAAGAAAATGCAAAGGTGGCAAATGCTAGCCACTGGTTGATCTGAATGAAGAATATGTAGATGTCCATTGTCTTTGCCTTTTAATTTTCTGTAGGCAAGGGAAAGATAGGAAGGAGGTAAGGTGCAGGCATTTCTTATCAATTCATACCTGTAAAAAAACAAAGTTAAAAGAAAAGCAAAGGCTTAAAATTCATGTAAACACCCAGTGAGATTAATAGTAATTTTCTGTCAAATTTCTGAAAAGCCATTAAGACTGTAACACACCTGACTAGGATCACTTGCAGGTAACTTAAAGTATTTTTTCTAGAGGTTCCAGTCCTTCTACTTCATATGTTTTATTCCATCATTCCTGGAATTGCCAGTTGTTCAAAATAAAGCTCTAAATGATCATTGTAGGACATTTCATCATCAATATCATCCTTTAATAAAATGAAGAAAAAATGAAACAAGCTCTAAAGTAGTGACTAAACAATAAATAATTTGTCATAAAAAGGGCTAAGACATAAATGAGTCAATAAAATTAAGAAAAATAAAACGGCTGTAAGGTAGTGACTAAACAATAAGTAACTTGTAATAAAAAAGACTAAGACATGAATGAGTCAATAAAATTAAGAAAAAAAATTAAGCAGGCTTTAAAGTACTGACTAAATAATTTGTAATCAAAATACCCATCAGACATAAATGAGTCAAAGTGTACAATTTATTTTTTTTGGAGATAGAGTCTTGTTCTGTTGCTCAGACTGAATGCAGTGGTGCGATCTCAGCTCACTGCCATCTTCACCTCTCAGGCTCAAGCCATCCTCCCATCTCAGCCTCCTGAGTAACTGGGACTACATGCATGCACCACTGCACCTGGGTAATGTTTTTTTTTTTTTTGGTAGAGATTGGGTTTCCCCATGTTGTCCATGCTGGTCTCAAACTCCTGGACTCAAGCATTCCAGCTGCTTTGGCCTTTCAAAGTGCTGGGATTACAGGCGTGAGGCACCGCACCTGGCCTCTTTCTATATTTGACATGAGAAAACTATTATAACTTCAGTCAGTTATAAGTCATTATAAAAAAAAATTAACCTCTTTGAGAGGACAGGACAGAAAGATCCTGACATGTTACCAAAGCTTATGGTAGGATAAATGTGCCATCACAAATGAATGGGAAGAGAGCAGGCCCTTCAGAAAATGGTGTGGCAAATGGTTACCTCTATCAAAAAAGTACAGATGAGCCTATCCTAAGAGAAGTAAAAGGAATAAAGGGAGGAAGGGAGGAGGGGGTGGGGGGAGAGAGAGAGAGAGAGACAGACTGCAGAAGGTTTCAATGTTATAACACCCAGCTCAGCAAGGACAAGATAAAACAAGAGCTCTCAGTCATGGCCTAAGCTGGCAGTGCCTTTTTAAGAGGTTAATTTTGCAATTAGCATTAACAGTCTCAAAAACACTCATCACCTTTGACTTAGCCATTTCACCTACAATAATCTAGCATACTAAAACACTCAAAGATTGGATACATTTAGGTCAATAATTCTTCATCCATTAATTACACAATCACAAAAAATTTAAAAACTCTATTGGCAGCAAAAGCTGTCCTCAATAAATGTGATACTATTTACAGTTTCTACTTATACCACTCAGCTGGCCTTTAAAGCCATGCATACTTTTAATGTAAGTAGCCCCAGCCTACTTCTCTGGGCTTATTTACCAATGCGGCCTCCCACAGATGCTGTAAACCTGACACAGAAAGTCCCTGGCTCTTCTCCAAACACTGCCCACATGCCTCACAGCAGCACCTTTGATGATACTGTTTCTGCTTCCTGACACGTCCTCCTTCTCCTACATCTAAGGCCTGGCACAGGCCCCATCTCTTTTCATAAAGCTTCAGCCATACCTGCCTCAGAGGTAAATTTCTGACCCCCATGATTCCCAGGCTCATTTTGGTGCTGCTGGGTGTACATAACACAATCTGAAATGTGGTTCTGCATCTCTTCTTTGCACCTGGCTGAAGTTTCAGAGAGCAGAGTCTAAATAATTCATGGCTCCCTCAATTTCTAAACACAGTGCTGTATATTGAGTGGCACCTCTAGGTGACTACTTTGTACTCTAAATGTTAAATTGAGGGATGAGTGAAACCATATTAGGATTAATATACAGAAACAAATTTTTGAATTCCATCACTTAATAGAAGTGGCCATTTGAATGTTGGCATGTAGGAAGAAAAGAGGAGGACAAAGAATCCCCAAAAGTTGGCATCATAACTACTGCCACAAAAAAGGGGAATAAAGCAGAGTGGCAAGATAAAGACCAGGGAAACACAGGTCACTGCAGGACAGAAGAATCTTCCAAGCTTGTCAGTAATGTAAATTTCTCATTTTCCAATAAACTAGTGCGGCATAGGTCACTGTTTAGAGTCTTGTCTTCAAAATGTTTTCCAGCATCAAGGACAACAATCTACAAGAAACAAAATGGTGAGAAAAAGCAGCACACTCATGACTCTGAAGAGCACAGCATAAGGCTACAAAAAGGACCAAGCACCTTCTCAACCTGCAATGTGCTCAGTGTCTGAAATCATAAGTTAGGTGATGAACGGCTGGTAGTTTCACGTGAATTAATAACTTTCCTTCTTGCCCCCATGTTATCTCCCTCATCTGACCCACCCAATAAAACATCCTTAAAAGGCTCCTCTCAAATTCCTTGCAAACATTAGGCTCCTCTCAAATTGCTTGCACATGCTTGGAGAAGCTTGCAGTACAGTTAGTGCACTAATACACAACTGAACTTGAGCAACACAAGGCTTACAAGACAGCAAAGACAACAGCCAAGCTGGGCCCAGCAGCCATCACCTGAAGAACTCTTCACCCATTACGTTGGAGCAAATGATTTCTCTGGAACCAGGAACCACAGAACCCTGAAGGACAAACAGCTGGTGGCTAAGGACTCAAGGCCTGGAGTGAAAATGTAACATTTCCCTCCAAGTGCTTATTTCTGCTATAAACTGGTTTAGTTCTGCAATGAACAACTAGATTTCTAACTGATATTAATATTAATAAACTTTTTTTCTAAAAGACAGAGTCTCGCCCTGTCACCCAGGCTGGAGTGCAGTGGTGCAGTCATGGCTTACTGCAGCCTCAACCTCCCAGACTCAAGCAATCCCCCTGCCTCAGCCTCCCTAGTAGCTGGGGCTACAGATGGATTCCACCATGCCCAGTTAATTAAAAAAAATTTTTTTTTTGTAGGGATGAGTTCCCACTATGTAGCCCAGGCTAGTCTTAAACTTCTGGGATCGAGCAATCCTCCTGCCTTGGTCTTCCAAACTGCTGAGATTACAGGCAGTAGCCACTGCACCAGGCCATTAACACTTGTATATGTAAAATACATACAGAATATAAACCACTACAAAACATAAATACAGTCCATCTTGATGTAACTTACCGTACTATGGATTTGTTTTAAAAATGACGTAAAAGTCATTAAGAAAATGAAAGCATGAAAGAAGTCTATTAAAATTACAAAAACTCAAAACTGAGTAAACAAAACTTCAGAAGGAATGAAAACAATTGGAAAATAACTTCAGGAAAAATGTAAAATAGAAACAACACAAGAACAATTTGTGCCCTCTAAAAAACAGAGGTTAAAGTCAGGTAAAAAAATATTTTTTTAAGAGGAAACCTCGCTCTGTCGTCAGGCTGGAATGTAGTGGCATGATCTTGGCTCACTGCAACCTCTGCCTCCTGGGTTCAAGCGATTCTCCTGCCTCAGCCTCCCGAGTACCTGAAACTACAAGCATGCGCCACCACGCCTAGCTAATTTTTGTAGTTTTAGTAGAGACGGGGTTTCACCTTGTTGGCCAGGCTGGTCTCAAACTCCTGAACTCAGGTGATCCACCCGCCTCGGACTTCCAAAGTGCTGGGATTACAGACATGAGCCACGATGCCCGGCCAGGAAAATATTTAAAAACAAATTAAGCAAAGATTATAAAAGTTTTTGGAGTAACACAGTTCCCAAAATGATCACGATCCACATCAATCTGAGCCATGTTGACATCCCCACATCAAGCCCTTCCTGGTGTTCGAGGAATTTGCAACATAGACAGAGGTGCAAGGGTCACTGGGGAGGCACAGAGGTGGAGGGAGGAGGGGCTCCCTAGGGTGGTGCAGGTCTCAGAGAGGTCCTTGGGCACTGGAAGGTGACCTTGGGCCCCTGAGCTCCTGACAGTCAGGTCTACTCAGATGTCAAGGCACTGAGCCCTGTGTGCTGCTCTCTGCTGAGGTGTTATCTGTCCACAGAGAGTGTCTGTAAGTGTCATGGAGGAAGAACTGGACCTGGGCGCTCACATGGGCACCTTCAGGGGGCTGGTTCCCTGGAGAGCAAAACAGACAGAGAGAAATGGGGGAATTTCGAGGATTCCAGGATCAACAAGCAGAGTCCCATGCCCCTGGGCCCTAAGAGGAGCAGGAGCGCTCATAACACAGGGTGGGGGTGGTGACTCTGCCTTGCCACCCAGATCCTCTGTGCCATCCAGACAGAAGAGCTGCACGTTGAATATGCATAGCTTCCTGGAGCACGTCATTTTTATTGCCTAATAAGACCTCGTCTTCCTAGCATTGCCACCGGACCTGTCTTTGCATTGTAATTTTTAAAATTATGCTTTGGTAAGACATAAATTTCTCATGTTCATATATTCTAGCAGAAAAGGGTTACAGAAGACATACATTTGAAAGAGTGAAAAGCAGTGTATATGTACACACACAAACATTCATATGTGTACCTTACTTCAAGATTGAAAAATACATTTAAAAAACAGAGGCTCCCTAAATCATGCCCTCAACCCCTCCCAGGTGAGCATCATCCTGAAATGTCTTCAGGGGTTTGTTTGGTTGGCATTTGGCACAGATACAGAACAACTGATGCCCAAGTCAGTGCTCTCTATGTACAGAAGCCTCCAACCTCATCTTGAAAAATGGGACCATGAGGCCATCCCAGACCCCCACAGAGGCTGAAGGACCCCTGGGATTGGAGGCCCCCAGTCCCCCACAGAAGCTGAAGGACCCCTGGGGCTGGGCACATTTCAGTGCTTCTTAGATCCTGCCATGTCCTCTGCTTGATGCCAGGACCGACTGAGTGCCCACTGGCCTGCAATACTGGGCCGAGTGGGCTGCTTGCTTGTGTGACAAGGAACTGGGGATGCCCCCATCCCTCTCACACCTTTCCCAGGAGGCCTGAACTGGGGGGGATTCATGTCAACCCTAGTGTCTCCTCAGGATGAACTAGTGATGCTCCCTGTTGGCCTCAAGAGGCTGGGAGGACAGAGCTAGGTTCCCCGAAATGAGATGGTGGTGAGATGAAGTGTCACTGCAGACGAATAACAGAGTGCACAGCCCTTGGAATTCAGCACATGGTGGTCTGACCAGCACCTCAGTGTCTCCCTCACTACGCAGCCTGTGGAGGGCTCAGCCCAGCAGGCTCAGGGGCTGCTATGGAGTGGGTGTCTGTTTCCTGGAGGATGTTCTCAGGGCATCCTTCACTTACCTTCAGAGGTCTCTAAAATAAACTAAAAATGTCCCAACAGTTCAGGACATTCTTCCTGGGCTTCCTGGTTTTCCTGATGGGACAACAAGAATGTGAGTGTAGCCATGAAGAACATGGGCATGTCTGTGCTTCCCTCATCATTCTGCCTGCTTCCACTTCCCCTCACACTTCCGCTTCCACTTTTGTCTTTTCTGTTGCTTCTTCTGCAGGTGCAGAGGAAGGACTTGCTGACATCTGTGAGAAAGAGAACAATTGTGCATGTCCAGAGACGCCAGTGCAAGAAAAGTTCTATCTGTTAAGGGGGTGCCCAGAGCAGACCAGATGTTACTGGGGGTCCCTCCAGCAGGGTGGGGTCCAGCTCTTCTGACCCCAGCCCAGTCCCCTCCCTGGACCCTGAAGTGTTGTTCAGCAAGATTGAAAGCTGCAACCTGGGGGCCAGTGAACAGGGCAATGCCAAGGCAGTGGGCAGGAGGGCTGGAGAGGATTTTATTGACACTGAAGACCCAAGAACCTCAACTGTGGGATGAGACCAGGTTCTTCAGGAGAACAATCAGAAGAGAGGGAAAGAGGAAAAGGACCAGAGCTAAAAAAGGAGCTCATGAGTCAGAAAGAGGATAAAAGAGAGAGAGCATATAAGAGGAGATCAATTACCTGCTGGTGGCCGCCTGTAATGGTGGAGTCTTCCAATTCTGTGAAGCAAGCATCAGAGTGTCTGGAGGAGCAGTGGTGATGGGGTGGCCATAAGAAGGAAAGGGGAGAGTTAGAGTCGAGACAACCACTCAGACCCTGCTGTTCCAGGGCTGTGGAGCCAACCCCAGAGCCTCTGATGTGCTCATTTCTGGAGCCTTCTCCACAGCCTGTATCATTTCTTCTGTGCTATAAGGGAGGGATCTCTGACTTCCCACATACTTGCCCAGCCCTCACATACCATCACTGAGCCAAGGGAGGGGAAGCCGCATCATTCTGTTCCTCCAAGAGGCAGCCACCCTCTTCACAACCTTGTGCATGACATGGAATTCCCTCCCTCCTCGTCCTGTAGGGCCTGCTTCTGTTCCCTCATGAATCCCATTTCCTTTCTCCATGTGGACCTCCACCAGTCCTACTGTTCTCCAAAAGAAGAATATCAGAAAGAAGGTCAAGGCTTCACTTCCAGGGCCTACAATCAACCGACGGATCTCACCCTGGGTCGGCAGCACCTCCCACAGGCTTGGGGTTGTGTTGGGGCCTGTGGGAGACAATGATGGCTGATGTCACAGATACAGTGACTGTTCTATGCCTGGAATGACCTTAGAGACTTGGAAAATATTCAGCCCTCAAAACAATCCCATCAGCTTCTGAATATTTGGAAACAATGGAACAGAATTCAGAGTAAAGCCCCTTGTCCCAGTTGCCTTAATCTGCAGGTGAGGCCAGCAGTTTTCAGCACAGAAATGAGGGGGCCCTCCCAGGGTTTGCCTGAGCTGTGGGAAGACTAAGAGGGAGGGCACCTGGCAGACCTGACACAGAGAACAAGCTGGGCCTGACAGGAGTATGGGGAGCAGGACAAGGCTGCTGGGCCAGAGAGGAGGGTGTGACAAGATAAATGACCCCGTGCCAGCTGCCCAGAGGCTCTGCCCTGGGCCCAGTGGATTCCAGGGACCAGGCTACACAGACGGTGAGAGCCACTGCCTACAGCAACACAGCAGCCCCTCCACATATATCCCCTAGGATTCCTGCCAGCCACAGAGGGCCTTGAGCTACAGCTGGACTCGGGCCTCTCCAACGAAAACCAATTTAGGTTTCATTCAAAGCCCAAGGATTTGGGATTGGATGGGACTGGGTGAGGAGTGGAGGCCAAAAATGTGCTCAATCATGTGTTCGGCCCTCAGGACTCCAGGATGCTGGGGCACACGTATGAATTCCAGAGGAATGATTCCCTATGTCATCCAACCCAGGGAGCACCCTTAGAGCAGGAGCAGATGGTGAGGACAGGACAGGAAGGTGCTGTTGCAGGTCCTGAGAGTGTAGAGAAAGACAGTGGGCTCCTTTCATCTCCTGGCACATGTATGAAGGACTTTACCTTCAGGATTACGTAGCACCTGGAAGGGGCTCTGTCCCACCCCACACTCAACTTTACACCTGCATACTCATCTTGTGATCTCTATTCACAAAAAAATGCTACCTCATCAAAACCCAGGGCTCTGGTGCTTGCTGTGGCAAAGGCAGAAATGATCTGGTCCTCTGCAAAATGTAATCTTTAAACACCAGAGCAAGAAATGATGGTGACAAACACAACTCACACAAAGCCCATAAGAACACAACTCTTACAACTTTGTCATTAAGATACAAAAAAAAAAAAAAAACCCAAGTCAGACTTCTATACCTGTTTCCTTTCATATTTAGTCACTTCATTGATCCCATCCTAGGCTCCAAAACAAGTGTAACCCAATCTCCAAGAACGCTCTCTCACTGGTCAACCCTGGGGTGTTGGTCCCTACCTGACCAGTCTATTTCCTCCTGGATGGATCCAGAGGTAGTGCCCATGAGCCCATGTACAGAGACACAAACATCAACATGACTGCTTTGTCCACTATGATTCTCCCTGGGCTCTGTGAACTCAGGGGACTTTATGAAGGCACTGCTCACAGCTGTGCGCCTTCAGGTGAGACAGAGGACCTGAAATAATCCCTTTCAACTGTTCACCGACACTGGCTCATAGCATCTCTTACCTCCAATCTGAGAACCTGAGATTAAGCCTTGATGCACATGCACTGAGTTAGGTGGGTGCACTGAACAGAACCTGGGCCAGACTCCCAGCAGCTGCTTCCCAGGTGATTCTGGGAGAATGGAGATGGTCTCTTAAGAGTAGACATTTGGCAACTGGGAACTTCTAGCATGGCTCTTGTGAGGAGGTTTTGAATTTTTTCATTTATTTAAATATGAATGGGCACATATGCCACTCAGGACCACACTGGAATGCACAGGTCTAAACCCAAAGGTGAGGAAGATGTGACTCTCCCCCCTGGTGATTCCTGGCAGAGTGGTTTGCTGCTCTGATCTGATCATTTATGGATAGGTGCTTCAGGGGCACAGGAACAAGCTCCAGGCCCCCTGTGAAGTGCAGGGATGCCACAACAAAAATAAAAAAGCCTGGTCCAGCAAAGGAGGGCTTGTAAACAGAAAAAGAGCATCTTCTGCAAGGAGAAAAGGTGAACCAATGTAGCCAGAGTAGAGATGAGGGGGACTCTTCATTGACTTCAGGACCCCACCCTATTCTCCTGTGACCTTGGATCAGAATCCATTCAGGTTTCTAGATTACCATGAGAAAAAACAGATTGAAGGAGATGAGCAGGAAGCCTTTTCACACTGGCGCTGGATCTCAGCAAAGGGGTTGGAAGCATTGGAACATTACTGGGGCCCAAGATGGGCTGCCAAGGGCTGAGCTCTGGGATGACAAGGAATGAGGAGGACATAGTCCTTGCCCTCCCATTGACGAGCCATGGCCAGGATTCATCAACACATAAGTAAAACAAAACAGAATTTGAGACTAATAATTCCAAGACTATCTCAGAGAAACAGGAAAAGTCTTGTCTTATAGGTCACATGGGAGAGTTGCAAGGACCACCTGGACTCTGGAGCAGCCCCTCTCCCTTGGCTGAGTTCACCTTGCACTGAAGCAGGATCTCTTCTCACCTCTCTTGCATCTAGTGTGGGGCAGCTTTCCTGCCTGAAAGCTGACACTCCTTCCAGTCACACAGGGTTCTGGGCCAAATCACACTTGGCCAACAGCAACTACACAAGGACCAGCTGTCAGGTGACTCCCAGAAGCAGGTGAAAAATAAGAGCTGATCTCTGTCCCAGCCAGAGACCAGGCCTGGGAAATACTTTGTATCTGGCTTGACCCTGAAATCCATCCCTGCTGATCATGTCCTCTCTGGGCAAAATTGGATGTTTCAAGAACTCACTTGTGTTCTCTGCCTCTCATTAATTTCTGGTGGTGCCATTGCCATCAACATACAGGAAATAGAGAAGACAAGAAACAAGAAAGTAGCTTCTCTCTTCAGGCTCTTAGGAAGACAGGCCAACAGTGCTAAAACCAGCTATGAAGTTGGAGCTTGACCCATTCTCCGTCAGTTGTAATATGAACATCCCGGCCATGCCCAGGTGATGATGCAGAACTGTCTCTGCTGATGTTGCACCTTGGCTTCCCCCTGTGGCTTTGTTGCCCTCATGCCTTCCTTCTGCTCTTCCAAATCGTGTTCCTTTTCAGGCCCAGGCCAAGGCTGTAGCCTACTGTCTCTCTCATAGAACCCACTGGACAGCACTCTGTGAATTCTTAGAGCCTCAATGCTGGTAACGCTGATTTGTGCCTTTAATCACACACAGCAGAGGGCCCCAAATACCACAAAAAAAAAAACCTATATTTTAGAGATTAAAGATGACTGGAGGAAATGGGCTATGAGGAGATAGTTTATGAGGTTAACGAGGGGCATTTTAAAATCACACCAGCCTCATTGTTTTAAAATATAGGATAAGTATTGACACCTACAGAGCAATCAAATTCAATTCATATACAATATATTTCCACCAAACGCAAGCTCCCAAAAGAAACTCAATCCAGAATTTGGCTAATTTTATTTTCATATAACCTTCAGCCAACCACCTTGACTTGTTTTTTGCAAAGACCTTCAGAAGCAAACAAAAACTTCTGTCAACAGTGGGCTCAATGGGAACATCATGGAGCCTCTGCTGTAAAACAGCCTCATTTGTCTTTCCCCACCTCATAATGCATGAGTCACCCTCTATCCTCCTAGGAAGGCAAGTGCTTGCCCTGCCAGTAACACCCTAGGGCAAGCCTTTTGGTTATCTTTTCATGTTGCTGTGTTTCCTGAGCATAGAAGACGGAAACCAGAACTAGGCTGCATGATAGAGGCTGAGCCTGTACATGACCTTGACATTACGTATTTTGGACACTCACCACATTAATTCAAAAAGACACGCAGCAACTCAATGCGCACAACCTCACCTAACTTCAGAGACCACAGTTGTTCCCAGGGACTGCAGAATGTGACCATCATGCTTTATCTGGAACAACAATTTCTCCCATCACAGCCTATGCCCTCATTCATGAGGGGAAGCTCCACTCAGGCTGCCTGTCTACAGGAAGGCCAGAGAGACAGTGGCACATTGCTCATCATCTGGATTACTCATCAGTATGAGAGGGGTTCCCCAATACATACCCCTTTGTATAACTCCTGAGGATTTCTGTAATGACAGAAAATAAATTGCTATGAGCATCAGACCATGCTGTGTCCTGTGTGCACAAAACTTTGTTCACTTAGTGACATTAGAAAACAAGACGGAAACCAGTGTTGAAAGGAACCCAAAAGAAGAACAGAGCAAATCGACTCATATTAAAGACACAAATTTTTCTCGGAGGATGTTTCCTCTCAAGTCCGTGTTGGTTGGCAAGTAAGTGATTTTGCTCCAAAGAGAAAACAAAATTGGTAAGGCTCACTGCCGCACAATGTGTGACTGATTCTTTCATTTTCTCCCACTGTCTTAAATCAAGCCTCAGGGGGGACAGACTCTCACTTACAATTCTCCCCAAGGACATTGCGTAACTAATCTAAGATATATATTGCCAGATTCTCATATCTTAATTTAATCCAAATAAGATAAAGCTAAGAAAGCAACAGTTTTTCTCAGACAAATCCAGGTGGCCTGACCTTCACATCCTCTGGGTCCTCCTCCTCTCCGTTGTAACTGGACAGCTCCTGTAGTAGATCCTTCATCAGAACTAGGAGGATACAGAGTGACCATCAGCACCTTGCTGGTGGTGCTCATGAACAATTCAGTAACATTGCTTGAGGTGGGTGTGGGAGGAGGATAGCAGGCACAGGAGAGATGCAGGGAAGAAAGGGAATCAGGGCCCTTGGCTTTCTAGCTCCAGACCAACTCGTAAACATGAAATAGCCAATCTCAAACAGGGCCCTTCCTGCAGTGCCGGCTGTGTGTCCCTGGCAGCCTCTTAGGGCTCCTCCATCCTAATCTGACCTGAGCTAACTTGCCCTCTTATTGATCCCTACCAAACTCATTTCCTCCTCACAATCAATCCACAGGTACTGCTGCTCTGTATGTCATCACTCTAGAAGATTTTGCACTGAATAAGAAGCAACTTTTCTTAAAATAGGAGATTTAGTTATTGCCAAAAGATTTCATTAAAAAATTTTTTGTTATAAGGCAATTAAACCAAGATTTGAAAATACTCAATTATCCTACCATTTAAAGATGACTCCAACTTAGCACATGACATTTGTTCTTCCACTCTTCCTTTTCAACACAATGTGTGTGCACCATGGAGTTCACTGCTCCTCATGCTTACAGTGACTCCAGCACAGAGACAGTCTGTCATAGGGAGCAGCGAGGGGGACGGGGTGCAGACACTGACCGTCTCCAGCCGAGCTGTGTGGGAGATTCCAGCAGGGAAAATGGGTCCCAGGCTAACACCCAAGTTGATCCTGGAGATTTTATTGGATGCTATGTCTTTGGATAGGGTTCCACTGAATTTCTAAGACTTGTGGTGATTATCTCACTAAATACAACAGAATATGCCATTGATTATTGTCTGCTTTTGAACAAGAGCTGAGGAATGACTTCACCACTGTAGACCAAAAGCCTGAGGACTTTGTGTGTTTTACATTAGTGATCACACTAAATCCCACTGGGCAATGTACCAACTCAAACAAACCCTGGGTTAGCTGACCGTTGAGATCATCCAATAATGATAGTGTTTGGGATCTGAATAGATTTTCATTCTTCCACATGCACACAGAAGTGCTGGAATAACTTGGCCTAGCAAGAAATTATACTAGGGCTTTGTGACAAATTCAGTGTAGTAGTCCATGACATTAACCTTCCACTCATTCCCGAGGTCACACGTACCTCTTCCATTTAAAGGACCAAGAGCTTGGGAAATTCGACTCTGCACCATGTCCATCTGAGGACTGGGGATATTAAACTTATCTTCAGGTACAGCTGTGGTGGAGGATGAATGGGTTGATCCATGCAAACTGTGCCGTTGTGATGCAATTTTTCTTGCACATTGATCCTCGTGTTGTGCTTTGAACATGGGAGTATGTTTTCTGGGGAAATGCACACACACTCCCAAAGACATCCACAATCATTCCATATAGACTCTCTCCTCTGTCCCTCCCAACCCTGATGTACCACCCCACCTTACGTGACACTGTTGCTTCCAGGGATGACAGTACCGTGGTTAGAGTTGTTTACTGGACTCTCAGTATTTTTTTAAACCAAACTTCACAAATCTCATTTCTGGCAGAAAGCTCAAGCCAGAGTGGCTCTTGAGCAAAAGCAGGCAAAGCAGTGCCATCTTTGCAACACTAACATTTTGAACCTAAAAAAAGAGATGATCCCAGAATACTTACTCTTTGCCAGTGTGGCTGGGTCCCCGCTCATCTACAGAAAAATAACAAAACACTATGAGGGTCAGACCAGGCTGTGTCCTTTGTGCACAAGTCTTTTCTTCACTTGTTGGTGTTAAAAAAATATGGTAAATAGTGATTGAGACAATGGCCCTGATATCTAGAAGACATTCCTGGAAAGGCATAAGAGTTTTGTACTGAATTTTCAATTGTTTTTGTTAGACAATTCTAAATGCTTCTCATAAGAAGGCATTTATCTTGAGGAAAATGCCTGCTGACATACGGTCTGTAAATGTGGATGCCACCTGAAACAATTTTTTAGTTGATAATTAAGTCTGACATTTGCCCACCAAGAAATTCTATCAGTCACCTATAGTGTACATGGTAAGATGTGTACATCTTAATTCAATTGTAACAGAGAGAAACCGAGAGAAATAAAATTTCCATTTCAGAGGAAAAAACACGACTTTGCCATGTGAACATTTGTGGCTTCCTCAGAGGATGTTTGCCCTGGCATATCCTCCTCCCAGTCTTCCAGGTCACCTGGGAAACAGAGTCACTATAAGCACATGAGCTCCACGGAGTGAATCCCTCAGGTGATCTTGGAGCTGTGGACACGGGGCTGGCGTGTGTGGATAGATGTGTGGAAAGGTGTGTCCACAGCACAGACTCAGCTGCTGCCAGTCCATCCTCCATGGTGCTGAGGGAAGGCAAATGGTGAAGGAAGGCATCAGGAAGGCCACAGAAGACAGAGCCTTGGTCCTGTAGCTAAGGCAACCTCTTTGACATTAAATAACCCATCTCAAACAGGGCACACCACACAGGGTTTCCCTGTAGCATCTCATGGCTCCTCCTTCCTAATCTGACCTGAGATAACTTGCTCTTCCTTCTTGATCCCCTTGAGGTCATTTCCTCCCCAGGATCCACGTGTCCTGCTGCTATGTTTTTCGTTTCTCCTAGAATATTTTTTTTTTTTGAGATGGAGTTTTACTCTTCTTGCCCAGGCTGGAGTGTAATGGCGTGATCTTGGCTCACCGCAACCTCCACTTCCCGGATTCAAGCAATTCCCCTGCCTCAGCCTCCTGAGTAACTGGGATTACAGGCATGTGCCCCCACACCTAGCTAATTTTGTATTTTTAATAGAGACTGGGTTTCTCCATGTTGGTCAGGCTGGTCTTGAACTCCTGACCTCAGGTGATCTGCCCTCCTTGGCCTCCCAAAGTGCTGGGATTACAGGCGTGAGCCACCGTGCCTGGCCACAATTTGTACAAGATAAAAAGCTACCTTTCTTCAGCAGGAGATTTAGTTCTAGCCAAAATATTCTGTGTATTCATTAACCTTCTGTTTTAAAGAAGACTAAACCAAGATTTGAAAATACTCAATTATCCTACCATTTAAAGATGACCCCTACTTGGCCTGTGATATTTGTCCTTCTGCTCTTTCTGTTAACACAGTGTGTGTGTGTGTCATGGGGCCCGCTGTTGCTCATACTCACACTGGCTCCAGGACTGGGACAGCCCTTCATGGGTGGCAATAGGTGGGGATGCTGACCTTCTGTTAGCCAGCTGTGCAGAAGATTCCAGCAGAGGAGATGGGAACCAGGCTAACAGCCAATTGGCTCCTTGAGATCTTGTTGTGTGCCGTGTCTTGGATATGTGTGCTACTGAATTGGAGCATTTCTAACGTTTGTGGTGATGATCTCATTAAATACAATAGAATATATCTGTGAATGTTCTCTGCCCTTGAGCAGGGGCTGAGGAATACCCCATCACTTAAGACCAAAGGCCTGGCAACTTCTTCTGTATGTTTCATATTAATGACCACACCAAAGTCCACTGTACAATGAACCTACTCAAACTCTGGGTCAGCTGACCATTGAGACCATTCTATTGTGGTATACAGTGCTGGAGATCTTTATAGGCCAACATACTTCACATATATACATAGATGCTAAGGACTCTGTGACATGGTGACAAGTTACACCAGGGCCATGTGATAACTTCAGACTAGCAGCCCACAGCATCACCCTTCCACCCATTCCCGAGTTCATCTATGCCATTTCCACTTAGGAGAACAAAAGCCTGAAAAATTCATCTCTACATCATCTCCACGTGAGGACTGGGTATATCAAACTTAACCTTCAGCTACAGCTGTCATGAGGAATGAATGGGTTGATTTTTGGAAAACGCAGTGGTGATGAAATGTTGTTTTTAGAATATCAATCTTTGTGTTGTGCTTTGCACTTGGGAACATCTTTTCTGGCGAAAAGCACACAAACTCACAGAGACATTCACAATCACTCCACATTGACTCATTCCTCCATACCTCCCAACCCTAATGCACAGCACCTTCCTCTATACAAATGGCACAGTTCCTTCCAGGCACTAGAGTCAACGGTCACATTTCTTGACCGGGTTCTTCACTTTTGAAGACAAAAGTGCTTGAACCACATTTCTGGCAGGAAGTTCAAACCAGAGTGGCTCTCCAGAAAAAATGAGGCAAGAAAGTGTCACCTTTGTCAACACTAGAAATTTTCCTCAGCATAGGGGTGATCCCAGAATATGTACTGTTTGTCTCTGTGGCTTTGTCCACCTGCATTTAGAGAAAAACAAAACACTATAAGGGTCAGACCATGCTGTGTCCTGTGTGCACAGGTTGTTATTTCTCTCTCTCTCTTTCTTTGCTGGAATCTCGCTCTGTCCCTCAGGCTGGAGTACAGAGTCATGATCTTGGCTCACTGCAACATCCACCTCCTAGGCTCAAGCGATCCTGCTCCCTCTCCCTCCCCAGTAGCTGAGATCACAGTTGCTGGTCAGCATGCCTGCCTAATTTTTATATTTTTAGTAGAGATGGTGTTTCACCATACAGACCTTTTCTTTACTTGGTGACATTACAAAAACAGATGGGAGACAGTGGTTGAGGCGATGGTCCCAAAATAAAGCCTAGAAGACATTTCTGGAAAGGCACTAGGTTTTTATGCAAGACTTCCAAGATTCTTGTGGTTGTATAGTCAAAATGTTATAAGAAGAAAGCTTTTCCCCTAAAAAAATTCTTTCTGCCATACAGTTCATAACTGAAGGTGCCATCTAAGAATACCATCTGAGATCATTTCTTACCTGGTAATGAACCCTCACATTTTCCCACCAAAAAATTCTGTAAGTCATCTATAATGTACACGGTAAGATTTTCATATCTCAATTCAAATAAAATAAAAAACCAAGAGCAACAAAATTTCCATCTTAGAAACATAAAGAAGAACTTACCATGTGAACGGCTGGGACATCCTCAGAAGAAGTTTCCTGTGCCACGTGCTCATCGTGATCTAGGAAACACAGAGTAACTGTCAGCATATTGGTTCCACTGAAGGAATCCCTTAGGCAAACTTGGGTGCTGGGGGCAGGGGGCTGGTGTGTGTAAAGGAGGTGGGTTAAGGGCAGAAACTTGGCTGCCACTGGGACACCATCCTGGGTGATGAGGGAAGGCAAATGAGACCATCAGGAAAGGCACAGAAGTTAGGGCCTGGTTCTCTGGCTAAGCAACCCTCACCGCTACAAAATAGGCAGAGTTCACACAGGGCAGCATACAAATGCACAGCTGATTTCATGACAGTGTCCCATCACCCCCTTGTGCATTTTGAGGCCTGGTAAATTTCCTTTTTTTGTTGTTGAAATGTTATAATGTCATTTATCTTTTCTGGATCTACATATGCTCCTCCTGCACTTATCATCCATTTTATTGGCTTTAAAATCAATATTGTGGCCAAAATACATCATATTTATTATTTTAATAATCAAGTGCACACTTCAGGGGCATCAGTGCCCTTCCCAATTCTGTGCAGTAAACTAAACATAATCCAAATCCAGTTGTCTTACTTTCCACCTTAGGAAACTAGACAAAAAAAGGTGTAGTGAATTGTAAACCAGGCAATCCCCCTCCCCAAAAATATAACAATATTTGCAGAAATCAATGTAATACAAATAATAAACAAAGAAACTTAACAAAACCAAAAGCTGCTTCTTAGAAAAGATCAATAGAATTGGTAAACCTCCAGCCAGGCTAATCACAAAGAAACAACACAATGTACAAATAATATGAATAGAAGAGGAATTATCCCTGCTGATCCCATGAACATTAAGAAAATAATAACAGAATACTTTCAACAAATTTATGCCTGCAATTTTTTAAGTGCAGGAGTGAAAGGTTATTGAAAAGTTTTAGAGTAGGAATGACAGGAAGCACAGTAGCCTTTGACAAGAACCAAGCAGGAAACTTGTGAGATTCAAGTGTCTATGTCCACAAATTTCCTAGCTTAGATGAAATGGACAAATGCATTCAAAGGGAGAAATTATCATAACCACCCAAAGGAGAGATAGATAATCTGGGTAGGCCTCTATTATTATAGAATTTAATCAGTAAGTAATAACTTTAAAAAAACATGCCCACATAATTATACTGGTGAATTCTGCCTAACACAACAGAAAACATAGTCTTACCAGCAAGTGATCAAAATTCTATATATTTACCCAGCTATATTTAAAAATTATGTTCATGTTAAAATCTGCACAAGAATGTGGGCAACTTTATTCATAATTACCCAAATTGGAAGCAGCTGAGATGGTCTTCAGGAGGTGAGTGAGCCAACTAATACTGTTTGATGAAACCAATGGGCTATTGTTCACTGATAAGAGTTATTAAGCTGTTAAGCTTCAAAACAATACAAAAGATCTCACATGTATATTGCTAAGTAAAATAAGTTAGTCATAAGTAGCTACATACTTTATGATTCCAACTCCATAAAATTCTGGAAAAGGAAACCTATAGAGGCAGTAAAATCATCCACAGTTGTCAGGAATCATCAGAAAAGGAGAGGAATTAGTAGATGCAGCTCAGGTCATGTTTAGGATGTGAAATTATTCCATCAGGGTGACAAAGGACATTGTCAGTTTGTCAAAACCCAAAGACTGGACAACACAGAGTGAACCTTGATGCTAACCCTAGACTTCTGTTCATAAGAATGTGTCACTATTGGCTCAGTCACTGATGCTAACCTTGGACTTCTGTTCATAAGAATGTATCACTATTGGCTCGGTCATTGTTACAAGCGTTATCACACTCATGTAAGATGGGTTCACAAAAAAACACTGAGGAAGGTGGGTATATGGAAATTTTCAGTACCACTTCCTCCATTTTTAGGTTACTTCCAAACATTTTGAAGTGATGTCCATTGCTTTACAAATCTGGCAACACTGTCTCAGAAAAAGATCCTTCTTAGTTAATGTTTTAACAATCAGCAAAATATCTACAATTTGCACTGAGATGTTATTTACTATTAAAAGTAAACCCAAACCTGGAATGGAAATACACCTTTACTCCTGTAGTTGTAGCACTAGTAATTGACTTAACACATTTACATATGTACACGATATAAAGAATATAGCATTGCAATTTTATAATTGTCTGAAATATGAGACACTGAAGAATCTAGAAATCATATCATGAATGAACTGAATGACTGAATTTCCAAGATAACTTCTGTTGATGCAACTCTAGAGTGTACACAGCTGTGAAGCCAGTGATGGAGGATTCACTTCTTACACTTGTGGTGGCAGACGGTGGATTCCCCTGGCACCCCAGGATCCACTCTTTGATCTTCAACAGAATATGCTGGGAAATGAACTAAAATAAAGACAACTGTTGATATCTTGCTGCAAAAGATCAGAGAAATGAGTAATTATTTATTCACAGCTTAAATGTTTGATCCCATTGTTCATCATCTGCAGAGCAAAGCCCCCTGAATCTGAGTTGGGCTTCAGAATGAACCTGCACTATGGGTTGCACTTATAACTGTGCAGGCAAATGCCTGTATTGAGATGAGACATTACAGACAGGTAGTAGATTGGAGTGACCAAGAGCATATGGTCTGGTGCATAGGATCTGAGCTCAAGGACTTTTGAGAAGCTGCTAGAACCTGAGGAAGTTCTACAGACTCCACTGTGCCTCTAATCCCTAGTCTGAATGTGGAAATGTTGATAATGGCCTACGTTATGTTAAAAGGGTAAAAATAGTTAAATGGACCTAAAGCCTTAAGATCGGTGCTTCCTAAGTACCATAAAGTGTTCAGTTATTTCACATCTGGAAGAATAAGCCAGGCCCTTGGTAGTGATTAATAGAGAAGCCACTGGGAGACTCCAGGGCAGTGGAGGGTAAAATTAGCTTCATTCTTGACATGGATCTCATGCTTTAGAACTCGTGAAAAAGTTCTATTCAAATTTCCTGTGATGCCCACATCACCCCAGAAAGATAGGCAGAGCAGGGGCTGCCACTCAAGAGTTGATGGTTCAGGGAAGTGAAATGAAGAGAATTGAAGTGACCTGCCTAGAGTCACAACACTGATGAATGATAGATCTGGGACAAGAATTTGGTTGGTTTTCTGGAGACAGAGATCCCTGAACATCTGAGGCCTCTAAATCATGGCCTGGACCCTGAACCTGGAGCTCTTTCCTCTCCCTTTCTCAATCCTCCTGCACCAAGGGCCTTTCGGGAAGGTTGGTGTATTAAAGAGGTGGTGACTCCAGAAAAAAACTCAAATCATTTAACAAAACAAAACTCCTGTCTCTACATTTTAACTCCAGTGCTAAAATGTGGCACTTTCCTGCAAATGAAGCCTCTCTGAGGAACAAATTCAAATGTCTGGTCATCCTACCCAGCACCCTGTATTGTCTGCTGTCTGGCAGTGAGCACTCCTCCATGATCAACTGACCACACCAAGGGACCAAGTTCTGCTTGGCCCCCAAGTTAATTTGGAATGTAGGACATTCCAAACTAACTACCACTTGATGGCTGTGCCAAGAATCAACTTCCCTTCAACTGAAACATTCTGAACAAGCAATTAATGGGAATTAACTGAAAATGTGGCACCCCAGTTTGTTTTTCAGTGGTTTCTTCTGTATCTAGTCTATGAAAGAATGTGGGGGAAAAATGCCAAGTGTGGTGGCTCACCCCTGTATCTCAGCACTTTGGGAGGCCAAGGCTGGCAGATCACAAGGTCAGGAGTTTGAGACCAGCCTGGTCAATATGATGATATGGTGAAACCCTGTCTCTACTAAAAATACAAAAATTAGACAGGCATGGTGGCAGGCACCCATAGTCCCAGTTACTTGGGTGGCTGAGGCAAGAGAACTGCTTGAACCTAGGATGCAGAGGTTGCAGAGAGCTGAGATCATGCCACTGCATTCCAGCCTGGGTGACAGAATGAGACTCTGCCAAAAAAATAAAATGTCCAAGTACTGTGGCTCATGCCTGTAATCCCATCATTTTGGGAGTCCAAGGCAGGTGGATCAGGAGGTAAGGAGTTCAAGACCTCCTTCGCCAACATGGTGAACCCCTGTATCTACTAAACATACAAAAATTAGCCAGGCATGGTGGTGGATGCCTGTAATCCCAGCTACTCAGTAGGCTGAGGCAGCAGAATTGCTTAAACCTGGGAGGTGGAGGTTGCTGTGAACCGACATCACACCACTGCACTCTAGCCTAGGCAACAGAGCAAGACTGTCCAAAAAAAAAATTGGCATTGGAAACAGTGCGTTTTTCTAGAAAAAAATCACTTGAGGCAAAAATCTTGATAGAAGAATTAAAAAATACAAATTGAGTAATAAAACTCTAAAACATATTTAGAAATCTGTGGACAAATAGGAGCTGGGAAAATAAAAAAATAATCAGAATGACATTTAACATACAGAAAAACTGGCACATCTGAAGAAATTGTGGTCAGAAGATGGAAATGAACATACATACCTCTGAGGCAGCAACTACAAACATTTCCCATTGTGAATCCTCTGAGACAACTAAGCTGTGTTTACTGCCAAAGTTCAGTTGCCAGAGTGGCAGTTAAAATGAAAGGCAAGACCTACATCATCAGATCATGTCAGTGACATGTCACAGTAGAATTTTCACAAGCATACATGTCACAATATGGGGCCCAACTGCTGTGATCCTGACCAGCCCATTGTCACATCAACAAGGGGTCACTCAGACTCCATGTTTCATTTCAAAAACTGAATCCCAGACAAAGAGTATTATTCTGTGTGTATGAAACAAATATTACAGGAGGAAAAGGATCTGCCTCTCAAATATATTTGATAGTGAAAATTTAAGGGTAAAGATAAGAAAAGCCAATACATTGAGAATAAAGGGAGATTCCAGGCTGGATGTGAAATGCCATCCCCACTCATTTCTACAATTTCTGAGTCAACAGAGAGTCCTAGCTTCAACGATTCTAAACTAGTTCCAAATTAAATTTAAAATGTATTAATATAAGTTCAATTTTAAAGCCTATCTCTTAGAATATAATTCACAGTAATCAAAACAGATATGAAATGATTCAGTATAACTTTCCATCACTGTTGATTCATTACAAGTTTTAAGAACGATTAAATCAAATGGGTCATTACTGAGGCATAAAAACTGCATTAATATAGATGCTGCAATTTTTTTCAGGGATTATCTAATTGAAGGGGTGGTTAACAGGATTTGGGAAGAAACACATATTACCTGTGTCAATGGAGAATTTTAATTGTCAACAACAGAATAGAAAATTGGGCAGGTGTGCACATATAAATATACACATATATGAGAGAGAGAAAACTCAATTAAAAAATACTAGACAACAGATATATATCTCTTAATGCCAAATTCGGAAAGACTTTTTTTTTTTTTTTTGAGATGGAGTCTCACTCTGTTGACCAGGCTGGAGTGCAGTAGTGCAATCTCAACTCACTGCAACCTCCACCTCCCAGGATTCATGCCATTCTCCTACCTCAGCCTCCCAAGTAGCTGGGACTACAGGTGTCTACCACCACGTGCAGCTAATTTTTTTTTATTTTTAGTAGAGACAGGGTTTCACCGTGTTATCCAGGATGGTCTCCATCTCCTGACCTCGTGATCCACCGCCTCGGTCTCCCAAAGTGTTGGGATTACAGGCATGAGCCACTGTGCCTGGCCCCTGGAAAAGACATTTTTAAAAACAGAATATGTTAGGAAGAATAAAAGGGAATGAGCATAAGGCTTTCCTTCCTGGTGCCACCTAAGTGATCACAGTGAAGGAAAATAATTGAGTCTTTTACACTGGTAGCCAAAGCCCTTTTATAAGGCTTTGCCATGCTGTCAGTGCTATATGATTGTTCAATTAATAAATCTGGAAAGATGTGCAGAAACTTAACAGTTGTTACTTCCAGAGGCAGAAGCTGGCAGGCTGCAGAAGAGGAAAAGACAAGTCCAGATTTCAGTGTCCACTCTTCTGTACCTTGTGAATATCCTACAAGTGTGTTATTCCTGATATCTTTACTGTGATTATTTTTAAATAAAAAAAACTAATACCCCCAAATGCTAGTAGAAGACAAACATTTCAATTTGCTTTACAGGGACAAGAATTCAGGAAAGACACAGAAAAGTTAGCTTATTGGTCCTTGTTGATGTCTGGAGACTGCAGAGAAGTCTTATGGAATGGGATTGAATCCACAGCAGGGGGTTGGAATCATCTGGATATGCCATCATGCACAGGTCTGCAGAGGAACTTGGCCTTGGCTGGAGAACTTACACGACCACCACCCACACTTCCACACCTGCTCAGCCCAGCTGCAGCAGCTTGGCCAAGATAATGGGTGCTCCTGCTCAAATGAGATTTCCCAGCTTTTGCGGAGTTCATCACCAGCCTTGCTAGCAGCTACTTCCTACTTCTATGCAAAGGAAACTGCCAACGAGGTTACAATTTCTTTTTTCCTAGAGTGAGGCCTGGCTGGAAGAGGACAGGCCAACCTAGTGGCCTGTGAATGACCTTGTGAAGGTCGCCAGGACCCCTTGGCTGCAGGGCTCCAGAGCCCACCGCTGGCCGAATACATCATGCACTGGCCCTAGCCTGGGATGATGAGGCCAAGGCATTACCAGCTTTGACCCTGGTGCCTCTTGCCTGGGCAACTGACCCCTGTGCACTCAGCAAGGCACATGCTAATTTAATCCAATCTGTCAGCCCAGGTACCTGGAGCTGAAATGGCCTGCCCACTTTTGCCCCACCCCAGCTCCTTCTCAACATTAACCTGGAGAGTCTGTTGTGCGTTCTTCGAGAGTGGGCCTGCTCCAGGTGCTTCACCCACATCATGTACTTCATCAAAACCACTGTCAGAGGTAGGGCCTGTTAGGATCCCTGTCTCACAGAGGAGGAAACTGAGGCAGAGACAGGTAGGTACCCCAACTGAGGACACAGAGAAAAAGCTAGGATGGAACCTGGTGGCAGGCCCGGCCTTCTCCACCCAGTGACAGACATGCAGAGAAGCCAGGGCACCTTGAGCTGCCATCCCTGTGCCACTTACCCATCTTCTTGCAGCCTAGGCCAAAAACATCCCCATAAATAACCATCCACAGCTGCCCTCAGCCTCCTCTAGAAGGCTGGTGCCCCAGAAGCTTCCTCACAAGCTCTTCTATATTTCAGTGACATGCGGGTGGCTGAGGAGCCCTGAAACCAGTTGAAGGTCTAGGAAGGTGAGATGGGGGATTTAGCTCAGGCAGTGCCCTCTGGCCGTGGCAGGCACTGCAATGGGCACCTGCTTGAGAGGAACATCTGATATGGTTTCCCCAATGCCCGACGCTCCGGGCCTCACACTCATCCTTGCTGGACATAGAGAACTAACTGAGCTTCGAGGGGTCCTTCCCTTAGCCCTGCCAGGTCCTGGTGCCACCAAACACTTAAGAATGTGGATGTGACAAAGTTAATTAAAGAGCTGAGTGCCTGTGCACACCAGTGACATGGAACTTACAGCTGGGGATGGGTCAGTGCAGCCCTGGTGGAGCAGCTGGCCCATGGGGCACCCCCTGCAGTGACAGTATCAGATGTGTCTCCACCTTCCCAGGGTAGACCATGAGAAGGCTCTCAGAGGAGCCTTCTCAGGGCTCCTCTGAGACCCATTGCAGCTCTGGGGCAGAAAGGGGTCTGGATATATCATCATCACAGGCTGAGGGGAGCAATGGGGATGAAGTGGCAGTCAAGGTCCCAGGTGGGGCTGACTTGGACTCTGGAGCAGAGTCCAAGGGGAGCTTGGGAAGTGAGCACAGAAAAGGCCTGAGGGTCTGTTGGGGTGGAGGGTGAAAAGAAGAGATCTGGAAACCTTAGAGCAGGTTCCAGCCCAGCACAGACTGAAGGGCACACAAGCCCAGGGCACAGCCAGGCAGCCCAGTGCTTGTGCACGAGTCACCTGCATCTGGACACTGCTATCCAACCTCAGGAACCTCAATTTCAACAAACCTCAACTTCAAGAGCAAAAACTTGGCATAGCTGGTCTGGGCCCAGTGAGATCAAATGTGAACATCTGGCCTAGGGCCAAGGAAGATAGCTGTGAACACCTGTGCAGTGACCAAGGAGGATGGCTGTGGACACCTGGGCTAGGCCCAAAAGTACAGCTTGGAATAACTGGGATGGACCCAGAATATAGGGCTATGAACAACTGGGCTGACCCCAACGTGGACAGCTAGAAACCGCTGGTGTGTGCTCAGGAGTTTTGTTCATTTTGGCTGAGCCGAAGAAGGACAGCTGTGAACGTCTGCACCAGGCCTAATTAAGACAACGGTGAACAGACGGGCTGTCCCCATTGAGGACGTCTGTGAAGCCCTTGCCTGGGACCACGGAAACTGCTGGAAACAACTGGCAGAAGTCCTGTGACAAAAGCCATGAACACCAAGGTTAAGCTCAAAGGGGACAGGTGTGGACCCCTGGGCTGGGCCCAGTGTGGATGGTTGTCAATACCTGGGATGGCCTCTATGAGGGTGGCTGGCCCCAATTAGCACACATGTCATCAAACCGGCTGGCCTTGATGAGGATGGCTAGGGACATAGGGCTGGCTGTCACATGGATGACAGAGACCTCCTTGGCTGGCTTAGATGAGGACCACTGTGAACACTGGTGCAGGCCTGGATGAAGACAGCTGGGAAGTTCTGGGCTGGAAACAATGAAGACAGCTATGAACAGGTGGCCTGGGGCCAGGGCAAATGGTCTTAATCTTGGACTTAATGTTACTGAAGGGAACCGTGAACTCCTGGGCTTGCCTTGATATTGACAGCCATCAAAAACTGTTGCTATAATAAACTGAGTTCATACAAACGAGAAAGGCTGTGAACCCCTGGGCTGACATTGATGGTGTGGCTGTGAACACCTGGCCTGGGCCCAGTGAGGACAGCTATGAAGAGCTAGGCAGGACCCAGCAAGGTCAGCATTGAACTCCTGGGCTGGCCCAATGAGGATGTCTGTGAACACTGGTCTGGGCCCACTGAGGACAAGGACTAACACCTAGGCTAGCTACCAATGAGGACAGCTGTGAACACCTTGGCTGGGCCCTCTAAGGACAGCTTGGAGTGTTTGGGCTCAGCCCAAAGTAAACAGCTGTGAAGCCCTGAGCTGAGCCCAGTGAGGGTGGCTGCAGAAACCTGGGCTGGGCCAGTAAGGACAGCTGTGAACACCTGGCCTGGCTCCAACGAGAACAGCTGAGAACACTTGGGCTAAGCCAATAAGGACAGCTGTGGCACCAGGGACGACTGTCCTGAAGACAGCTGTCAAGATCGTGGCTGGTCACCTTGAGCACAGCTATGAATGTCTAGGCTGGACCCAATGAACACAGACAAAAACACCTGCCCTGGTTTCAGTGAGAGCCACTGTGAGCACTTGGGCCTGCCCCCATGAGGATTCCTATGAACAGCTGGCTGGGCCCAAGATGAATGGCTCTCGACACTTAAACTCAGCCCAAGAAAGACACTGTGAACAACTGGGTTAATCCCACTGATGACGACTATTAACACCTGGGCTGGGCCCAAGTGAGGGCGACTTCGGCTGGACCCAGAAAAAATGGCTGTGAACACCTTGGCTTTGCCTGATGAAGATGGCTATGAGCACATGGCCTGGGCCTAATGAGGAAAGCTGTGAACACTTGTGCTAGCCAAAGTGAGGAAAGCTGGGAAAACCCGGGCTGGGCCCAGTAAAAACAGCAGTGAACAACCAGGCTGGACTCAGGAGGACAGCTTTGAAACTGATCATGATGAAGATGGCTGTGAATGCCTGGGCTGGCCCAGATGAGGAGCACTATTAACTCCTGGGCTCGCCCCCAATTAGAACAGCCATGAACACCTGGTCTTGCTCATGTAATGATTGCAAGGAACAACTGGGCTTAGCCAATAAGGACAGCTGTGAACCCCTGCACTGAGACAAATGAGACTGGCTGGGAACACCTCAGCTGGCCCCAGTGAGGACGGCTATGGATACCTGAGCTGTGCTCCATGGGGATGGCAATGTACACCAATGTTTGGCCAAGTGACAGTTCTGAGAAACCTGGCTGACACCAGTGAAGACCACTGTGAAAGCATGGGCTGCTCCCAGTTAAGACAGCTTTTGCAGACCTGGTCTGGGACCAGTCAGATCGAGTGTCAACATCTGGCCTGGGGCCAAGGAGGATAGCTCTGAACACCTGTGCTGGACCAATGAGGATGGCTGTAGACACCTGGGCTGGGCCCAAGGAAACCGCTTGGAATAACTGCGATTCACCCAGAATGTATGGCTACCAACACCTGGGCTGACCCCAATGCAGAAAGCTGTAAATACCTGGCGTGGGCTCAGGAGAACAGCCTTGTTCATTTTGGCTGAGCCCTGTGAGGCAGCTATGGGCATCTGCACTTGGCTTAATTAAGACAACGGTGAACATCTGGGCTGTCCCCATTGAGGACACCTGTCAACACTTGGCCTGGGACCATGGGAATTGCTCAGAACACCTGTATTAAGTCCAATGAGGAAAACTATGAACACCCAGGCTATGCCCACTGAGGACAGCTGTGGACACATGGGCTGGCTTTAGTGAGGATGGCTGTAAATACCTGGGATGGCCTCTATGAAGGTGGATGGCCCCAATAAGCATGAGTGTGAATTAACTGGCTGGCCTCGTTGAGGACGGCTATGGACATCTGGGCTGGCTCTCATGTGGATGAGAAGAGAACAACTTGGCTGGCTTAGATGAGGACCACTGTGAACACCTTTGCAGGCCTGGATGAAGACAGCTTTGAAGCTCTGAGCTGGGCACAATGAAGACACATATGAACAGGTCATCTAGGGCCAATGAAAATGGCTCTCAAATCCTGGGCTTGATGACATTAAGGAAAATTGCAAATACCTGCACTAGCTTTGCTTTTGATTGCTATGAAAAACTTAGCTCATGCAAATGAGGACATACAGTTGTGAGCCACTGTGCCCCGCCCTGCTTTGTATTATTAAAACACATGCCAAATGAGGCATCATGGCTATGCCTGTGATCCCAGCACTTTGGGTGGTGGAGATGAGTGGATCGAGGTCTGGAGTTCAAGGCCAGCATGCCCAAGATGCTGAAACCCCATCTCTACTTAAAGTGCAAATGTTACCTGGATGTTGTGGCAAGTGCATGTAATCCCAGCTACTCAGGAGGCTGAGGCAGGAGAATTGCTTGAACTCGGGTGGCAGAGGTTGCATTGAGCCAAGATTGTGCCACTGCACTCCAGCCTTGGCAGCAGAGTGAGGCTCGTCTCAAAAAAACAAAATGAAACAAAAAACAAACAGAAAAACATGCCAATAGGCTAAAAAAAAAGAAAGACAAGTACTGAGCTTTAAAATGAGTTGAAATCTCCTTTCTGCCACTTCCTATATATATAAAAAAAACTATCCTAATCTCTTTGAGTCTCATGTTCTCTATCTAGAGAAACACTTGACCAGAAGGTTTAACACAGGTTGAAGTACTAGAGGTTATTTTAATTGTTCCTGTGATTCCTTAAAATTCTATAATTCTATGTGCTTTTGATTCTGTCTACAAGAAAATTGGGAATACACAGTTGGCAGATTTTGAAGAAATAATATGACAAAAGAAACACGAAGAAAAGCAGAGAAGGAAGTTTTAAAACATCAAGACAGGATTATAGAAATGTCATGGAAAAAGAAAAAAGTCCAAAAAAAAGTATTATGGAAGTAAGCAGAAATACTAGCCTAAAGGGAAAACCAAACTGGGAAGTCAAATAATTTCTAAGACTTGTCTAATCTTGCTTTTGTAAAATTATAATCATATGGCCAAACCTTTACTTTGCCCTAAAGCCTTTGATGGTAAAATAAGATATTGGCTACCACTGAAATTGTCAAATTTATTAGGAGAAACTCTTGGACTAATAACATTTCTAACAATAACCTTAAATGAGAGTTAACATATAACTAGATTTGACTGTCTAAATTAATCTGATCCAGACATATACCTTGATCCAAGTGCTGCACACATCTCTATCAATCTATGTTGAGGAGCAAGATAAGGGATCTGGAAGCCAGACAGGCTGATGGTTTAACTGTGGGTCAGCTACTTTGTTAACTACGGGATCATGAGCCAATTAATCAACCTCTAAACCACAGTTGTCTATGTAATAAACAGTAGGTTATAAGAACACAGATGTCGCAATGGCTTTATGGGATGACAAATGCATAGCACATAATAGGGGTTTAGCCCAGAATACAACACAACAGATATTAACCTCTTCCATCTATATTTCCTTAGTTAAGATAGTTTTTAAATCTGTAAAATCCTACCTGACTGCAGGTTCATTAGAACTCCCAGAATCTATTAAAGAAAAAGGTAAAATGCATTTTAAATCAATAATAATTGTATAGAGTATTAAATGCATAAGAAGGCACAGTGATGCATGCCTGTATTCCCAACTACTTGGAAGGCTGAGGCAGGAGGATCACTTGAGGATTCCAGAAGTTTGAGGCCAGCTTGGGAAACATCAAGACTCTACCTTCAAAAAAAGTGATGTACACTTGTGTGCAGACTTCAGATCATGTTTTTTTTCTTTTCTTTTCTTTTTTTAAAACATAGGACTGATGCTTGTTATAAAGCATTACTTTGGGAGCATAACTGGGATCTTATTAGAATTAATATTAATTATACCTATTAGTAGATAACCCTCAATGGGCTCCCAAATGTAAATTTGCAGATTCACCAAATAGATTGTTTCCAGCCTGCTGAATCTGAAGACAGGTTTAACTCTGTGAGATTAACTCACTTATTACAAAGCAGTTTCTCAGATATCTTCTTTCTAGTTTTTATCTGTGGATATTCGATTTTTCTTCAAAGAAGAAAATGTGCTCCCTTATGTCTTTTCGCAGACTCTACAACAAGAGCATTTCCAACCTGCTGAATCAAATGAAATGTTTCACTCTGTGAGATGAATCCACACATCACAAAGCTGTTTCACAGATAGCTTCTTCTCAGTTTTATGTGTGCATATTAGGTTTTGCCACATAGGCCTCAATGTGCTCCAAAACATTCCTATGCAGATTCTCCAAAAAGTGTGTTTCCAACCTGCTGAATCAAAAGAAAGTTTTATCTCTGTGAGATGAATCCACACATCTGAAAGCAGTTTCACAAATAGGTTCTTTCTAAGTTTTACCTGCAGATATTGAGATTTTTCCCATAGGCCTCAGTGGGTTCTGAAATGTCCCTTCTCAGATTCTGCAAAAAGAGTGTTTTCAACCTGCTGGATCAAAAGAAAGGTTTAACTCCGTGAGATGCATCCACACATCTGAAAGCAGTTTCACAAATAGGTTCTTTCTAAGTTTTACCTGTGGATATTGAGTTTTTCCCCATAGGCCTAAGTGGGTTCCCAAATGTCCCTTCTCAGATTCTGCAAACAGAGTGTTTTCACCCTGCTGGGTCAAAAGAAAGGTTTAATTCAGTGAGATGCATCCACACATCACAAAGCAGTTTCACAGCTTCTTTCTAGTTTTTTTCCTGGTGATATCTGGTTTTCCCAATAGGGCTCAATGGGCTACAAAATGTACCTTTGCAGATTCTCCAAAATACGGTTTCCAAACTGCTAAATCAAAAGAAACATTTAACTCTGGAAGATTAATTGACACATCACAAAGCAGTTTCACAGATGGATTCCTGCTAGTTTTTAACTGGGATATTCGGTTTTTCCCCATTGGCCTCAATGGGCTGCCAAATGTCCGTTCACAGATTTTACAAAAAGAGTGCTTCCAACTTGCTGAAACTAAAGAAAGGTTAAACTCTGAGATGAATCCACACATAATCGAGTAGTTTCACAGATTTTTTTTGTAGTTTTTATCTGCGGATATTCAGTTTTTCTTCATTGGCCTCAATGGGCTCTTAAATGTTTCTTCGCAGACTGTCCACAAAGACTGTTGTCAATCTGTAGAATCCAAAGAAAGGTTTACCTCTGAGACGTGAATCCACACAGACAAAGCACTTTCACAGATAGCTTCTTTCTAGTTTATATCTGTGGATATTTGGTTTTTCCCTATTGGTCTCAATGGGCTCCCAAATATCCCTTCACAGATCCCACAAAAACAGTGTTTCCAAACAGCTGAATCAAAAGAAAGGTTTAACTCTGAGAAATGAGTCCACACATCAGAAAGCAGTTTCACAGATAGTTTCTTTCTAGTTTTTGTCTGGGGATATTTGCTTTTTCACTATAGGCCTCATTGCACTCCTAGATATCTTTTTGCAGATTCTAAAAAAAGTTTTTCCAAACAGCTGTATCAAAAGAAAGATTTAACTCTGTGAGATGAATCCACACATCACAAAACAGTTTCACAAATAGCTTCTTTCTACTTCTTATCTGGGGATATTCAGTTTGTCACCATAGGCCTCCATGAGTTATTTAAGGTCCCCTTGCAGATTCTACAAAAGGACTCTTTGTAACTGCTGAATCAAAAGAAAGTTTAAACTCTGTGATAAGAATCAACACATCACAAAGCAGTTTCACAAACAACATTTTTCTAGTTTTTATCTGGGGATATTTTCTTTTCCACCATAGGCCTCAATGAGCTCCAAAATGTCCCTTCACAGATTATACAAAAACAGTGTTTCCAAACTGCTGAATAAAAGGAAAGGTTTAAGTCTGTGAAATAAATCCACACATCACAAAGTGGTTTCACAGATAGATTCTTTCTAGTTATTATCCGGGGATATTCACCTTTTAACTGTAGGCCTCCCTGGGCTCCCAAATGTCCCTTTGCAGATTCTACAAAAATAGTGTTTCCTAACTGCTGAACCAAAAGAAAGGTTTAACTCTGTGAGATGAATCCACACATCACAAAGCAGTTTCACAGATAGTTTCTTTCTATTTTTTATCTGTGGATATTCTCTTTTTCACCATAGTCTTCAAGGCACTGCTGAATGTCCCCTTGCAGATTATACAAAAATAGTGTTTCCAAACTGCTGAATCAAAAGAAAGGATTAACTCTGTGAGATGAATCTGCAGATCACAAAGCAGTTTCACAGATAACTTCTTTCTAGTTTTTACCTGGAACTATTTGCTTGTTAAACATAGGCCTTAATGAGCTCCCAAATATCCCTTCACAGATTCTACACAAATAGTGTTTCCAAACTGCTGAATCAAAAGAAACTTTTAAGTCTGTGAGATGAGTCCAAACATCATAAACTAGTTTCACAGATACCTTCTGTCTAGTTTTTGTTTGGAGATATTCAGTTTGTCACAATAGGATTCAATGCAGTCCCAAATGTCCCTTCACAGATTCCATGAAAGGACTGTTTCCAATGTGCTGAATCAAAAGAAAGGTTTAACTCTGTCAGATGAATCCACACATCACAAAGCAGTTTCACAGAAAACTTTCTATTTTTAATCTGGGAATATTTGCTTTGTCAAAAAAGCCCTCAATGAGCAAAAATGTCCCTTTGCAGATAGATAGTACAAAACAGTGTTTCCAAACTGCTGAACCAAAAGTAAGATTTAACTCCATGACATGAATCCAAACATCACAAAGCAGTTTCATAGATAGCTTCTTTCTAGTTGTAATCTGGGGATATTCACTTTTTCCCATAGGCCTCAACAAACTCCCAAACATCCCTTCGCAGATTCTATGAGAGAATTGTTTACAACCAGCTGAATCAAAAGACAGGTTTAACTCTGTGAGATGAATCCACATATCACAAAGCAGCTTCACAGATAATTGCTTTGTAGTTTTTATCTGGGGATATTTGTTTTTTCACCATAGGCCTCAATGGGCTCCCAAATATACCTTCGCAGAATCTAACAAAACAGTGTTTACTAATTGTTGAATCAAAAGAAAGCTTTAACTGTGTGAGATGAATCCACTTGTCACAAAGCAGTTTCACAGATAACTTATTTCTAGTTTTTATCTGGGGATATTCAGTTTGTCACCATAGGCCTCAATGGACTCCACACATCCCTTCACAGATACTAAAAAAGGACTGTTTCCAACCTGCTGAATGAAAAGAAAAGTTTAGTTCTGTAAGAAGAATCCACACATCACAAAGCGGTTTCAAAGACAACTTCTGTCTAGTTTTTATCTTGGGATATTTGCTTTCTCACCATAGGCCTCAAAGAGCTCCCAGATGTTTTCTCACGGACTCTGAAACAACAGTGTTTCAAAACTACTTAATCAAAAGAAAATTTTAACTCTCTGAGATGAATCCACATGTCACAAATCAGGTTAGCTGGTGGCTTCTTTCTAGTTTTTATCTGGGGATATTTGCTTCCTCACTATAGGCCTCAATGTGCTCCCAAATGTCAATTCATAGATTTAAACAACAAAAAAAGTGTTTCCAATCTCCAGAATTAACAGAAAAGTTTAACTCTGTGTGATGAATCCACACATCACAAAGCAGTTTCACAGATAGCTTCTTTTCAGTTTTTATTTTGTGATATTTGCTTTTTCACCATAAGCCTCAATGAGCCCACAAATGTCCCTTTGCAGATTTTATTCAAATAGTCTTTAAAAACTGCTGAATCGGGGGAGGAGCCAAGATAGCCGAATAAGAACAGCTCCGGTCTACAGCTTCCAGCGTGAGCGATGCAGAAGACGGGTGATTTCTGCATTTCCATCTGAGGTACCAGGTTCATCTCACTAGGGAGTGCCAGACAGTGGGCACAGGTCAGTGGGTGAGCGCACCATGCACAAGCCGAAGCAGGGCGAGGCACTGCCTCACTTGGGAAGTGCAAGGGGTCAGGGAGCTCCCTTTCCAAGTCAAAGAAAGGGGTGACGGACGCACCTGGAAAACCGGGTCACTCCCACCCGAATATTGCGCTTTTCGGACTGGCTTAAAAAACAGCGCACCACGACATTATATCCCGCACCTGGCTCGGAGGGTCCTACTCCCACGGAGTCTCACTGATTGCTAGCACAGCAGTCTGAGATCAAACTGCAAGGCGGCAGCGAGGCTCGGGGAGGGGCGTCCGCCATTGCCCAGGCTTGCTTAGGTAAACAAAGCAGCTGGGAAGCTCCAACTGGGTGGAGCCCACCACAGCTCAAGGAGGCCTGCCTGCCTCTGTAGGCTCCACCTCTGGGGGCAGGGCACAGACAAACAAAAAGACAGCAGTAACCTCTGCAGAATTAAATGTCCCTGTCTGACAGCTTTGAAGAGAGCAGTGGTTCTCCCAGTATGCAGCTGGAGATCTGAGAAGGTGCAGACTGCCTCCTCAAGTGGGTGCCTGACCCCTGACCCCCGAGCAGCCTAACTGGGAGGCACCCCCCAGCAGGGGCACACTGACACCTCACACAGCAAGGTATTCCAACAGACCTGCAGCTGAGGGTCCTCTCTGTTAGAAGGAAAACTAACAAACAGAAAGGACATCCACACCAAAAACACATCTGTACATCACCATCATCAAAGACCAAAAGTAGATAAAACCACAAAGGTGGGGAAAAGTTTCATTCAGCAGTTTGGAATCCCTGTAATTGTGGAATCTCTGAAGGGATATTTGGGAACGAATTGAGGCATATGGTGAAAAAGAAAATACCATCAGATAAAAACTAGAAAGAAGCCCTCTGAGAAACTTCTTTATTTTGTGTGCATACATCTCACTGAGTTAAACCTTTCTTTTGATTCAGCAGTTTAGAAACACTGTTTTTGTCCATTCTGCGAATGGAGATTTTTAAGTGCATTGAGGTCTATGGTGAAAAAGAAAATAGCTTTTGATAAAAATTAGAAAGAAGGTTTCTGAGAAACTGATATTTGATGTGTGCATTCACTTCATATAGTTAAACCTTTCTTTGTATTCAGCAGTTTGAAAACACTGTTTTTGTAGAATCTATGAAGGGATATTTGGGAGCTCATTGAGGCCAATGGTGACAAAGAGAAAATCGCAAGGTAAAAACTAGAAAGAAGCTATCTGTGAACTGTGTTTTCAAACTGTTGAATGAAGAGAAAGGTATAACTCTGCGAGATGAATGCATACATCACAAAGCAGTTTCTCACATGCCTTTCTTTCAGTTTTTATCCTGGGATATTCGCTTTTCCTCAATTGGCCTCCAAGAGCTCCCAAATGTCGATTTGCAGAAATGAAAAAACAGTTTTTCCAAACTACTTAATCAAAAGAAAGGTTTAACAGTGCGAGATGATTGCACACATAACACAGTGGTTTATCAGATAGCTTCCTTCTGGTTTTTATCCTGGGATATTCACTTTTTCGCCATTGGCCTCAATGAGCTCTAAATTGTCCATCTGTAGAAAGGACAAAAACAGTGTTTCCAAACTGCTGAATCAAAAGAAGGGATTAACTCTGTGAGATGAATGCAAGCATCACAAACCAGTTTCTCAGAAAGCTTTTTTCTAGTTTTTATCTGAAGATATTTTATTTTCCACCATAGGCCCCAAAGCGCTGCCAAATATCCTTTTGCAGATTCTACAAGAACAGTGTTTCCAAACTGCTGAATGAAAAGGAAGGTTTAACTCTGTGAGATGAATGCACACATCACAAAGAATTTTCTTAGATATCTTCCTTCTAGTTTTAATCCTGGGGTATTTGCTTTTTCACCTTTGGCCACAAGGAGCTCCCAAATGTCCTTTTGCAGAATGGACAAAAGCGGTGTTTCCAAACTGCTGAATCAAAAGAAAGGTTTAACTCTGTGAGATGATTGCACACATAACAAAGCGGTTTATCAGATAGCTTCCTTCTACTTTTTATCCTGGGCATTCACTTTTTAGCCATTGGCCTCAATGAGCTCCAAAATGTCCATTCAGAGTGTTTACAAACTGCTGAATCAAAAGAAAGGTTTAACTCTGTGAGATGAATTCACATATCACAAAGCAGTTTCTCGGAAAGCTTCTTTCCATTTTTTATCTGAAGATATTTTCTTTTTCACCATAGGTCTCAATGCCCCCCAATATCCCTTGGAAGATTCCAGGACAACAGTGTTTCCAAACTACTCAATGAAAAAGAAAGGTTTAACTCTGTGAGATGGATGCACACATCACAAAGCCGTTTCTCAGATAGCTTCCTTCTATTTTTTACACTGCAATATTCCCTTTTCACCATTTGCCTCAATCAGCTCCCAAATGTCCATTTGCAGAATGGAAAAAAACAACGTTTCCAAACTGCTGAATCAAATGAAAGGTTCAACTCTGTGAGATGAATGCACACATCACAAAGCAGTTTCACAGAAAGCTTCTTTCTAGTTTTTATCTGAAGTTATTTTCTTTTTCACCATGGACCTCAATACGCTCCCAAATATCCCTTTGCAGATTCTACAAAAACAGAGTTTCAAACTACCGAATGAAAACAAAGTTTTAACTCTGTGAGATGAATCCACACATCACAAAGCAATTTTTTCAGATTGATTCCTTCCAGTTTTTATCCTGGGATATTCCCTTTTTCACCACTGGCATCAATGAATTCCAAAAGGACTATTTGCAAAATAACAATAAAAAAAAACAGTGTTTCCAAACTCTTGAATCAAAAGAAAGTTTTAACTCTGTGAGATGAATGTACACATCACAAAGCACTTTCTCAGAAAGCTTCTTTCTACATTTTATCTAAAGTTATTTTGTTTGTTACCATAGGTCTCAATGCGCTCTCAAGTATCCCTTCACAAATTCAAAAAAAACAGTGTTTCCAAACTGCTGAATGAAAAGAAAGTTTTAACTCTGCAAGATGAATGCACATATCACAAAACAGTGTCTCAGATATCTTCCTTCTAGTTTTTATCCTGGGATATTTCCTTTTTTGCCTTTGGGCTCAAAGAGCTCCCAAATGTCATTTCGCAGAATGGACAAAAACAGTGTTTCCTATCTGCTGTATCAAAGGAAATGTTCAACTCTGTGAGATGAATGCACACATCACAAAGCAGTTTCTCAGAAAGCTTCTTTCTTGTTTTTATCTGAAGATATTTTCTTTTTCACCATAGGTCTGAATGCACTCTGAAAAGGCCATTAGCAGAATGGACAAAAGGTGTGTTTCCAAACTGTTGAATCAAAAGAAACGTTTAACTCTTTGAGATGAATGCCCACATCACAAAGCGGTTTACCAGATAGCTTCCTTCTAGTTTTTATCCTGGGATATTCCCTTTTCTGCCATTGGCCTCAATAAGCTCCCAAACGTCCATTTACAAAATGGACAAAAACAGTGTTTCTAAACTGTTGAAACAAAAGAATGGTTTAACTCTGTGAGATGAATGCACACATCACAAAGCAACTTCTCAAAGCTTCCTTCTAGATTTCATCTGAAGATATTTTCTTTTTCACTGTAAGCCTGAATGCACTCCCAAATATCATTTCTCAGATTCTGCAAAGGTGTGTTTGCAAACTGCTGAATAATAAGAAAGTTTTAACTATGTGAGTTGAATGAACACATCACAAAGCAGTTTCTCAGAAAGCTTCATTCTACTTTTTATCAGTAGATATTTGTTTTTCACAATATGCCTCAATGCACTCTGAAATGTCCAATCGCAGAATGTACAATAACAGTGTTTCCAAACTCTTCAATCAAAAGAAAGTTTTAACTGGGTGAAATGAATGCCCATATCACAAAGTGGTTTCTCAGATAGCTTCCTTCTACTTTATATTTTGGGATATTGGCTTTTTTGCCATTTTCCTCAGTGAGCTCTGAAATATGCATTTGGAGATTGTACAAAAACTGTGTTTCCAAACTGCTGAATGAAAAAAAAAAAAGGTTTAACAACATGAGATGAATGTGCACATCACAAAGCAGCTTCTCAGATAGTCTCCTTC